>NC_000023.11:56975299-57291355 GCF_000001405.40 Homo sapiens
GGCAGGACAACTGGAAGGGGGGGTGCTTTCAATTTATAGGTAGATTTAAAAATTTTCTGATTGGCAACTGGTTATTATCAATAAAATGCGATGTCTGGGTTATAGTAAGAGGTTGTAGACACCAAAGTTTCATCATCCTGATGGTGCCTCCAGGTAGATGGCTTCAGAGAGAATACATTAGAATGTTTCTTATCATATTTAAGGTCTGTGTTTATGTTAATGTTGGAGGGTATAATGAGGTAGGTCCGATCCCCCCACTTTCTGCCATATCCTGAACCAGTCTTTCAGGTTAAATTTTAGAGTGCCCTGGCAGAGGAGGATGTCCATTCAGATGGTTGGGGGGGCCTTAGAATTTTATTTTGGGTTTACAGTAGTTTAGTCTTTTATGAGAATGAAAGCCTGGGGTACGGCTGGCTGGTTACTGTTGGTTGGAACTCCACAGTTGATTTCTAGCCAGTAGAGGCAGCTTAGGTTTGGGATGACTCTGCCTAAGCCATTTCCTGTGGAATTGTTCCCCCTCGTGGTAGGCACTGAAGGGTCTGAAGAGCCACCTTATTGAGTGGTTGGTCCACTTTTAACTTTTCCTGGTCCTTAGAGCTCCTAGATGTGTGTGTAAGCCTAAGGCCATAGGGATTCCCTTTATAGGGTAGTAAATGGGAGGTGAGGGTAATTACACCAATGTGTATGGTTCTCATAATGAAAACTGTGTCACAGTCCAAGTCTTTAATGGCTTGGCTCCAGAATGCGACGTTTGGGAGAAAACATCTTGGTGGACAGTTTGTATAAATTGGCAGTCATAACTTTTATGGAATTTTGATAGATATTGAGAATACTGCACATTGTTTGGAAAGGAAATTCAGTGGAAAATGGAGAATCGGATAAGTATGGAGCGGGTCCTTTCTAAACAACCTTTGTTAAACTGTAAAGGACTATGCAATGATCTCTCTTATTTACCTTTTTAGATCTATTTTCTTTTTTGTCCTTACAAAAACTGTATCTGACTAGAATTATTCTGTGTGATTGGTACAGGGATATTTCTACTATTATTAATCTTTATAACCTTCACACTGTTAGAGACATGCTTTTGCATGAATTAAAAATTTTATTTAAAAACATTACATCTCTTATACAAGTGTACATATGTAAAAGAGAGAACAAATTTTCGTTCCATTGCAATTTCTCTGAGGAAATTAAAAGCCTGCCTTCAAAACAAGAGGCTGAAACAGAAATCATTCTAAAAGTTAATGTCCTAATGACCAGCAGAAGAGGGCAACTTCAGTTAGGTAGAGAAAAACTTGTGAGTGGCTATGGAAACTGAGAAAAACTTTCAACTTAGTAGGGAAGAAAAACATATCATGGAAGAAGTGAGCATATTGTTGCTAAAATAGTTTTACCTGCCACTGAAATTTATGCTCTAAAGGGAAAAGAAGACTTTATCATCTTTTTTGAGGAAAGCTGCTATTTATATATTTAGTTCTTTTGAGGATAGCAATGGCCCATGACTGTTTCACTGGGGAGAGTTTGAAATAGTCTTTAAACTCAAATAAATGGACCAAATTAAATTTGTCAGTATAGATTTAGTAAAATAAGATTGCTAGCCAATAATTGCAGAAAGAAAAAGTATCATATTTGTTCACAAAGTCCAATATTTTGTTCATTTAAAACAGCTTTGAGTGGAGCTGTTACCTGTTTATGTAATTTTTCTTGTTGAAATGAACAAAATAAAATTCCCTAAAAACTGAAATAAAATCAGAGAATTGTACACCTCCTTACCAGAGACTATAAAGCATCTAGCAAATATGGTGAAACTGGGACCAGGTCAAAGGAGGATGTTGAGCATATCTTCTGTAATCTCAAACTGAGTCTAGAACTCCAAAGGACCTACCCAATATTTTACCTGGAAAGATAAGAAATAAATATTTGAATTAACGTGTCACTATTGAAATTCATGCATAAGTACACAATAAATGTGTATGACAATGTTCTTGGTGGCATTGTTCATAATAACCACATTTTGGAAACTGTCCCAATATATATCAACAAGGATTTGCTAAATAAATTATGCTTTATTCACACAATGGAATACTATACAAAGAAGTAACTCTGCATATAAGAACCTACAAACATGTTCACGTTCTATTAAGTGGAAAAATTTATAGAGGAGGATATATACTATGGTTCTATTTCTACAACTTCGTATATGTGCACATAGATGGATTTAATGTACAGGTGTATATATGCGTTTTCTGCCTCTCTGGTCCTCTCTGTGTCTCTACACACATGTGTACATGCATGCATAAAAATACACAGAAAGGAACTTCTATGGTTTGAATATTCCCTCCAAAACTTATGTTGAAACTTAATCTCCAATGTGGCAGTATTCAGAGGTATGGCCTTTAACAGGTGATTGGAACATGAGGGTTCTGCCCTTGTGAATGGATTAATCCACTGACAGATTATCATGGAAGTAGAACTGGTGGTTTTATAAGAAGAGAAAGAGAGACCTAAGCTACCATGTTAGCATACTTAGTCCCCTTGCCATGTGATGCCCTGTGCTACCTCAGGACTGCAGAGAGTTTCTACCATCAAGAAGGCCCTCACCAGATGTGGCCCCTCAATCTTGAACTTCCCAGCCTCCAGAACTGTAAGAAATACATTTTATTTTTTTAAATAAATTTTCAGGTATTTTGTTATAAGCAACAGAAAATAGGCTAAGACAGGTGCCATGAGTGAGAGTGAACCTCCAGAGTTTATGATCATTTGATACCTAGGAGCTGTGTTGGACTTGACATAGCCAAACCTTGATCAGACTGTTGATGGCCTACATGTGATGTAGGAAATATATGGGACATTGTGTGATTGTCTTTAATCAAACCATAAAGCTAGACCACACTGCTTTAGGCCTAGACAGAATTTCCTCCAAAGGGAATATGTTGCCACTGTCAGATTCAATGTATGAACAGGAAATGAAGACCTAGGAGGCAGGCCTTACCTTGACTATGAATGAAGAAAAAGTACTCCTTTCAGTATCTGGAGCTGGTGAAAAATTTGGCCTTGAACTCCACCTTGTGGACAGATGTGGAGATGCTATAAACACTTCCAGTGGTTGGAAGGTGAGCTGTCTGAAGCCAAGTGAAGGCAGAAAAGGAAGACAGACAGGAGAGTCAACTTGGTAGGAGACTCTGGGATGCGTCTGTGCCTGAATAGTTGTAATTATATTCAGTGTAGCATTTTCCTTCTTACATTCCAAAACTTTCAGTAAAATCTTGTAAACGCTTACCTTATGCCCACTCTTAGGATTAAATAGAAAAGAGGCCATCCTGTTGGTTTCACAGCAGTCACCCATGAAGAACAGCTGTTCCTAGGAGAGATGATTGCCCAGGGTTTAGCACCACCAGAAGCAGGAACATGCTACCGTCACAAGACTGGAGCAGAAGATCCTGAGAGGCTTGCTCATGAGCACATGTGGGGATAATAATATTAAGGATAAATAATCTGAAAGCTCTGTAAATGGTGAAACCCTTTTAATTAACAGTATTTACCTGAGGACAGGACTCAGTGAGGTAAATATGATCTTATGTGGAGTCTTGCAATAAGTTTGTCTCCCAGCCTCCAGCCACTCCAGCCCTAATATACATATACCCTTTATACTTCTGGACCTTTTAAAGCATGCATCTGATCCTACTGTCACTGCTCAAAATCATCAGTACTTTCCCTTCTGCCTGCAGAACAGATTCCAAATTCCTTAAACCTTCATTGAAAGGCCATTGTAGATTACAGTGTTAGATTAAACTCAACATATATTTCCAACCTCAGCAATCTCTATACATCTTTTCACTATCTTTAGGTATATGAGAGTCCTAGCTGTTCTACAAAACCTGATAGTGTAATCTGGCAAACATAGTAATTTTGGCTTTTATCCAGCTTGGCCCTGCTGTTTTTTTTTCAAGAGGTCTGAGTCTGCATTGGTTACCAAGAGTTTCTTAGTCAAGCCCTACCTATATGGCAGTCAGTAGGAATTTCTGCCAGAGTATGGTGAACCAATCATTGAGATTCTCCAGTCCATCATGGATTATTCAGTGAGAGAGTAAAAGTGGATGAAGCATCACCAGTTTGCCACCATCTTAACCCAGAAACAAAAACACAGTAAAAAGGAAAGTACACTAAAAGAACCAAACAGCAAACAAAACAACCAGTATTCCAAGTGAGATTTATTTTGTTATGTTCTATTTTTTTGTTAGTGGCCTTTTAAGCTGCAAAATATAACTGAATATGAATTAAACTGTAAACACATAATTGACACATTTATCTATTTTTCTCAGAGACAAAGGCACAGTGCTAGTTTTTCGGTGAAAACATTCTAAACCATGTTAAAACATGTCCAGTTTGTAACCGGCCTTTAGAATTTGTATAGGGCTGATTTTCTGCCTAGAAACTGATGCTATTATGTCTCTTCCAGCTTTATTAAAAAGGATTTTTTCCTGTATGTTTATATCAGATCTAAAGCCCTCACAAAACATGAAGATATAATTAAATGTAATCATTTTTGCTGATTCTCTGGACTTGGTCCTAAGGTAGATAAAATTAAGACCTCGTTCATAGGACAAGTTGGTCATTTATCCAGTGTCTACCTATGACCATTGTTGTCCATATGCTGACTTAAAATTGCCCCTTCACGATTCATGACACAGCACTGTCAACAACTTCACACGTGTTTTCACACTCTAGTTCTGCTTGGATCCTCACTAAATCTTGTGACGTACTCAGATCAGATTCTGGTTCCACCTGACAGACCAATGTAACTATTCGGAAGAGAAGTTTGGTATTCTCTAGCAAAATCGAAGATGTGCCCACCCTATGACCCAGCAATTCTAGGCATATGCACAACAGAAACTCATGTGCAAAAGGAGAAATGTGTAAGGATATTTTAGAACAAGAATTAAAAACAAACAAACAAACAAACAAAAAATCCCAAACTAACAATTACCTAGATATTCATTCTTTGGGAATATATACATTGTGGTATAGCCTCAAAATGGCATTTTATATATCCATATGAAAAGGTCACAAAAATAGAGTGAAAAAAGCAGGACACAAAAATACTGGCATAGTACACTATATGGGTAAAAATTTAAAACATGAAAACAATATATATTTTGGGGATACATATATAGTGAAAAAATAAACTAGTAGGAAGGACATATCAACTACAGTTCAGCGACAAAGGAAAAAAATGGGGTTGGAATAAAATAAGAACTAAAAATGTATCTCTCTTTTTTAATTTCCTTCATTAAAAAAAAAAGGGACAAAAGAAGAAGGGGCAGCAGCAGTAGCAGCGTGGCTTGGGAGTCAGACATACTGATTTAAGATGTGACTCCTATAGGACTTTACTGTTACTTTAAACCCTTTCCACTCTCTGGACCTGTTTCATACTCTGTACAAATGAGGAGGGAGACTAGACAATCTCAAGGCCCGCACAGCTCTTAAATTCTATTTTTCTGTCCTTACCACCAGTCCTTGTCTGTATATGCTTACATTCTTAATTTCCATATACCCAGTTAACAATCTTCTGTACATCTAAGTAACAAATTGGCATTTCCTTTCGTGGTACAGAACATTACCGGCATTAAAAAGAAAAAAAATAAAAAGAAACATATTAGTTAAAATCTTTTTTTTTTTTTTGGTAAGTGCCAGAAAATGAAAGCAATGTATTGACTAATAATACTGGGACAAACAGAGGGAAGAAGAGGCCTAAAGCCTCTCTAAATCCACAGATTCAGGACTGGCACAATGGCTCACGCCTATAATCCCAGCACTTTGGGAGGCCGAGGCAGGCAGATCACCTGAGGTCAGGAGTTTGAGACCAGCCTGGCCAACACGGTGAAACCCCGTCTCTACTAAAAATACAAAAATTATCCAGGCATGTTGGTGGCTGGCGCCTGTAGTCACAGATACTTGGGAGGCTGAGACAGAATTGCTTGAACCCAGGAGATGGAGGTTGCAGTGAGCCAAGATCACACCACTGAACTCCAGTCTGGGAGACAGAGTGAGACTCCATCTCAAAAAAAAAAAAAAAAAGAAAAAGAAAAATTCCGCAGATTCAAATGTTATAATCATGATAAAGTTTTTGTTTGTTTGTTTCATTTTGTGATTTGGTTTTCCCCCTGTGGGTACCTTTATTCTCATGCATATCTTCTCTATATACTTTCAAAGGTGGCCAGCTAAAGGTCCAGGTTTATGACATTGTTGATGTAAACTTTAAACTACCAATGGATAAAAAGTTCCTCAACTTCAAATCCCAAAAACTACAGCTTTAAACTCTCTTATAATTCCTATCATGGCATAGATGAGCACTGCAGACATTAAACTGGTTTCTGGATTTTATACTTATTTCCTATCTGCATTTTCCTGCAAGAGTAATATTCACTCACGGATTTATGGTAACATTTTTTTAAACTTAAATATCCCATTACACTTCACAAGCGTATCTTTGCTCATTATATGACTAGAGCATCACAAAAAGCCTGTGAGGTGCATGGCTTATTGGTGCCATACCCCACCCTCAATTCCCTGTGCCTTTCATTTTGTTTCAGGAATTAATGGGTCCAAAAGGAAGAGAAGTTGACTGACTTCCTCATGTCTCACAGGCAATAGATGGTAGAAGTGGAGCAAGAAGGTTCTCCAGTATCTGCTGCTTCCCCGAGTTTGTTCACAATGTACAGCTCAGTGATGGGTGAAAAAACATCTTTGTTGTCCTGAGGCTGGCCAGAGATAGACACTTGACTCCATCGTTACTTGGAGAGGTACTACATCCTCTCAGGGTAAATGGGCTCACCCTGGACAGCATCACGGACCACCCAGGATCATGATGGAATTCTCAGGGCCAGAAGCAACATATGGAGAAACCCCTTATCCTGAATGCATCCAGGTCAGGCTTGAGCTATAACTCCTGCCCAGATTCAGGGGAGCTGGAGCAGGAAGTTTAGGGTCTGGTGTTAGGAGCCCAAGGTTGGAGTTCCAGCCCCACTGCTGATTAGCTGTGGGACCTGGGAGACCTGCCACTTCCCTTCTCAGTTTCTTCTTGTGAGAAAAGGGAGGGAAACATCTGACTTCACAGAAGCACTGGAAGTTATCATCTGAAAGAATGGCCGTAAGATTGTTACTGTCACCTCAGTTCTTTTCTCCTCCAGTGCTTCTGTGTACTCTCGTGGCAAATCCCTTCTACTTGTCTTGAGAAGAAAATACCCAGGGCCAGCATTGCTTCTCTCAGCCAGTCACTTAGTCAAAAAATACTTTCTGATGCCCCAGAAAGAACCTTGTCTGTGCTGGGCAATGTCTAGAATATGAAGAGGAATTCAACCACACAGCTGTTGCCTCTGAAGAGATCACAGAGAAGCTGTCATTCTGGGGGAACAGGAGGTAGCAGTAAATACTATAACAAAGGGATAAAGGATATAAGAGTAAAGAGCGATCAACTGACCAAGCTGTGGAGTTAATTAAAGACTTCAGATATGAAATGTTTAAGTAAATCCTGTTTCCACCCAGGTAATACAGTGAGAGGAAGCACATTCCAGGCAGGAGAAACAAGTGCAAAAACCAAGAGACTTGAAACAACTTGGACTGTTGAAGGAAATGGCCTGAAACATAAGGACCAGGGAGTAGTAGTAAATAGTGCAGTAGTAAATAGTTAAGCTACAAAGGTAGAAAGGAGCCAGATCATGAAGGGCCTTGAATGCTGGGCTGAAAAGGTGGTCTTCATTCCAGGCAAATTATGTAATGCTGTCATGCAGTTTAGTGGCCCCATTTGTCATGCAAAATTACAAACTGCATTTCCATTCTGTGAAACTATCCACTTTAAAAGGCATCATCAATTTCAGACAATACTGATATGTTAATATTTATTCCAAAACCTGCCTTTCCTTGTGCAGGGTGATAGTTTTCAACAGTCATTCTTGAGACACCTGTTCTTTTACGTGCCCCGCAGCTAGTGGTACTCATGTGTGCAGGGTACTCACATTTTAGTGAATGAGGGGAAAAAGGAGAGTGAGAGACAAGGAATAAGAGGTGAGGATTAGAAAACTTTGGGATTTTCTACCCTATCCCCAGCCATCCCACTACTCTTCAGTTCTTTTCTCTCTTCCCATGCAGAATGGAATCTCTTAAGAAACAGTCACAATCTCACACAGGGTAACTGATAGCATTCCAAATGTCTGAGGTTTTGGAAAGAAGTGGGCCAAGCACCATTTGAATTACTGTGTGGGTGAATCTGATAGTGTGTGTGCAGTGATTTGTGTACTTCAGTGTTTAAGCAAGGGAGGCCCTAAGGCCAACGAATATCTACAGTTATCAACAAATATTCAGCAAATAATAAATCAACAGATATCCATGGGAATCAACAGTTTCAACAGACCTGAGTAGTGGGATGAGCAAAGGCTCTGCAAGGTCAGTACTATGCTAGGGTGGGGCTTGACTACTGGGGACCCCGCTGAGGCCATCTGCACTAGAAATATTTTGTGTTCCATAACTAAATGCTGGTAAGAAGAGGCAGATCACTGAATGATAGCATCTGGGTAGTGCTTGGCTATGTATGTATAATACAGAGGACTGATATAATAGAGCCGTAGGTTAACTAGGTCTCTCCTTGCATTGGCCTTGACTTCCTTCTTTTATTTTAGTTTTTAGAGATGGAGGTCTCACTATGTTGCCCAGATGGGACTTGAACTCCTGCACTCAGGGATCCTCTCACTTCAGCCATCCCAGCAGCTGGAACTACAGGCACATACCAGCACGGCCCTCTAATTTCCTTCTTTAATTAGTCAACTGAGCTTTGAGTTAGGCTTTCAGAGCCCACCTCCCCTCTCTCTCGTTCACGAAGACACTGTTTTTTGACACTTGTTCCATCCATTCCATTTGCTTTCTGCCGTGTTATAGGGTTGGAAGAGGATATTTAAAAAATAACTTCTTACCTTCTAGGTGTTTGCTGTTGGTCTGCTGGTCTCATTCATAACATTGGTGTGGGGTGAAGGAAACCATATTGTCCCTCAAAATCTTTCCAGCTTTAGAGATGTCTGAGGAAGAAGTGAGTTGCTGGTGCTCACACCGGTGGACACATTACTTTGATACAATGAAAAGAAAGTCATGTATGGGTTCTTGGTGGTGGGCAGGTTTATTCAAAGGAGCTGAAAAGCAAAAAAAAAAAGTACAGTGGAGGAGCTGACATTTGAGATTAAGTGAAAAAAAAAATTGTCACAAAGAGATTTATGGGAAGGAGGAAGGCCAAAAAGGACTTCCAAGACATCACACTTCGTTTACCTCCTACCTCACTGGTGGTGACTTCTCAGTCTCTTGTTTGTGTCTCCTCTTCTCTCTGATCTCTTTAAGACCCAGGTCTCTGTCCATGGTCATCTGTTGTTCTCTATGTACACCCATTCCCTAGGGTGATCTCATACAGTCCCATGGTTTTAAGTATTATTTACATGGAGAAATTTCCAACTTATGTATCCAGCTTAGTCAGACCTCTCCCATGAACTGCACACTCATATATCCAATAACTGTTCAACAGCCCCACTTAGGTGTCCTAAAAACACCTTCAAACTCAACTTGTCCAAAACTGATTTCCTAGCCTCTCCTCTTCCTAGCACCCATCCAAACCATAGCCTTCTTCATCTCTATCAGTGGCAACTCCATCTTCCCAGTTGTTTTTTGGAGCCATCCATGACTCCTCTCTTTCCTTACATTTCACTTCTAATTTGTGAGAAAGTTCTACTTACTCTTCCTTCAAAATATACCCCAAATTTAAATACCTCTCACCATCTCCATTGTTACCTCTCAGATATAATCTCACACATGGGATACTGCAATACTCTAACTAGTTTCCCTGCTTCCTCACTCTCTCCTTTATAGCCCGTCCTTAAAACAGCAGAGAGATTTTTTTAGAAACATAAGTGAGGTCAATTCTCTGCTGAAAATCCACAGTGGGTTTGTGGACATGGGATGCAACACCCAGGTTATGCTTCAGTGATGGACTTATTATGCTGCTTCAGCTCTCACCCCCATTAGAGATTGCCTCAGCTGCTGAAAGCAACTTTGTCCAATGCAACACCCCTTCCTGGGGCAGCCCATATCCAAAGACGGATTAGTGTAGGGGTTGAAAGGCCTGTAAATATTACCCCAACTCTGAAGGGCCATTCTAGTTCCACAGCTTCCTGTGGGTGTGGTTGACACTGTAACTGAGTCTTTTTAGAGCTTCATTTTCTTTGTGCTCCTGCTGCTTTCCCATTTCTTCCCCAGGTATTGACCCCAAGGGCGCTGCTTAATAAATTTTCTACAAGATTAACTTTGTTTCTGGGTCTGTTTCCTGGGAAAACCCAACTTGTGACAGGCTCCCCATTTCATGCAGAGTAAATACCAAGTCTTTACAATGCCTTATATTATTTAGACCCTTATTTCCTCTCTGACTTCTCTTATGTCTTTCTCCTTCACCTATGTAGCTCTAGCTAAATAAGCCTCCCTGTTAGTCTTTGAACATGCCAAAAACACACTTATCTCTTAGGCCCTTTCCTCTAGTAGTTCCTTTTGCCTAGTATGCTCTTTCTCTAGATATATGCTTGGCTAACTCACTTCCTTCATTTATTTGCTCAAATATTACCTTCTCCATGAAGTCCACCCCAATCTCCCTATTTACCATGGTGACCTACCACTTCCCTTCCCTCTTATCTTGTTCTAATTTTCTTTTTTATAACAGTTATCAATTTTGACATCCCACATAATTTACTTATTATTATTATTTTTTTAATTGTTAGCCTCCCCTTGCTTGAATGTAAGCTCCATGAGAACAGGCATCACTGAATGCTTTGTTCATGATATATCCCAAATGCCTAGTTAAAGTGCCTGGAACAAAGTAGGCACTGAATAAATTTGTTGAACAAATGAATGAATTAAGTAGATTTAACAGTAGGAACAAAGTGTGTGTAAAAGAGGGTGATAGAGAGGGAAGAATATGAATGAGTCATGGCGAAAATCACAGCTGTGAATCACCTGGACTTCCCCCTTGGTGCTACTGTTTCTTTCCCATTTCTTTATGCAAATATTAGGAAAAAATAATAATTAGACTATTACTTGGCATCAAGAGAGCTAGTTTCAGTCCAGCACTCTTACCAGCTGTGTGACCTTGGTTTCCTTTTTCTCTTTAAGCTTTATCTCCTTATCTGAAAAATGGAGGTAGTAACACACAGCTTCCAGTATCCTGTGCAGATTAAGATGTGCCCAACACATACTAGGTGTCCAACAAATGTTTACTGACATCCCGACATCCTCCAAGGGCAAATGATTTAAACTAATAATACAAATGTCTTGTAGTATGTGCTTGAAAATGTAACCAGAAAAATAGGTATACACATTCATTACATTACATGTGAGCTTCAACTTTATGTTATGCACCTGTTTCATAGATTTGGGGTAGAGGAAGAAATCTGCCCCATTTCCATTTAATCAGTGACCTCTTAGCCACTTTACTTGCTTTCTAGGATAACAATAGAAAAACATATTTAAGGCCGGGCATGGTGGGACATGCCTGTAATCCCAGCACTTTGGGAGGCTGAGGCAGGCGGATCACCTGAGGTCAGGAGTTCAAGACCAGCCTGACCAACATGGTGAAACCATGTCTTTACTAAAAATACAAAATTAACCAGGCATGGTGTTGCATGCCTTTAATCCCAGCTACTTGGGAGGCTGAGGCAGGAGAATTGCTTGAACCCAGGAGGTGGAGGTTGCGGTGAGCCGAGATTGGGCCATTGCATTCCAGCCTGGGCAACAAGAGCAAAACTCTGTCTCAAAAAACAAACAAACAAACAAACAAACAAAAACATATTTAAAAACTCCAAAAACATACCAGAAAACAGCAGAGGTATAGTGTTAGCTGTGCAGAACAGTAGAGAAGAATCACAGGCCCTAGGTTTCAATGTTAAACACATTACTGAATTAATAGCTATGGATAAATGACATCAGGTATTCCAGCCTTTCAACTTTTTTTTTTTTTCTCTCTAGAACACTCCTTCCTCAAATCATTGCATGGGCTGGCTTCTTTAGTTATTTGCTAATATCCACTCAGGCCTTCCTCTGAAAACCTTTTGCTGAAGTAGTTCCCTTATTTCCGTTCATCTCTATCCATTGCTCTGCTTTTTTGTTCTTCATACAACTTATCACTCTCTGAAATTATACACGTTATTTAGGTTATTTGTCTATATCTTTGTTGCTTTTCTCCCCTCTATGAAAATGTAAGCTCCCTGACAGAATGGACAGTATCTATCTCATTAATCACTATTGGGCAAATCCATCAAAAAGTAGCTGAATGAATGAATGAATGATTGCATTCAGGATAATAACCCTGCTCTCTTAACTGTCCAGTAATGTTATAAAGATTAACGAGCTCTCTGGGAAAACAAACTCAGTTCTTAGCAGAGATTAAAAGAGCTATGTACATCTAAAGAATTATTTAAATAATTTCTTTCACATTTCAGTAATAGAATTTCTAGACCTATATTCACTAGTTACATGTCACTGGAGCACTGCTAAATATAAAGGTTAACCAAAAGGACATGCGGTTTACCCTCTTGAGAACTAAAGGGAATTCACCTTTATTAAGCATCTGTGCTGCACTATGTTACATGCTAAGGATATAGTTTCTCATATACTTCTAAACAGAACTGAGTAAAGAGTGTTACTCTCTCTATCAAGAAGGGGAATAGATTCACAAAGATTAAGTAACTTGCTAGTATAGAGCTAGTAAAACCTGGAATTAATGTCCAATCAGCTGACTTTATTGTTTTTTTCACTTATTCCACCCTTTCTTGGGAAGCATGTGGCCCTCAGATCTGTGCTTCTTAGGCCAAGATCAAGCATAACATCTCCATTGTTGAAATGGGCCTACTTGAAAACAGTGAAAGAAGAAAATAAAACTTTGCTTGTTTACTCACTGGTTTTGTGAAATCCCAGTGGAAAGAGACGTGGGTAATTTGGAACTTTGTATGATTTGAAAAGCCAAGTTTTTTTTGCCCCAAATTAAGCTTAGTGAGAACAAGGGCAAGCAGATGGAAGACTTATTAGGAAATAAGATTGGAGCAAGAAAAACCTAATTTCCTAGATCAGTGTTTCCTAATCATTACTGATGATAAAGAATCACCTGAGGTATCTTGTACAGCTGCCCCAGGTCCCTTCCCAAGAGATTTTGATTCATTACATCTAAGATGGGACTCAGCAATTTATATTTAACAATCACTCCAGGTAAATCTTATCAGGTAAGTATAGGAAATAATAACTCTGACCTCACTCAATTGCCACCTATAAATCAGTGATTTTCAATGTGGGGTCCCAGCAGCATCAGTCTCATGTGGGAACTTGTTATAAATATAAGCCTGTGGACCCCACCCTAGACTTGCTCAATCAGAATCTCTGTAAGAGGGCCCCAGAAATCTGTATTTTAACAAGTTCTCAAGGTGATTCTGGTGTGTACTAAAGTGAGAGCTACTGTACTAAATAATCTCTAATTATAGCCAATAATTTAAAAACCTCCAATTGTTCAACCCCCAGGTGCAAGAAGTGGCGTAGAATGCCCAGTTCAACCCCCAAAAAGGGCATCCACCCAAGATATGCCTCCAAGAGAGAACGTCTCAGAAAACACAAAGAGGTATTTGACCAAAGGAGTCACTCAACTGCCAGGATAGGTAGTCCTTGTCTAACAGGTTATGATATATGCTTTGGACCAGAAGCTACTATGTATTGTTTCCTATTTCCTCCCTTTTTCAAATGGTAGTTTTGATTATATTTCTCTGGTTATCTCCCCACTAGTGTATATTGGGTATGTTGAGAAGAGTAGTTTATAATTTAAGTATAGGTGACCAGACTGCAAGGAAGATGGATCTAAAGATGGCTGCATATCAACTAGGGATCTTGAACTTAACGCTAAATGCAGTAACTAGATAAGACTTCAGGTTTTTCTCCTTTGGGGACATGAATTTATCACACCTACATGTGGGCATTCTTTGAAAGAGGATGTGTAGGAAGAAATGTGTCCATGGATACTAGGTATTCAAATGAAGAAGCTATACTAGATATTTGTGATTGGTGAATAGCATTCATTATTCATTTACCCAAAGCCCTTGATTCTACTGGAAATCCATCTGGTTTCAGAGAGATATACCCTAGTGCAGGGGTCCCCAACCCCTGGGCCACTGACAAATACTGGTCCATGGCCTGCTAGGAACCAGGCTGCACAGCAGGAGGTGAGTGGCAGGTGGGTAAGCAAGCGAAGCTTCATCTGTGTTTATAGCTGCTCCCCATCACTTGCATTACCACCTGAGTTCTGCCTCCTGTCAGATCAGCAGTGGCATTAGATGCTCATAGGAGCATGAACCCTATTGTGAACTGTGCATGCAAGGAATCTAGGTTGCATGTTCCTTATGAGAATCTAATGCCTGATGATCTGTTGCTGTCTCCCACCACCCTCATTTGGGACAGTCTAGTTGCAGGAAAACAAGCTCAGGGCTCCTACTGATTCTACATTATGGTGAGTTATATAATTATTTCATTATATATTAGAACATAATAATAGAAATAAATTGCACAATAAATGTAAGGCATTTGAATCATCCCCAAACCACCCCCCTCCCCTCACCCACCCTGTCCGTGGAAAAATTGTTTTCCATGAAACCAGTTCCTGGTGCCAAAACAATTGGGGACCACTGCCCTAGAGGTTAGGGATGGAACACCTGACCTTGCTAAGCCAATCAGTGTATTTCATCCCTGAGATTTTAGTGATTGGTCAAAGTATCTGACCTAAGCCAGCTGAGAATACATCATAGGACACAGGTTATCTATCTTTCTCTAGATTGGACTGCTGTAGCCTGGAACTGCTGGTCCAATTTTGCTACCATAAGAAAAAACAGCCTGAGAATGAAACTGACACACAGAGGGAAAATCCTAAAGAATCATAAACACTGAGCCTGAGCCCCAATTCAAACTATGCCTGAAGCCCATCTGAGCTCTAGATTTTTTTTAAATTTATATTGATCAACGTTTGGTAACAGTTTAAGCCTGTTTGAAATGGGTTTCCTGTTACATGCAGGCAAGTTCTGTTAGAAAAGGCAAATCAAAGCTATAAATATGAATTTGCATATTGCAGTAGATGTGAGTGCAAGTTTAAACAGAAAAAAATAATTGTTCATTTCATTTCTGGTTTATTAATTATATAGTACCTTAACTTTCCCCACAGCTTCAATATATAATTGGTTTTCCTTTTAACTTCCCTCAGTAAAAATATACTGGCCTCTCTTGAGAAGTTCCTCTCAGAGAATACGTTATGTTCACATATATTTCACATTCTACTTTTGAGAAAAATTGGACTGGCAGAAATTGTGGGTTTGTAGGGTCATGTAAGTTTTCATTAAACTGGGTTAGGGTCTGAAGGTTTGAATTAATTACACCTCCTTCCCTTCCAGATTCTGAACCAATTAAAAAATATACACAGGAATCAAATAGGGATTAAGATATCAGCTTTAATATATTGTTCAGTGAAAAAAGCAAAATTCAGAACAGCATGTATAGTATGCCACCATTTGTGTAAAAAAAAAAAAAAAACCTGATACACACATACCCACACACAATATGCTTGTAAATACATGGAATATCTCTGGAATGATACATCAGTAACTGGTAACAGTTGTTACTTTTTGAAAATGGGACCAGGGAACTGAGGCCAGGGGTGAGAAGGAGGAAGAGAGACTTACTTTTTAATAGTATACCCTTTTATACTGTTTGACTTTTACCATAGGCATGTGTTATTTTTCTAAAAAACAATTTATATATTAAAACTGTAAAAAAGAATCAAAATAGATACCAGCTTTATAGCTGATAGAGCTGGATTGGAGAACATGGCTTGGACCTGAGGCTGAAATGAACTTCTATCATAAGTCTAACGACTTTGGGATTCCCCCACCCCAAGGAGAGATAGTTGGGTCTAGAAAGCAGATGTTTACCCAGCCATGTAGTGAAGGACTGCAGTCTTTCCCACATCTTGCTGTGTGGAACGAACTCAAGATCCAAGAGTGGCCTAAGCTGCCTATCCATTATAACCATTTTCTCAATCTCATCAAGTTATTCCTCCTCCCAAGCATAAGATTGAATGAGTGTAAGAGAAGATGGGTAGAACTTTCTTCCAAACATTTTTGAGAGATGCAAGTCTTTTCCTTTTCTTGAGTCAGGAGCATGGAGAGAGGAAGAGGATAGATCCCATCATACCCTTGTACATTTTCATTCTCTTAAGCCACAATGGTTAATGCTCAAGACTCTGGTCAACAAACAGGGCTGTGGCTGTCCCCTTCCAGGGAGACCAACAGTATCTTAGAAAAGTTCTGCTCCCATCAATGTAAGATTGGTGAGCAGTTGTTTTTGCCCCCAAGAGGCTCTGAAATAAGTCAAAATAGAACAGTAATTAAATTAACTCTAAGGCTACATTACACCCTAGACTGAAAATTTGATCACAATTGCAGCCCTAATTTACAATTATGTCCAGCCATATTTCCTGACATAGCTGACAACAATTATACAATGACTCCCAAAGATAGCATTAAAATACTCCAAATAATACAATATCAACAACATAATAAAAATGCCTTAGTTTGAACTATATGACCTCACCCCCACCCCATCAACTATTAAACTCCAAGGGAAAAAGGACTGCCCAAAATTAAATTTCTAATTCAAAGTCCAAAATAATTAAAGTCCAAAATTCTGCCTTTCCCAATTTCTCGTTTTTCTCATTTCAGCCATATAGATCTCACAAAGATGTCTGCCCAGATATGGGGTTCCTTCAGCAGCTGCAGCCTTGGCTGTCTTCCTCTTGACTGGGTGAAGTTCCTTCAGGACCTCAGGAGTTGAATTAATCTAACCCCACAATTGCATGTCATACATATTAAAGAGTCCAAAGGGTCAAGAAGACATAAGATTATCACAATATCAACCTCACATCAAAAAAATTAGAAAGCACACTAGTCCCCAGCCACTAGAACAGTTTTTTTAAGCAAATATATGACCCCAGGACTTAGAACATAGGGCAATACAGACCCACATTGCTGTTGTCAGTCAAACATCATAGTAGAGACTTAGTGGCATCAAAAAGCAAAAGTAGACAGATAAAACATAGGAGAAAAGAGAACATCTTCTTTGTTTCATCCTCAGCAGGATGCCAATCTGTGCCGGTAGTCTGGACTCCATGACCTGTGAACTTAAACTAATTTGGAAGATATCTTGCAGTACAGTCCCAATATGATTGTACTGCCTTGAGTCCCAGCCCCAAATGTGCAGAACTCCATGGCCTTATTAGGCTGTTACTGCTAATGGAGCTTCTGTGAGAACCTCAATGAGAAAGCTTTGGTTTTGGCCAGGTGCTTCTCTCAAAAACCATGCTTGTACTTCAACTTTTCTTTCCTAGGCTTTGGTTAACCTCCGCCAATGGCTCTTTAATAATGGAAAGCTCAAAGGCCCTTCCATTGTTTACTTTTCTGCCACAGTAGAACTCACCCTTATCTGCATATAAGTTTCTTAGGGCCAGCCAAGAAACAGGATAGTTAAAAATCCAAACACTAACAAAAATCTATTAGATTTCTATCTACCAATGCCAGCACTTAAAACATCATTAAGCCTACAGATTACCTACCACTGACTGTGTTCCAAGTCCTGCTGGGATACCATAATAGATGAGCCCACCAGTCCCTGCAAGGAAGTATAGCCTGCTTTCAGCCATTCTTGGTTCTCACAAGTGCCTTGCCCACCTCACATGCTGGGACTCTGAATTCAGTCTCCTAAGAATCAAATCTAAAACTTGAGTCTCTCTTAGCACAGCAAAGAAATCTGTATCTCAGTTTGATTCTAGGTTTCTCCTCTTTCATTTTGAGGTTCTGGACAGATCTGTCCAAACCCAGCCAAACCCAGCCTTTGCCTGTGACTGAGGGCTCTAGCTAGAGCCTGGCTTAATGCTCCTCTGGGCTGGCAAAGACCATTTGTGCTAAAGTCTGCCTGCACAGCTTCTATCAGTTAAAACCTACTCCATGTCTGCAGATACCAGCCAGAGCTATTGGAGACAAGAGAGACCCTAATGCCACTGATGACTAAAACCTTTCACTTAAGCTCCACCAGAAATCTTGATCTCTCCACTTGGAGTTTGGTCCCCAAATGCTTGTCTTCTTATCAGTTTTGCAAGGTTTCTCAGCCTATGGTTAGGTACTAAAATGCAAAGTAATTACCTTCTTAATTCTAAAACAGTTGAGCAATAGGTGAAAGAACCGGAAAGAGAGCAAAATTATTAGCCTTACTTTTAGTACAGTTAGAACTGAGAATGCAACTTGAACAAGAGACCAAAATGGGCTTCCCACTCTTTCCCAAGTTAGATTTTTGAAGCCACTTGGGGGAGATTTGAGATTGCAAAGACACTTACCCAGCCAGTCACATGGGATATCTCAGCAAGCTTCACACCTCAATGAGTGTAGAGTCCAAGTGCCAAAAAGAGTGAGGTGAGAGGTGTTCAGCTACCTTTAATCTATTAACACCACCCAAGATAAAAAAAAGTATGAGCCAATGGATGTCAGACTTTACCCTTCTCACTAATCAGTTAAATTGCGGAGAGGAACCAGTGAAAAGGTTGGACAGATGGGCAAAAGGTTTCTTCCAAAAACGTATGAGAGGGCAGAAGTTCCAATTTTTTTGCCAAGCAAAACGTGCAAAAAGGGAGAAGATGGTTCTTACAAACTGGAAAGCAATCAAGACTTTCTGTGTCTACAGATTTAGAGTCTCATATATTTGGCAAATTTCAAGATGACCTCTAAGATGTTTTTACCAAATCGTAGACATAGATATGGAAATCATCATCAAATTTGATGAAGTACACAGAGGGTTTTGCTTCTACCTGATGAATGACCATGCCAGTTCTCTTGGAGCCATCGTCTTTGGCGTATTCCACCTGTTTGCCTACCAGGCTGTCTATGACTTCTCCTGGCTCCCTCTCTGCCAGAGGAGAATCATTGGAATCTTGAAGGATGCGGAGGTCACCATCTTTATAATCATCTAAGAGCTGGTACATATATAATACAGGATCTTTCTCATAGGTAATGTAAAACCATGTGTTCATGACAGGTGCCTGAGCTAAGACCATCCCCCTCCATTCATTTTTGGAACCTTCCTCTGTCTCAAAAATATGTTCCACTGCTTTGCCAACCATTATTTCTGCCAAGTGTGTATCACTGATTCTAGATGATGCAACTCTATTAGGAAGGACTTCAAGTGATGACACTCTTTCATCTCTGTGAAGTTCCAATCCATAAACACAGTCAAATCCATCATATTTGATAAGATACAGAGAGGGATTTACAGGTACCTGATCCAGAACGGTTCCTTTCCACTGTGTTAGAGGTTCATCTCCATCTTTCCATCCGTGCTGAATTCTGCAGCCCACGATGTTCCCCCGAGGCTGGGAGGTGGGTCGGCTCCTATGCTTCTTGTGTGCAGCCTTCCTCTTTATCATGGTAACAGACACACTGCCGTGGCCAGCGCCCGTCCTGGACCGCTGCCCTGCAGCTGCCTTTCCAAACGGGGTCTTCATGCCTGCGAAGAGGAGCACAGTTGCCAGGTGGACCGAGAAAGGAAATTAACAAAATCAATGCATAACACGGAGAGCTTTTTCTCCTAATCAGCGCACCCAGTAAACCCACACCTGTTTTTCCCGAAAGCTAGATAGCAAAGCTGGAAATCAAGGCACCCTGGCTGAGTGCCTGCAGTAACCTTCCTCCCCAGCTCAGTCTGGCTAAGATCTGCGGTTCGGTGAAATACGAAGCGTTTCCCCATTCCCCTCGCCCTGCTTCCAACACTACCCGGCCAGGAGGCGCAGATTCCCCACCGTCCCGGATTGCGGGCCTCAAGTGCACAAATCGGACACCTCGCCGTTGCCTCCGCAGTGAGCCTATGGAGGAGGAAAATCAGCGGGCGAGCAGCCCGGTGCTTGCAAAAGCTGGGAGAGGATGATCCATAGGCAATGAGTGTCTCTAAGAGGGCGGCGGGGCAGGCGAAGATGACCGTGGCGGCGTCCCTTGCTCTTGGCTCCTGCGTCCTCCGCCTTCCTGGTGGCGGCGGCGGTGGCGGTGGCCGCAGCCCCTCTCCCACATCGGACTCCCACTAGTCGCTGCTGCGCCGCAGTCTCCTCCTTCTTTTTCTAGCGCAGCTTCCGGTCAGTAGAGAGGCCTCCCCTTCCTGCCAAACACCGCGTGGCGCCCCTCCCCCACCAACCTGTACCACAGCCCTGGGCGTGGAAGGTGCTCCTAGGCTCTCGGTCTCGCAGCTTCCTCCAAATCAGAAGCTGTGGAGCCCACAACCACCTCTCTCTCACTGCATTGGTTTACCTCTTCTGGTTTAGCACGCGCCCCTCCCCTCACCTAACCTCAACCCTCTGCGCCCCTGCCCCTTCTGCTTTCCACCTTTCAGGAATTAGCCCTTTCCTTTCCCCTCCCTCCCCGCGTCCCCCCACCCTCCATTGAAGGGGATTTGTGGTAGGACAAGAGAAATGCGCTACTGCTCAGTGTTCAGGCTGCCATCTTGACCCAATCTACGTAATTTTTACTGACTTGTCATTCCCAGACTTAACTTCTTGAGGATTTCTTTTCTTTTCCCCTGATTGCAAAAGAATTGCATGCACAATATTGACACTGTAAAATTCAGAAAATTGACATGAAGAGAAAATAATTAACTAAGCCGGCCTCCCATTTTCCAGGGCTCACAGTGAAATATTAACACTATTTCCTTTTCCTTTTTTCTAAGCTCTTACAAAGCTTGGATAATTTTGAATATGCACTTTCATGTCCTGCTCATTTCCATGTAGAATAAACATTTGCTCAATTTTTTAGATATTTTCTGAGAACATGTTTTGTAGTAGCTTCATAAAATTAAGCATTAGGATTTTTCATAATTTTGCCGTTGCCTCCTATCTTCAGACGTTTAATTGTTAAATACCTATAAATTGTGCTTGCGCATGAATTATTCTGTTCACTTGAACAGAATAACCTAGACACTAAACTTAGAACAATTGCTATAATTAAAACAGGAATTTGTGAGATCATAAATCTGTGGAGAAAGACATTTTAGAAGTGATTCAATCAGTTTTATCGTTACAGCCATCCTAGTGGGTATGAAGTGGTACCTAATTGTGGTTTTAATTTGCATTTCTCTAATGACTAATGAGGATGAGCATCTTTTTGTGTGCTTGTTGGACATTTGTGTATCTTTGGAGAAATGTCTATTTCAAGTGCTTTGTTCATTTTTTAAATGAATTGTTTGTAGCAGGGCTGTTAATTGTTCTTTTTAAATTCTGGATGAGAGAACCTTATCAGATATATGATATGAAAATATTTTATCCCGTTTTGTGGGGTGTCTTCACTTTCTTGATAGTATTTTTGATGCACAAAAGCTTAAAACTTGGTTGTGCGTTTGGAGTCACACCTAAATAAACACTGCCAAATCCAAGTTCATGAAAATGTACCCCTATATTTTCTTGTAAAATTTTGTTTGTTTTTAGCTCTTATATTTATGTCTTTGACCCATTTTGAGTTAATTATTATGTATGGTGTGATGAAGGGGACCAAATTCATTGTTTTGCACATGGATATCCAGTTGTCTCAGCACCTTCTGTTGAAGAGACAATTCTTAGCCTTTTTAATTGTCTTGGCATACTTGTTGAAAATCAATTTAGTACAGATGTATAGGCTTATATCTGGACTCTTAATTCTATTTCATAGAATTTTATGCAAAAACCACGTTTTTAATTTATCTTTATGCAAGAACCACATTTATTTTTTGATTACTGTAACTGTGCAGTATGTTTGAAATCAGTAAGTGTGATTTCTCTGAAAATATTATTAAGATTGTATTGGCTACTCATGCTCCTTTTTTTTTTTTTTTTTTTTTTTTTTTTTTGAGACAGAGTCTTGCTCTGTCGCCCAGGCTAGAGTGCAGTGGCACAATCTCGGCTCACTGCAACCTCCACCTCCCGGGTTCAAGCGATTCTCCTGTCTCACCATCCTGAGTATCTGGGGTTACAGGCATGTACCACCATGCTCAGCTAATTTCATAGTTCCTTTCAATTTCATATGAATTTTAGGATTGTCTTTTCCTTTTCTGAACAAAAGGACTGTTGGGATTTTGATAAGGGTTGCACTGACTCTGCAGATAAACTTGGGAAGTATTGTTATCTCAACAATATTGTCTTACAATCCATGAACACAGAGTTTCCAGAGGGCATAATTTCCCACAAACAGAGTTTCCTATGAACACTGGGTATCTTGCAATTTATTTAGATCTTCTTTAAATTATTTCAGCAATGTTTTATAGTTTTGGTTAGATTTATTTCTAAGTTATTTTATTATTTTTGACGCTATGGTAAATGGAATTGTTTACTGTGATATTGTGAAATATATATTTGCTCTTTGATCTCCTTTTCTGGCATACAGCCCCTAAAACCCTTGAAGTATCCTGAGAGATAAGAGTGTCTTTTGTATGCTAATAAGATGACTGATGATTGGCAGCCCCTAGATAGCTTCAGGATGTGGGCTGTTCACGGCAAAGACCAGGGCATGATTAGAAGATTGGAGCAGAGAGGAGTTAAAGGTTGAATCGATCACCAATGGCTCATGATGTCTACATAATGAAGCCTTCATAAGAACCCAAAATAACAAGGTTAAGAGAGCTTTGGAAGCATATCTAGAACTATATGATCTTTGACAAACCTGACAAAAACAAGCAATGGGGAAAGGATTCCCTATTTAATAAAAGGTGCTGGGAAAACTGGCTAGCCATATGTAGAAAGCTGAAACTGGATCCCTTCTTTACACCTTATACAAAAATTAATTCAAGATGGATTAAAGACTTAAATGTTAGACCTAAAAACCATAAAAACCCTAGAAGAAAACCTAGCCATTACCATTCAGGACACAGGCATGGGCAAGGACTTCATGTCTAAAACACCAAAAGCAATGGCAACAGAAGCCAAAATTGACAAATGGGATCTAATTAAACTAAAGAGCTTCTGCACAGCAAAAGAAACTACCATCAGAGTGAACAGGCAACCTACAGAATGGGAGAAAATTTTCGCAACCTACTCATCTGACAAAGGGCTAATATCCAGAATCTACAATGAACTCAAACAAATTTACAAGAAAAAAACAAACAACCCCATCAAAAAGTGGGCAAAGGACATGAACAGACACTTCTCAAAAGAAGACATTTATGCAGCCAAAAAAACACATGAAAAAATGCTCACCATCACTGGCCATCAGAGAAATGCAAATCAAAACCAC
Source organism: Homo sapiens (assembly GCF_000001405.40). Classification (NCBI taxonomy): domain Eukaryota; kingdom Metazoa; phylum Chordata; class Mammalia; order Primates; family Hominidae; genus Homo; species Homo sapiens. Next base: position 56,998,687 of record NC_000023.11, read on the forward strand.
AATGAGATACCATCTCACACCAGTTAGAATGGCAATCATTAAAAAGTCAGGAAACAACAGGTGCTAGAGAGGATGTGGAGAAATAGGAACACTTTTACACTGTTGGTGGGACTGTAAACTAGTTCAACCCTTGTGGAAGTCAGTGTGGTGATTCCTCAGGGATCTAGAACTAGAAATACCATTTGACCCAGCCATGCCATTACTGGGTATATACCCAAAGGACTATAAATCATGCTGCTATAAAGACACATGCACATGTATGTTTATTGCGGCACTATTCACAATAGCAAAGACTTGGAACCAACCCAAATGTCCAAAAATGATAGACTGGATTAAGAAAATGTGGCACATATACACCATGAAATACTATGCAGCCATAAAAAATGATGAGTTCATGTCCTTTGTAGGGACATGGATGAAATTGGAAATCATCATTCTCAGTAAACTATCGCAAGAACAAAAAACCAAACACCGCATATTCTCACTCATAGGTGGGAATTGAACAATGAGAACACATGGACACAGGAAGGGGAACATCACACTCTGGAGACTGTTGTGGGGTGGGGGGAGGGGGGAGGGATAGCATTAGGAGATATACCTAATGCTAAATGACGAGTTAATGGGTGCAGCACACCAGCATGGCACATGTATACATATGTAACTAACCTGCACATTGTGCACATGTGCCCTAAAACTTAAAGTATAATAATAATAAAATTAAAAAAAAAAGAGAGAGCTTTGGGATAGCTGAACACGTGGAGGTTCCTGAAGGGTGGCTCACTTGAACAGGGCATGGAAGTTTGGTACCCCATTCCACATACCTTGCCCAATGTATCTCTTCCTTCTGGGTGTTCATCTGTATCTTTTGTAATATCCTTTACAATAAATGGGTAAATGTAAGTAAAGTGTTTCCCTGAGTTCTGTGAGCTGCTCTAGCAAATTAATTGAATGAGAACCCTGATTTATAGTTGGTCTGTTAGAAGTACAGATCATAATCTGGAACTTGTAATTGGCATCTAAAGTGCAGGGCAGTCTTGTGGGATTGAGCCCTCATGATTTTTAAGCCTTGATATTGTATCTTGTCTTAGTTCAGGCTGTTATAACAAATTACCATAGAATGAGTGGCTGAAACAATAAACATATATTTCTCACAGTTCTGGAGACTGGGTCTCCAGATAAGTCCAAGATAAGAAGTACAGGCCAATTTCGTTCCCTGGGGATAGGCCCTCTTTCTGGTTCCAAATGGCTATCTTCTCATTATACCCTCACATGGTGGAGAGCAGAGAGAGAGCTAGCTCTCTGGCTACTTCTTATAAGAGCATTAATCCCATCCATAGGGGCTCTACCCTCATGACCTAATTATCTCCCAAAGGCTCCATCTTCAAATATTATCACACTGGAGATTAGGCTTTAACATATACATTTAGGGGACAGGGCCACAAACATTCAATCCATAGCATGTCCTGAAATTTGACTGAATCCTTTTAATCATTTCAGTAGTTACTAATGGATTCTTTGGGATCATCTCTATATACAATGGTATTATCAGTAAATAAAGATAGTTTTACATTTTCCTAATATGGATAACTTTTATTTACTTATTTTCTTACTTGATTGCCCTGTCTAGAACCTACTGCAGTACAATGCTGAATGGAAATAGTGAGGGGGCATTCTTGTCCTCTTCTTATACTTAGGGGGAGAGGTTTCAGCCTTTCCCTGTTGAATGTGAATTTAGCTCTTTTTTTAATGCATATATGTCTCTTATCTTGAAGAAGTTCCCTTCTATTCCTAGTTTGTTGACAGGTTTATTATTATTATTATTAGAGGGTGTTGGATTTTGTCAAATGCTTTCTTGTGTCAATTGAGATAATCATTTTTTTCCCTTCATCCTATTGAGGTGTATTATTTTTATTAATTTTATAAAATTTTTTAATTGGAGTGAACTATACTATGACATAAAATTACCACTTTAAGAGTACAATTTAGTGGCAGTAAGTACATGCACATTGTTGTGCAATCACCATTATCCGTTTTCAGAACTTTTTTGTTATCCCAAACATAAAATATGTACCCATTAAAAAATAATTCCCTATTCCTCCCTCCCTCAGTCCCTGGTAACTTCTTTTCCTTGGTGCCTCATATAAGTGATATCATACTATATTTGTTCTTTTATGTCTATTTTCACGTAGCATACTGTCTTCAAGATTCATTTATATTATAGTATTTATCACAATTTCATTCCGTTTTAAGGCTGAGTAATATTCCATTGCACCTATATATCACATTTTGTTTTTCAATTCATCTGACAATAGACATTAGTGTTGTTTCCATCTTTTGGCTGTGTGAATGATGATGCTATGAACATTTGTATAGAAATATTTGTTCAAATCCCTGCTTGCCCTTCATTAGAGTATATACTGAGAAGTAGAATTACTGGATCATATGATAATTTAACTTTTTGAGGCACTGCCAAACTGTTTCCACTGTGGCTGTACCATTTTACATTCTTGTCAGTAATGCACAAGTATTCCAATTTCTCCACATCTTCACTCACAGTTTTTATTTTTTTTGTAATAGTCATCATAATGATTGTGCAGTGGTACCTCATTGTACTTTTGACTTGCATTTCCTTAATGATTAGTGAAACTGAGCATCTTTTTATGCTTTTATTGGCCATTTGTATCTCTTTGGAGAAATACCTATTCAATTCATTTGCCCACTTTTTAGTTGGTGCTTGTTTATTATCATTAAGTTGTGGGAATTCTTTGTATATTCTGGATGTTAGTTTCTCATTGGATATATAATTTACAATTTTTGTCTCATTCTGTGAGTTGTCTTTTCATTCTGTTGATGGTGTCCCTTGATGCATTTATTCTAATTTTAATAGAGTCCAATGTATCTCCTGTTTCCATTCCTGTGCTCTTTGTGTCATATCTGATAAATTATTGCAAAATCCAATTTCATAGAAGTTTTCTCTCATGTTTCCTTCTACCAGTTTTACAGTTTTAGCTCTTATGTTTAGGTCTTTGGTTCATTTAAGACAGCGCGGTGTAAGGTATATAGTGTATATGGTGTAAGATAAGCATCCAATATCCTTCTTTTGCAAGTGTCCATGTAGTTTTCCCAGCACTGATTGTTAAAAATATTTTTCTTTCCTCATTTAATGGTCACGGCATTCTTGTCAAAAATCACTTACATAAATAAGCAAGAGTCTATTTCATAGCTCTCTTTTATTCCATTGGTCTATGTGTGTGTGTTTATACCAGCAGCACACTGATTTAGTGCTGTAGCTTTGTAATAAATTTGAAATCAAGAAGTGTGAATCCTCTTTGTTCTTTTTTAAGAATTTGTTTTGTTTTGTTTTGTTTGTTTATTGTTTCGTGGTTCCATATGATTTTATAACAAGTGTTTAAATTACTTTAAAAACCTTGAAACCTTATTAAGATTTTGATAGGAAATTCATTAAATCTGTAGACAGCTTTGGGTAGTATTGTCATCCCGAAGGACTTCTTTTAACATTTTTTGTAGGGCAGGTGTTGTGGTAATGAACTTCCTTGGCTTTTGTTTGCCTGGGAATATCTTAATTTCTCCTTCGATTTTGAAAGACATTTTTGCCAGATATTGAATTCTCAGTTGAAAGATTTTTTTTTCTTCATCAGTCTATCATCCAATTGCCTTCTGGCCTTTAAGATTTTTGCTGAAAAATTGGCTGAAAGTTGAAGGAGAGAGGTGGAGCAAGATGGTGGAACAGGGCTCTCCAGTGATTGTCCCCGCACAGAAACATCAATTTGAACTATTTACAAACTAAAATATCTTCACAAGAACAAAGAAAACCAGGTGAGATATCACAGTACCCGGTTGTAGCACAACAATAAGAATAGATGCATTGAAGAGGGTAGGAAGGACAGTTTTACATTATCCACATCACCTCTCAAAAAACTGCAGGCAACACAGTATAAAAATATGTAACATCTGCTTGAAGGAAAGAGAGGGAAATGAGTACAGGAATTACCTAGGACCAATACCAGTCCCACTACAGTAAAACCCAGCATGAGACAGGTCCCATGGCTCCAGACTGTAGGTCAGTACCCACAGATTGATCTTCCAGCCTTGCCATGGTGCCAGGTGGGACCCCACATCTCCAGACTTCAGGCCTGAGAGGTGCACTTGCTCTCTGACTCACTCCAGTGCCATGGCAGGTAGAGCAGACCCAGGCTTTGGGCATCCCCCAGTGCCACACTGACTGCAATGGCTCCAGGCTTTCATCATGCCCCAGAACCATGCTGGCCCAACTGGCCCTGGGCATCAGTAAAACACAAGATGGCCTGCCCAGAATCTCTGGACAGGCTGACATGGAAGGGTCTTCCAAAACAAAGCCAGTCTGTGAAGCCTGGAGTCAGTACCTATTTCTTCAAATGTGAAGACATCAGTGAACAGCCACAAGGATCAATAGCAATCAGGGAAACATGACATCATCAAAAGGACAAACAAAAATAGCAGTGACTGAAATGGAGATGTGTGAATTACCTGAAAGGGAATTCAAAATAACTGCTTATTAAACTTAATCTTGAAGAAAAATGCCTTTTAGGAGTTATATTATTCAGTGCATTATTTACAAAGTATAACCAAGTCTATGGTAAAATGAATTTCTAATTCAGAGAATGCTGTTATCCTTATTTAACATTTTCCCTATAATAATTACTATTTAAAGATAATTATGATTACAATTTTCAAGCTTTGTGAAAAAATTGTTCATACAAGGAAGTAATGATTACAACCTGCTAAAACTGGCCAGCCTGTAAATACTTTTTATTTGTTTATTACTTTTTACTAGTAGAAATACATTTATATTCTTTTTCTTTCTTTATCCATCCTCCCCACTTCCCTTTGTAGCCTCTGGTAACAGCTAATCTGACCTCTATCTTCATGATATACTAAAAAAGCTAAAAAAGCACTCACATATGAGTGAGAATATGCAACAGGATTTAATTCTTTTTTTATGGTGGAATAATATTCCATTGTGTATATATACAACATTTTCTATTTTTAATTAAAAAAATTTTACTGATTTGAGGGTACAAGTGCAGTATTGTGTAGTAATGAAGTCTGGGCTTTTAGCCATCACTTGAATAATGTACATTATACCCAGTAGGTAATTTTTTATTCCTAACCTCTTCCCAACCTCCCACCTTTCAGAGTCTTCAATGTCTATTATTGCACCTTGTATTCATGTGTATTCATTATTTAGCTCCCGCTTATAAATGAGTCCATGCAGTATTTAACTTTCTGGGTTATTTAACTTAAGAAAATGGCCTCCATTGTTCTCCATGTTGCTGCAAAAGACAGGATTTCATTCTTTTTTATGACTGAGAAGTGTTCTATGGCATGTGTGTATGTCACATTCTCTTTATCCAATTATTCATTGATGGACACTTAGGTTTATTCTATGACTTTGTGAATAGTGCTGAAATAAAGACATGAGTACAGGTAGCATTTTGATGTAACAATTTCTTTTCTTTTTGGTATGTATCTAGTAGTGGGATTGTTGTATCAAATGGTAGTTCTATTTTTAGTTCTTTGAGAAATCTCCATATATTTTTTTCCAGAGAGGTTGTTCTAATTTACATTTCCACCAACATTGAATAAGTGTTCCTTTTCCTCAGCATCCTTGCCAACATCTGTTGTTTTTTGACTTTTTAATGATAGTCATTCTGACTGGAGTAAGATGGTATGTCATTGTGGTTTTAATTTGTATTTCTTTGATGATTAGTGATGTTGAGTATTTTATTTTTTGTTTTGTTTTGTATTGTTTGTTGGCTGTTTCTATATCTTCTTTTGAAAAGTGTCTGTTCATGTTCTTGGCCCACTTTTTAAGGGATTATTATTATTATTATTTACATTACTTTCTGTGTTGCTTGGGTTCTTTCTAGATTCTAGATATTAGTCCTGGGTCAGATGAATACTTTGCAAATATTTTCTCCCATTTTGTAGGTTGTTCATTTACTCTGTTGACTGTTTCTTCTGCTTTGTAGGGGATTTTTAGTTTAATTAAGCCCTATTTGTCTATTTTTGTTTTTGTCGCATTAGCTTTTGAGGACTTAGTCATAAATTCTTTGCCTAGGCCAATGTCCAGAAGTGCTTTCCCTAATTTTTTTCTAGGTTTTGTATGGTTTTATTTACATTTATGTCTTTTATCTGTCATGAGTTTTGTTTGTTTGTGTGTTTCATTCTTCTGCATGGCTATTCACTTCTCCTAGCAACATTTACTGAGTAGGGTGTCTTTTATTCAGTGTATATATTTGTCAGCATTGTTGAAGATCAATTGGTTATAGGTATGTGACCTTACTTCTGGGTTCTCTATTCTGTTCTACTAATTTGTGTGTCTATTTTTATACCAGTACCATGCTGTCTTGGTTACTATATCCCTGTAGTATAAATTGAAGTGAGGTGATGTGATTCTTCCAGCTTTGTTCTTTTTGCTTAGGATTGCTTAGGCTGTTGGGGCTGTTTGTTTCCATATGAATTTTAGGATTGTTTATTCTAATTCTGTGAAAAAATGATGTTGGTAATTTGATAGCAACTGAATTGAATCTGTAAATTACTTTGGGCAGTGTGGTCATTTTAACAATATTGATTCTTCCAATTCATGAGCCTGGGATGTTTTTCCATTTGTTTGTGTTATGTATGATTCCTTTCATTAGTGTTTTGTATTTCTCCTTGTAAAGATCTTTTATCTTCTTTTGTAAATGTATTCCTAGGTATTTTTGTTTTGTAGCTATTGTAAATAACATTGAGATTTAAATTTGGTTCTCAGCTTGATTGTTATTGGTATGTAGATATGGTACTGATCTTTAGACTTTTTTGGAATAGTTTCAGTAGGAATGGTACCATTTCCTTGTATGTCTGATAGAATTCAACTGTGAATTCCTCTGGCCTAGACTTTTACTTTTGGGGACTTTTTTTTTTTTTTATTCATGATCCAATCATACTGCTCATTATTGCTGTCTTAAGAATTTCTTTTTTTTTTCCCTAGTTCAATCTTGGGAGGTTATATGCTTTCAGGAATTTATACATTTACTCTATGTTTACTAATTTGTGAGCATAGAGATGTTCATTCGAGCCTCTGATGATCTTTTTATGTGTCTGTGGTATTAATCGTAATTTTTCCTCTTTCATTTTTGATTGTTCTTATTTGAATCTTCTTCTTTCTTGGGTTAATTTAGCTAGTGGTCTCTGGATTTTGTTTATCTTTTTTAAAAAACCAACTTTTCATTAATCTTTGGATTGTTTTGGGAGTCACAATTTTATTTAGTTTTGCTCCGATCTTTGTTATTTCTTTTCTTCTGCTACCTGTGGACTTGGTTTGTTCTTTTTTTTTTTTTTTTAGTTTCTTGAGGTACAATGTTAGAATGTTAACTTGTAATATTTTTTCCTTTTTGATGTAAGCATTTAATGCTATAACCTTCCCTCTTACCACTGCTTTTGCTATATTTTAGAGGTTTTGGTATGTTGTGTCTCTACTTTTGTTTTGAACATTTAAAAATTTCCACCTTAATTTTGTCATTTGCTCAAAGATCATTAAGAAACAGGTTATTTAATTTTCTTGTATTTGTATAGTTTTTAGAGTTCCTCTTGATATTGATTTCTAGTTTTTTTTTCCCCACTGTGGTCTGAGAAGATACTTGATATGATTTTAATTATTAAAAATGTATTGAGACTTGTTTTGAGGCCTAATATATGATCTATTTTGAAAAACGTTTTAGTGTGCTAATGAAAAGAATGCATATTCTGCAGTTGTTGGGTAAAATGTTCTATAAGTTTCTGTAAGGTCCATTTCGTCTAGATTTCAATTGAAGTCTAGTGTTTATACCTCATTTAAAAAAATTATTTATTGTTGATCTTTACTTTGGTTGATTCTATATTTTGTCTATTATGAATAGTGCTGAAATAAACATTAAAGTGCAGCTAAATCTTTGATATATTAATTTTTTGGATATATACTTAGTGGTGGAATTACTAGATCATATGATAATTCTAGTTTTAGATTTTTGAGTACCTTCCACATTGTTTTTTTATAGTAGATGTACTACCTTGCATTCCTACAATGTATGAGAGTTCCCCTTTCTCCAAATTTTTGCCAACATTTGTTATTTCTTGTCTTTTTGATACAAGCCATTTTGGCTATCGTAAGATGATACATCCTTGTGGTTTTGATTTTTCATTTCCCCAATTATTAGTGATATTGAGCATTTCTCACATACCAGTTGGTCCCTTGTATGTCTTATTTTGAGAAATGTCTATGTAGATATTTTCCCCATTTTAAGTGGATTAGATGGGTTTTTTGCTGTTGAGTTGTTTGAACTTCCTGCACATTCTCATTCTTTCTTTTAACTTTATTTTAGCTTCAGGGGTACATGTGCAAGTTTGTTACATAGGTAAATTTTGTCACAGGGGTTTAATGTACAGATTATTTCGTCACCTAGGTAACAAGCATAGTACCCAATAGGTAATTATTTGATCCCCTACCTCCTTCCACCATGCACCCTTAAGTAGGTCCTGGTGTCTGTTGTTCCCTTCTTTTTGTCTATGTATTCTCAATGTTTAGTTCCCACTTATAACTATGAGGATGCAGTATTTGGTTTTGTGTTCCTGAGTTAGTTTGCTTAGGATAATGACCTTCATCTCTATTCATGTTACTGCAAGGGACGTGATCTGATTATTTTCTATGGCTGCATAGTATTTCATGGTATACATCTACCACTTTTTTATTTTTATTTTTATTTTTTAATTTCTGAGCATTCATAGTAGGTGTATATATTTATGGGGGTACATGAGATGTTTTGATACAGGCATGCAATGCGAAATAATTACATCATGGAAAACGGGTATCCATCCCCTCAAGCATTTATTCTTTGTTTTATAAACAATCTAATTATACTCTTTTTAGTGATTTTAAAATGTGCAATTAAATTATCATTGACTATAGTCACCCTGTTGTGCTGCCAAATACTAGGTTGTATTCATTCTTTCCAACTATATTTTTTGTAACCATTAATCATCATCACCTCCCCCTCAGCCCCTCACCACCATTTCCAGCCTCTGGTAACCATCCTACTCTCGATTTCCATAAATTATATTGTTTTGATGTTTACATACCACAAGTAGGTGAAAACATGCTATGTCTTTCTTACTGTGCCTGACTTATTTCACTTAACATATGATCTCCAGTTCCATTCATATTGTTGCAAATGAATAAATCTCATTCATTTTTATGGCTGAATAGTACTTCATTGTATATATATATGTACCGTGTTTTTTTTGTTTTTTTTAATTTTTATTTATTTTTTTATTATTATACTTTAAGTTTTAGGGTACATGTGCACAGTGTGCAGGTTAGTTACATATGTATACATGTGCCACGCTGGTGCGCTGCACCCACTAACTCGTCATTAATCTGTTGATGAATACTCGGTTGCTTTCATATCTGAGGTATTGTGAACATGCTCTAAAAAACATGGGAGTGCAGTTATCTCTTCCATATATTGATTTTCTTTCTTTTGGATATACACCTAAGAGTGGGATTCCTGGATCCATTGGTAGCTCTATTTTTAGTTTTTTGAGGAACGTTCAAACTGTTCCTAGTGGTTGTACTTTTTTACTTACCCACCAGCAGTGTATGAGGTTTCTATTTCTTCCACATCCTTGCAACCATTTGTTATTGCTTTTTTTTTTTTTTGGATAAAAGCCATTTTAACCGGGGTGAGATGATATCTCATTGTAGTTTTGATTTGCATTTCTCTGATGAACAATGATGTTGAACACCTTTTAATATGCCTGTTTGCCATTTGTATGTCTTCTTTTGTATGTCTATTCAAATCTTTGGCCCAGTTTTTAATTGAATTATTAGAGTTCTTTCTGTACAGTTGTTTGAACTCCTTATGTATTCTGGTTATTAATCTCTTGTCAGATAAATAGTGTGCAAGTATTTTCTCCCATTCTGTGGGTTGTCTTTTCTCTTTGTTGACTGTTTACTTTACTGTGCAGCTTTTTAACTTGATGTGATCTCATTTGTCCATTTATGCTTTCATCGCCTGTGCTTGTGGGGTATTGCTCAAGAAATTTTTGTCCAGGCCAATGTCTGGAGATTTTTCTCAATGTTTCCTTGTAGGAATCTCATAGTTTGAGGTCTTAGATTTAAGTGTTTAATCCATTTCAATTTGTTTTTGTATATGGCAAGAGATGGGGGTCTAGATTAACTCTTCTCCATATCTAGTTTTCCCAGAACCACTTATTGAAGACACTGTCTTCTCCCTAGTGTATATTCTTGACACCTTTGTTGAAAATGAGTTCACTTTAGGTGAGTGGATTTGTTTCTGGGTTTTCAATTCGGTTTCATTGGTCTGTCTGCTTTTATGCCAGTACTATGCTGTTTTGATTACTATAGCTCTAAAATATCATTTCAAGTCAGGTAACGTGATTGCTCCAGTTTTGCTCTTTTTGCTTACAGTAGCTTTGACTATTCTAGGTCTTTTTTGATTCCATATAAATTTTGGGATTTTTTTTATTTCTATGAAGAATGTCATTGGTATTTTGATAGAGATTGCATTAAATCTGTAGATTGCTTTGGGTAGTACAAACATATTAATAATATGAATTCTTCCAATTCATGAACAAAGAATATATATATATATATGTATATATATATATATATACGTATATATATATATGTATATATATATATATATGTATATATATATATATATATATATATATATATATATAGAGAGAGAGAGAGAGAGAGAGAGAGAGATGGAGTTTTACTCTGTCACCCAGGCTGTAGTACAGTGGCACGACCTCAGCTCACTGCAACCTCTGCCTCACAGTTTCAACCGATTCTCCTGCCTCAGCCTTCTGAGTAGCTGGGATTACAGGTGCACGACACCACGTCTGGCTAATTTCTGTGTTTTTAGTAGAGATGGGGTTTCACCATGTTGGCCAGGCTGGTCTCTAACTCCTGACCTCAGGTGATCTACCCGCCTTGGCCTCCCAAAGTTCTGGGATTACAGGCATGAGCCACCGTGCCTGGCCAGAGTATTTTTCAGTATTTTGGTGTTCTCTTCAATTTCTTTCATCAGCTTTTTATAGTTTTCATTATAGAGATCTCTCTCTTTGGTAAATTCCTAGGTATTTAATTTTCTGTATGGCTATCTTAAATGGGACACATTTTATTTTTTATTTCTCTTTTGGATTGTTTACTGTTGGCATATAGAAATACTACTGAATTTTCTATGTTGATTTTGTGACCTGCAACTTTAATTTAATTTTAATTTTTTATTGACTTGTATTTTTTTATCCCTTGTATGTTTTTTGGTTTGAAGTTACTGTGAAGCTTGTCTTATAACCCATTATTTAAACGTAATAAATACTCAACACCTTTTGCATAAACAAACAAGCAAAAAGAAAAGTAAGAAAAACTCTATGCCTCAACTTTGCCCCTACCCCACCACTTTTTGACTTTTTGTTTTTTCTATTTCTACCTTCTTGTACTATGTATTGAAAAGTTGTTGTAGTTATTATATTTGCTTGGTTCATCATTTAGTCTTTTTACATAGGCTAAGAGTCATGTATGCAGCATAGCTACAGTGTTATAATATTCTGTGTTTTTTTGTGTACTTACTATTAACAGTTAGTTTTGTACCTTCAGTGATCACTTATTGCTCATTAATGTCCTTTTCTTTCTGATTGAAGTACTGCCTTTAGCATTTCTTGTAGGACATGTCTGGTGTTGATTAAATCCCTCATCTTTTGTTTGTGAGGGAAAGTCTTTATTTTTCTTTCATGTTTGAAAAATAATTTCACCAGATATATTATTCTAGGGTGAAAGTGTGTGTATGTATTTTTTTTTTTAATCAGTACTTTAAATATGTCATGCCACTCTCTTCTGGCCTGTACGGTTTCCACTGAAAAGTCTGTTGCCAGACATATTAGAGTTCCACTGTATGTTGTTTCTTTTCTCTTGCTGCTTTTAGGATTCTTTATCTTTGACCTGTGGTAGGTTGATTATTAAATGCCTTGAGGCAGTCTTTTCTGGGTTAAGTCTGCTTGGTGTTTTATAACCTTCTTATACTTTGATATTGATCTCTTGCTCTAGGTTTGGGAAGTTCTCTGTTATTCTCCCTTTGAATACAGTTTCTACCCCTATATTTTTCTCTACCTCCTCTTTAAGGCACATCACTTTTTTTTTTTTTTTTTTTGATAGTGTCTTGCTCTGTCACCGAGGCTGGAGTGCAGTGGTGTGATCTCAGCTCACTGCAACCTCCACCTCCTGAGTTCAAGCGATTGTCCTGCCTCAGCCTCCCAAGTAGCTGGGATTACAGGCATGTGCCACCAAGCTCAGCTAATTTTTGTATTTTTAGTAATGACAGCGTTTTACTGTGTTGGCCGGGCTGGTCTTGAGTTCCTCATCTCAAGTGCTCTGCCTGCGTCGGCCTCCCAAAGTGCTGGGATTACAGGCGTGAGCCACCGTGCCTGGCCCAATGACTCTTATATTTTCCCTTTTGAGGATATCTTCTAGATTCTGTAGGCATGCTCTATTGTTTTTTATTCTTTTGTTCTTTTTTATTATTATTAAACTTTATGTTTTAGGGTACATGTGCACAACGTGGAGGTTTGTTACATATGTATACATGTGCCATGTTGGTGTGCTGCACCCATTAACTCATCATTTACATTAGGTATATCTCCTAATGCTATCCCTCCCCCCTCCCCCTACCCCACAACAGGCCCCAGTGTGTGATGTTCCCCTTCCTGTGTCCATGTGTTCTCATTTTTCAATTCCCACCTATGAGTGAGAACATGCAGTGTTTGGTTTTTGTCCTTGTGATAGTTTGCTGAGAATGATGGTTTCCAGCTTCATTCATGTCCCTAAAAAGTACATGAACTCATCCTTTTTTATGGCTGCATAAAAAAGGCTAGTTAGATTGCCATTCTAACTAGCGTGAGATGGTATTTCATTGTGGTTTTGATTTGCATTTCTCTGATGGCCAGTGATGGTGAGCATTTTTTCATGTGTTTTTTGGCTTCATAAATGTCTTCTTTTGAGAAGTGTCTATTCATATCCTTCACCCACTTTTGGATGGGGTTGTTTGTTTTTTTCTTGTAAATTTGTTTGAGTTCATTGTAGATTCTGGATATGAGCCCTTTGTCAGATGAATAGGTTGCAAAAATTTTCTCCCATTCTGTAGGTTGCCTGTTCACTCTGATGGTAGTTTCTTTTGCTGTGCAGAAGCTCTTTAGTTTAATTAGATCCCATTTGTCAATTTTGGTTTTGTTGCCATTGTTTTTGGTGTTTTAGACATGAAGTCCTTGCCCATGCCTATGTCCTGAATGGTATTGCCTACGTTTTCTTCTAGGGTTTTTATGGTTTTAGGTCTAACATGTAAGTCTTTAATCCATCTTGAATTAATTTTTGTATAAGGTGTAAGGAAGGGATCCAGTTTCAGCTTTCTACATATGGCTAGCCAGTTTTCCCAGCACCATTTATTAAATAGGGAATCCTTTCCCCATTTCTTGTTTTTGTCAGGTTTGTCAAAGATCAGATAGTTGTAGGTATGCAGCATTATTTCTGAGGGGTCTCTTCTGTTCCATTGGTCTATATCTCTGTTTTGGTACCAGTACCATGCTGTTTTGGTTAGTGCAGCCTTGTAGTATAGTTTGAAGTCAGGTAGCGTGATGCCTCCATTGAATGTATAAATTACCTTGGGCAGTATGGCCATTTTCACGATATTGATTCTTCCTATCCATGAGCATGGGATGTTCTTCCATTTATTTGTATACTCTTATTTCATTGAGCAGTGGTTTGTAGTTCTTGAAGAGGTCCTTCACTTCCCTTGTAAGTTGGATTCCTAGGTATTTTATTCCCTTTGAAGCAATTGTGAATGGGAGTTCACTCATGATTTGGCTCTGTGTTTGTCTGTTCTTGGGGTATAGGAGTGCTTGTGATTTTTGGACATTGATTTTGTATCCTGAGACATTGCTGAAGTACCTTATCAGCCTAAGGAGATTTTGGGCTGAGACGATAGGGTTTTCTAAATATACAATCATGTTGTCTGCAAACAGAGACAATTTGGCTTCCTCTTTTTCTAATTGAATACATTTTATTTCTTTCTCTTGCCTGATTGCCCTGGCCAGAACTTCCAATACTGTGTTGAATAGGAGTGGTGAGAGAGGGCATTCTTGTTTTGTGCCAGTTTTCAAAGGGAATACTTTCAGTTTTTGCCCATTCGGTATGATATTGGCTGTGGGTTTGTCATGAATAGCTCTTATTGTTTTGAGATACATTCCATCAATACCTAGTTTATTGAAAGTTTTTAGCATGAAGGCTGTTGTATTTGTCAGAGGCCTTTTCTGCATCTATTGAGATAAGTGTGTGGTTTTTGTCTTTGGTTCTGTTTATATGCTGGATTATGTTTATTGATTTTCGTATGTTGAACCAGCCTTGCATCCCAGGGATGAAGCCCACTTGATCATGGTGGATAAGCTTTTTGATGTGTTGCTGGATTCGGTTTGCTAGTATTTTATTGAGGATTTTTGCATCAATGTTCATCAAGGATATTGGTCTAAAATTCTGTTTTTTTTTTGTTGTGTCTCTGCCAGGCTTTGGTATCCGGATGATGCTGGCCTCATACAATGAGTTAGGGAGGATTCCCTCTTTTTCTATTGATTGGAATATTTTCAGAAGAAATGGTACCAGCTCCTCCTTGTACCTCTGGTAGAATTCAGCTGTGAATCCATCTAGTCCTGGACTTTTTTTGGTTTGTAAGCTATTAATTATTGCCTCAGTTTCAGAGCCTGTTATTATTGTATTCAGAGATTCAACTTCTTCCTGGTTTAGTCTTGGGAGAGTGTATGTGTCGAGGAATTTATCCATTTCTTCTAGATTTTCTAGTTTGTTTGCATAGAGGTGTTCATAGTATTCTCTGGTGGTAGTTTGTATTTCTGTGGGCTCGTTGGTCATATCTCCTTTGTAATTTTTTATTGTGTCTATTTGATTCTTCTCTCTTTTCTTCTTTATTAGTCTTGCCAGCAGTCTATCAATTTTGTTGATCTTTTCATAAAACCAGCTCCTGGATTCATTGTTTTTTTATGGGCTTTTTGTGTCTCTATTTCCTTCAGTTCTGCTCTGATCTTAGTTATTTTTTGCCTTTTGCTAGCTTTTGAATGTGTTTGCTCTTGCTTCTCTAGTTCTTTTAATTGTGACATTAGGGTGTCAATTTTAGATCTTTCCTGCTTTCTCTTGTGGGCATTTAGTGCTGTAAATTTCCCTCTACACACTGCTTTGAATGTGTCCCAGAGATTCTGGTATGTTGTGTCTTTGTTCTCATTGGTTTCAAAGAACATTTTTATTTCTGCCTTCATTTCGTTATGTACCCAGTAGTCATTCAGGAGCAGGTTGTTCAGGTTCCATGTAGTTGAGCGGTTTTGAGTGAGTTTCTTAATCCTGAGTTCTAGTTTGATTGCAGTGTGGTCTGAGAGACAGTTTGTTGTAATTTCTGTTTTTTTATTTCCAACTATGGTCAATTTTGGAATAAGTGTGATGTGGTGCTGAGAAGAATGTATATTCTGTTCATTTGGGGTGGAGAGCTCTGTAGATGTCTATTAGGTCTGCTTGGTCCAGAGCTGAGTTCAATTCCTGGATATCCTTGTTAACTTTCTGTCTCATTGATCTGTCTAATATTGACAGTGGGGTGTTAAAGTCTCCCATTATTATTGTGTGGGAGTCTAAGTCTCTTTGTAGGTCTCTAAGAACTTGCTTTATGAATCTGGGTTCTCCTGTATTGGGTGCATATATATTTAGGGTAGTTAGCTCTTCCTGTTGAATTGATTCCTTTATCATCATGTAATGGCCTTCTTTGTCTCTTTTGATCTTTGTGTTTTTTTTTAAGCCATCCTGTTTGTGGTTTTTTTTAGAGCAGACATAGGACACTAACAAAATTACTCATTTTTAAAAAAACTTTGATTTTTGATAGCTCCTTCAGGTTGATTCTTGTGTCATTTCTGATTTTGAGTATTTTTTCCACGTGCTTATTGGCGATTTGTATATCTTTCTGGAAGAAATGTCTATTTAAGACCACTGCCCATTTTATTTATTTATTTATTCAATTAAAATTGTAGCATTTATTACCAAGCAATAAAAATTTTATAAGGACAAAAGCAACAGAGATATAGGGTAAAATATTTATGTATGCAATATTGCATAATAATTTGTTTTTTTTTAATTTTAGCTTTAGGGATACCACTGGTTTTTGATTACACTGATAAATTGTATAGTGGTGAAGTCTGAGCTTTAAGTGTACCCCTTGCCTGAATATTGTAGGTTGTACCCAATAGGTAATTTTTCATTCCTCACCCTACTTCCACAATTCCTGGTTCTGAGTCTTTAATGTCCATCATACCACTCTTCCTGCCTTTGTGTTATTGCCCATTTTAAAATTTAAATTGGGTTATTTGTTGTTGAGTTGTAGGAGTTTTTCCTCATTTTGTTTTAGATACAGGATCTCTCTCTATCTCTTAGGCTGGAGTGCCATGGCAAGATCATAACTCACTACAGCTTTATATATGTGTTCTTTATATAGGTGTTCATCCTACTCTGCTCTTAAACACTAGAACTTATTCTATGTGTTTGTACCCATTAATCAGCCTCACTATATACACCCCAACACACACAATCTTCTCAGCCTCTGATATCTATCATTCTATTCTCTACCTCCAAAATAAAATGTTTTACCTCCCACATGTGAGTGAGAACATGTGATATTTGTCTTTCTGTGTATGGCTTATTTCACTTAACATAATAAACTACAGTTTCATCCATGTTGTTGCAAATGACATAATTTCATTGTTTTTTATAGCTGCATAGTGTTCCATTGTGTAAATATATTACGTTTTCTTTATCCATTCATCTGTTGATAGATGCTTAGGTTAATTTTCTTATTTTTGGGTAAATATACATAAATTATATAATAATTACATCATTGCTGTATCATATTGTAGTTCCATTGTTAGTTTTTGAGAAATCTCCATACTGTTTTTTATAGCGCCTATACTAATTTGCATTCCCAGCAGCAGTGTTCAGGAGTTCCCTTTCCTCTGCATTCTTGACAGCATCCGGTTCGTTTTTTTTTTTTTTTTTTTTTTTGTCTTTTATTAATAGCCATTCTTACTGGGATAAGATGATACCTCCTTAGTTTTGATCTGCATTTCCTGTATGATTAGTGATGTTGAGTTGTTTTCTTTTTTCATATACCTTTTGGCCACTTATAAGACTTCTTTAGAGAAATGCCTATTCAGATTTTTTGCCCACTTTTTAATGGGGTTATTTGTTTTTATCTTATTATTGAGTCGTTTGAGTTCCTTGTTTATTCTGGATATTAGTCCTGTGTCAGATCAATAGTTTGCAAATATTTCCTTCCATTCAACAGGATGCCTCTTCAGTCTGTTGATTATTTTCTTTGATGTGCTTTTCAGTTTAATATAGTTCCATTTGTCAATTTTTGTTTTATATATCTGTGCTTTTGAGGTCTTAGCCATAAAATATTTTCCTATACCAATGTCCTGAAATGTTTTTCCTTTGTTTTCATTTATTAGTTTTATATTTTTGGGTCTTATGTTTAATGCTTTAATATATTTTGAGTTGATTTTGTATATGGTGAGAGATAGGTGACAAGTTTTATCCTTCTTTATATGGATATCCAGCTTTCCTAGCACCATTTATTGAATAAGATATCTTTTCCACAATTATATTCTTAGCACTTTGTGAAAATAAGTTGGCTCTAAATATGTGCCTTTATTTCTGAGTTCTCTATTCTGCTCACATGGTCTATGTTCCTGTCTTTATATCAATACCTAGCTATTTGGGTTACTGTAGATTGTGGTGTGAGTGTGTGTGTGTGTATGTATATATATACTTATACTTTTGTGGTATATATATACTTATAGATATACTTTTGTGGTATATATAGGCTTATATATATATTTTGAGGTATATATAAGTGTATATATATACTTATATAAATATATGTACCTATATATAATACTACTGGTATATAAGTGTGTATGTATATATCTATACACATATATATATACTTTTGAGGTATATATATACTTATATATATAAGTATATATATGAGGTATATATAAGTATATATATAAGTATATATATGAGGTATATATATAAGTATATATATGAGGCATATATATATAAGTATATACATATATACATATATATGTATATATATACACATATATATGTATATATACATATATACATATATACCTATATATATACATATATACCTATATATATATACTTATAGATACCTATATATAAATATATATACTTATAGATACCTATATATATAAGTATATACATACTTATAGATACCTATATATGTAAGTATATACATACTTATAGATACCTATATATGTAAGTATATACATACTTATAGATACCTATATATGTAAGTATATACATACTTATAGATACCTATATATGTAAGTATATACATACTTATAGATACCTATTTATGTAAGTATATACATACTTATAGATACCTATATATGTAAGTATATACATACTTATAGATACCTATATATGTAAGTATATATATACTTATAGATACCTATATATGTAAGTATATATATACTTATAGATACCTATATATGTAAGTATATATATACTTATAGATACCTATATATGTAAGTATATATATACTTATAGATACCTATATATGTAAGTATATATATACTTATAGATACCTATATATGTAAGTGTACATATATACTTATATAGGTTTGTTACATACATAAACTTGTGTCATGGGGGTTTATTGTACAGATTATTTCATCACCTAGGTATTAAGGCTAGTATCCATTAATTATTTTTCCTGATCCTCTCCCTCTTCTCACCCTCCACCCTCTGAAAGGCCCCAGTGAGTGTTGTTCCCCTATATATGTCCATGTGTTCTCATCATTAATTCCCATTTATAAGTAAGAACATGCAGTATTTGGTTTTCTATTCCTGTGTTAGTTTGCTAAGGGTAATGCCATCCAGCTCCATCCATGTCCCTGCAAAGAACATTATATTGTTCATTTTTACTGTTGCATAGGATTCCATGATGTATATGTACCACATTTTCTTTATCCAGTCTATCATCGATGGACATTTAGGTTGATTTCATGTCTTTGCTAATGTGAATAGTTCTGCAGTGAACGTACCTATGCATGAGTCTTCAAAATAGAATGATTTATATTCCTTTGGGTATGTACCCGGTAATGGGATTGCTGGGTCAAATGGTATTTCTGTCTTTAGGTGTTTGAGGAATCGCTACAGTGTCTTGGTTGTGGTATATTTTGAAATCATGATGGCCTCAGTTTTGTTTCTTATTTTTCTCAGAATGTCTTTGTCTATTTAGATTCTTTTGTGGTTACATACAAATTTTAGGACATTTTATTTCTAAGAAAAGTGGCATTCATATTTTGATAGAGATTGCATTGAATCTGTAGGTTTCTTTGGGCATATGGAGAGTTAAAAATATTAAATCTTCTCATCCAATAGCATAGGAAGTCTTTCCACTTGTTGGTGTCCTCTTTAATTTATTTCATGGATATTTTAGTTTTTCCTGTAGAGGTGTTTCACATCATTAAACAAATCTATTCTTAGGTATTTTATTTATTGTAGATATTGTAAATGGGATTGCCTTTTTAATTTATTTCTTAGCTAGTTTGTTTTCGGTATATAGAAACCCTATTGATTTTTGTGTGTTGATTTTGTATTTTGAAAACTTTACAGAATTTATTTAAAAGAACTAAAATGTTTTTGGTGGGGTCTTTAGGTTTTTCTAGATAAAAAACCAGATCATTAGCAAAGAGGGACAATTCAGCTTCCACTTTTTCAATTTTGATGCCTTTTATTTCTTTCTCCTGACTGACTGCTCTGGCTAAGACTTTCAGTACTATAATGAATAGAGAGAAGAAAACGGGCATCTTCTTCTAGTTCAGTTTTCCAGAGGAAAGGCTTTCAACTTTTCTCAATTCAGTACAATGTTAGCTGTGAGTTTGTCATATGTGAACTTTATTATTATGAGGTATGTTGCTTCTATGCCAGAGTTGTTGAGAATTTTTATGGTGAAGGGATGTTGAAGTTTATAAAATGTTTTTATCTACATATTGAGATGATCATATCAATTTTGTTCTTCATTTTGTTGATGTGTTGTATCATATTTATTGACTTGTGTATGTTGAATGATTCTTGCAGTCTCGTATAAATTCCACTTGATTGGTATCTATTATTTTTTCTGTGGGGGATAGTTAACTATTTTATTTTCACCTTTTGTTGTGCATATAGAAGGTACATGTGCAGGTTTGTTACATGGGCTTATTGCATGATGCTGAGGTTTGGGTATGGATCACGTAATCCAGGTAGTGTGAGTAGTACTTGACAGATAATATTTCAACCCATTGCTACTCCTTTCACCCTCCAGTAGTCTCCAGTGTCTATTGTTCCCATATTTTTGTCCATATGGGCACAATATTAGCTTCCACTTATAAATGAGATAATGTGGTACTTGATTTTCTGTTCTAGCATGAATTTACTTAGGATTATGGCCTGAAGTTCCATCCATGTTGCTTTAAAGGACATTATCTCTTTCTTTTTTATAACTGTATAGTATTTCAGGTTGTATTTGTACTGTATTTTAACAATCCAATCTATAATTAATGGGCAACTAGCTTAATTTTATGTCTTTGCTACTATGAGTAGAATAACAATGAACATACAAATGCATGTGTCTTTTTGGTAGAATAATTTATTTTAATTTGAGTACATACCCAATAATGAGATTGCTGGGTCAAATGGCAGCTCTGTTTTAAGTTCCTTGACAAGTCTCCAAACTACTTTCTACAATGGCTGGGCTAATTGACATTCCCCACAACAGTGTATAAGCATTTTCTTTTCTCTGCAGACTTGTGAACATTGGTTGGTTTTTTACTTTTTAATAATAGCCATTCTGATTGGTGTGAGATGGTATCTTGTGGTTTTGCATTGCATTTCTCTAATGATTAGTAACATTGAGCATTTTCTATCTTTTCAATGTGTAAGTTCAGGGGTATACGTGCAAGTTTGTTATACAGGTTTGTTATATGTCTGATTGGTTGATTTTAGAGTATGTACCATATGGAGATCAGAAGAATGTATATTCTGTTGTTTTGTGGTGGAGTGTTCTGTAGATATCTGTTAGGTCCATTTGGTCAAGTGTTGAGTTCAGGCCCTAAATATTTTTGTTAGTTTTCTGCCTCAATGATCTGTCAGTGAGATGCTGAAGACTCCTACTCTTATTGTGTGGTTATCTAAATCTCTTTGCAGGTCTCCAGTAACTTGCTTTATGAATCCAGGTGCTCATGTGTTGGGTGAATATATACTTAGGATAGTTAGGTCTTCTTGTTGAATTGAGCCTTTTACCATTATAGAATGCTGTTCATTGTCTTTTTTGGTCTTTGTTGGTTTAAAATATGTTTTCTCTGAAATTAGACTAGTAACCCCGACTTATTTCTGTTTTCTGTTTGCTTGGTATATTTTTCTCCATCTCTTTATTTTGAGCCTATGAGTGTCATTGCATGATATGGGTCTCTTGAAAACAGCATGCTGTTGGGTCTTGCTTCTTTATCCAGCTTATCACTCTTGCCTTTTAACTGTGGGCAGTTAGGCCGTTTACATTCAAAATTAGTTTTGGTATGTGCAGATTTAACATGTTGTTAGCTGATTATTATGCAGACTTTTTGGTGTGGTTGCATTATAGTGTCACTGGTCTATGTACTTAAGTGTGTTTTCATAATGGCCAGCAATTGTCTTTCTTTTTCATATTTAGCACTCTCTTCTGGACCTCTCGTAAGGCAAGTCTGCTGGTAACAAAATCCCTTAACATTTGCTTGTCTGAAAAGATGTTGTTTCTACTTCACATCTGAAGCTGAGTTTGGCTGGATATGAAATTCTTGGTTGGAAAGCCTTTTCTTTAAGAATGCTGAATATAGGCTCACATTCTCTTCTGGCTTCTAGGGTTTATGCTGAAAGATCTGATATTAACCTCTTGGGGTTCCTTTGTAGGTGACCTGCCTCTTCTTTCCAGTTGCATTTAACATTTTTTCTTTCATTTTGACACAAGAATCTGATGACAGTTTCTTGGAGATGATTTTTTTCTGTATTATTTCACTGGGTTTTCTGCACTTCCTGAATTTGAGTGTTGGTCTGTCTAGCAAGGTTGGGAAAATTTTTCATAGATGATATCCTGAAATATGTTTTTCAAGTTGCTTGCTTTCTCTCCTTGTCTTTCAGGAATGCCAATAGATTTGGTCTCTTTGTATAATCCCATACTTCTTGGAGGTTTTGTCCATTGTTCATTATTCTTTTTAAAACTTTTGTTCTGACTGAGAAGTTTCAAAGAGCATCTGGAATTCTTTCCACGGTGTGGTTGATTCTGCTGTTAATATTTGCAATTGTATTATAAAATTATTGAAATAAGTTTTTCGGCTCTATCAACTCAGTTTGGTTATTTCTTAAAATGGCCACTTTGTCTTTCATCTCCTGTATTATTTTATTGTATTTTGTACAATCCTTGGGTTGGATTTCAACTTACTCCTGAATGTTGATCTTCATTCTTATTCATATTCTGAATTTTATTTCTGTCATTGCGTCCATTTCACCCTAATTAAGAATCATTACTGGGAACATAGTGCAGTTGTTAATTAGATCCTATTTGTCAATTTTTGTTTGTTGTGCAATTGCTTTTGTGTCTTTGTCATGAAATCTTTGCCAAGGCCTATGTTCAGAATGGTATTTCCTAGGATTTATTCAAGGAATTTTACAGTTTTAGGTTTTATATTTAAGTCTTTAATCTATCTTGAGTTGATTTTTGTATATGGTGTAAAGAGGGTGTCAAGTTCAATCTTCTGTTTATGGCTAGCTAGTTATCCCAGCACCATTTATTAAATAAGAAGTTCTTTACCCATTGCTTTTTTTTTCATTGTTGAAGATCATATGGTTTTAGGTGTGCAGCTGTATTTCTGGTCTCTCTATTCTGTTCCATTGGTCTATGTGTCTATTTTGGTACCATTCCCATGCTGTTTTGCTTGCTGTAGCCTTGTAACATAGTTGGAAGTTGGGTAATGTGATGCCTCCAGCTTTTTTTTCTTTTTTTCTCTTGGGATTGCTTTGGCTATTTGAGCTTTACTTCTGGTTCAATATGAATTTTAGAATAGCTTTTCTAATTGTGTGAAAAATGTCATTGATACTTTGATAAAAATAGCATTGAATCTGTACATTGCTTTGGGCAGTGTGACCATGTTAACAATATTGATTCTTTCTATTCATGAGCATGGAAATTCAGGGGTACGTGTGCAGGATGTGCAAGGTTTATTACATAGGTAAACATGTGCCATTGTG
This sequence comes from Homo sapiens, assembly GCF_000001405.40. NCBI lineage: Eukaryota > Metazoa > Chordata > Mammalia > Primates > Hominidae > Homo > Homo sapiens. The sequence continues at coordinate 57,022,181 of NC_000023.11, forward strand.
GTTTGCTTCACAGATCATCCCATCACGTAAATATTAAGCCCAGCATGCATTAGCTATACTTACTAATGTTCTCCTTCCCTCCTCCTTGCCTACAGGTCCCAGTGTGTGTTGTTCCTTTGCATGTGTTTATGTGTTCTCATCATTCAGTTTCCAGTTACAAGTGAAAACATGTAGTACATGCTTTTCTGTTCCTGTGTTAGTTTGCTGAGAATAATGGCTTCCAGCCCCATCCATGTCCATGCAAAGGAAAAGATCTCATTGTTTTGTATGGCTGTATAGTATTCCATGGTGTATATATACCACATTTTCTTTATCTGGTCTATCATTGATGAGCATTTGGGTTGATTCCATGTCTTTGTTATTGTAAATACTGTTTCAGGGAACATACATGTACATGTATCTTTATAAAAGAATGATTTATATTCCTTTGGGTATATACCCAGTAATGGAATTGCTGGGTCAAATTTTATTTCTGCCGCTATATCTTTGAGGAATTTCCACACTGTGTTCCAAATGGTTGAACTAATTTACACTCCCACTGCAAGTGTAAAAGCATTTCTTTTTCTTTACAACCTCACCAGCATCTGTTGTTTTTTGACATTTTAATAAAGGCCATTCTGACTGGCGTGATATAGTCTCTCATTGTGATTTTGATTTGCATTTCTCTAATGACCAGTGATATTGAGCTTTTTGTTTTATATGTTTGTGGGCTGCATGTATGTCTTCCTTTGAGAAGTGTCTGTTCATATTCTTTGCCCACTTTTTAATGGGGTTGTTTGTTTCTTTCTTGTAGATTTAAGTTTCTTGCAGACTCTGGATATTAGACCATTGTCATGTGAATAAATTTAAAAAAAGTTTATCCCATTCTGTAGATTGTCTGTCCACTATGATGATAGTTTATTTTGCTGTGTAGAAGTGCTTTAGCTTAATTAGATCCTATTTGTCAATTTTTGCTTTTGATGCAAATGCTTTTGGCATCTCCATTATGAAATCTTTGCCCATGCCTATGTCCTGAGTGGTATTTTCTTCTAGGGTTTTTATAGTTTTTGGTTTTCCATCTAAATCTTGAATCCATCTCGACTTAATTTTTGTATAAGGTGTAAGGAAGCGGCCTAGCTTCTTTTTTCTGCATACGGCTAGCCAGTTCTCCAAGCATTATTTATTAAATAGGGAATCCTTTCCCCATTGCATGTTTTTGTCAGGATTGTTGAAGAACAGATGGTTTTCAGTGTGTGGTCTCATTTCTGAGTTTTATATTCTGTTCTATTGGCCTATTTGTACCAGAACAGTGCTGTTTTGGTTACTGTAGCCGTGTAGTATAGTTTGAAGTCAGGTAGCATGATGCCTCCAGCTTTGTTCGTTTTGTTTAGGATTGTCCTGGCTATTCGGGTTCTGTTTTCTTTCCATATAAATTTTAAAATAGTTATTTCTAATTTTATGAAGAGTGTCAGTGGTAGTTTAGGGAAAATATCATTGAATATAAATTACTTTGGGCAGTACAATTATTTTTACAATATTGATTCTTCCTATCCATGAACATGGAATGTTTTTCCGTTTGTTTGTGTCCTCTCTGATTTCTTTGAGCACTGGTTTGTAATTCTCCTTGAAGAGGTCCTTCATTTCCCTTGTTAGCTATACTCCTAGGTATCTTATTCTTTTTGTAGCAATTGTGAATGGGATTTCATTCATGATTTGTCTCTGTGGTTGCCTGTTATTTGTGTATAGCAATGTTAGCAATTTTTGCACTTTTTTATTATACTTTAAGTTCTAGGGTACATGTGCACAATGTGCAGGTTTGATACATAGGTATACATGTGTCATGTTGGTTTGCTGCATCCATCAACTCGTCATTTACATTAGGGATTTCTCCTAATGCTATCCATCCTCCAGCCCCCCAACCCCTGACAGGACCCAGGGTGTGAAGTTCTCTGCCCTTTGTCCAGGTGTTCTCATTGTTCAATTCCCACCTATGAGTGAGAACGTGTGCTGTTTGGTTTTTTGTACTTGTGATAGTTTGCTGAGAATGATGGTTTCCAGCTTCATCCATGTCCCTACAAAGGACATGAACTCATTTTTTTATGGCTGCATAGTATTCCATGGTGTATAGGTGCCACATTTTCTTAATCCAGTCTATTATTGATGGGCATTTGAGTTGGTTCCAAGTCTTTGCTGTTGTGAATAGTGCCACAGTAAACACATGTGTGCATGTGTCTTTATAGTAGCATGATTTCTAATCCTTTGGGTATATACCCAGTAATGGGATGGCTGGCTCAAATGGTATTTCTAGTTCTAGACCCTTGAGGAATCTAAAAGTGTTCCTATTTCTCCACATCCTCTCCAGCACCTGTTGATTCCTGACTTTTTAATGATAGCCATTCTAACTGCTGTGAGATGGCATGTCATTGTGCTTTTGATTTGCATTTCTCTGATGGCCAGTGATGATGAGCATTTTTTCATGTGTCTGTTGGCTGCATAGATGTTTTCTTTTGAGAAGTGTCTGTTCATATCCTTCCCTCACTTTTTGATGGTATTGTTTGATTTTTTTCTTGTAAATTTGTTTGAGTTCATTGTACATTCTGGATATTAGCCCTTTGTCAAATGAATAGATTGCAAAAATTTTCTCCCATTCTGTAGGTTGCCTGTTTACTCTGATGGTAGTTTCTTTTGCTGTGCAGAAGCTCTTTAGTTTAATTAGATCCGATTTGTTATTTTGGCTTTTGTTGCCATTGCTTTTGGTGTTTTAGTCATGAAGTCCTTGCCCATGCCTGTGTTGTGAATGGTATTGCCTAGGTTTTCTTCTAGAGTTTTTATGGTTTCAGATCTAATATTTAAGTCTTTAATCCATCTTCAATTAATTTTTGTATAAGGTATAAGGAAGGGATCCAGTTTCAGCTTTCTACATATGGCTAGCCAGTTTTCCCAGCACCATTTATTAAATAGGCAATTTTTTCCCAATTTTTTATTTTTATCAGGTTTGTCAAAGATCAGATGGTTGTAGATATGTGGTGTTATTTCTGAGGCCTCTGTCCTGTTCAATTGGTCTATATCTCTGTTTTGGTACCAGCACCATGCTGTTTTGGTTACTGTAGCCTTGTAGTACAGTTTCAAGTCAGGTAGCGTGATGCCTCCAACTTTGTCCTCTTTTCTTAGGATTGTCTTGGCTATGTGGGCTCTTTTTTGGTTCCATATGAACTTTAAATTAGCTTTTTCCAATTCTGTGAAGAAAGTCATTGGTAGTTTGATGGGGATGGCATTGAATCTATAAATTACCTTGGGCAGTATGGCCATTTTCATGATATTGATTCTTCCTACCCATGAGCATGGAATGTTCTTCCATTTGTTTGTGTCCTCTCTTATTTCATTGAGAAGTGATTTGTAGTTCTCCTTGAAGAGGTCCTTCACATCCCTTGTAAGTTGGTTTCCTAGGTATTTTATTCTCTCTGTGGCAATTGTGAATGGGAGTTCACTCATGATTTGGCTCTCTGTTTGTCTGTTATCGGTGTATAGGAATATTTGTGATTTTTGTACATTGATTTTGTATCCTGAGACTTTGCTGAAGTTGCTTATCAGCTTAAGGAGATTTTGGGCAGAGATGATGGGGTTTTCTAAATATACAATCATGTCATCTGCAAACAGGGACAATTTGACTTCCTCTTTTCCTAATTGAATACCCTTTATTTCTTTCTCTTGCCTGATTGCCCTGGCCAGAACTTCCAACACTGTTGAATAGGAGTGGTGAGAGAGGGCATCCTTGTCTTGTGCCAGTTTTCAAAGGGAATGCTTCCAGTTTTGGCCCATTTAGTATGATATTGGCTGTGGGTTTGTCATAAATAGCTCTTATTATTTTGAGATATGTTCCATCAGTGCCTAGTTTATTCAGAGATTTTAGGATGAAGGGCTGTTGAATTTTGTCGAAGGCCTTTCTGCATCTATTGAGATAATCATGTGGTTTTAGTCATTGGTTCTGTTGATGTGATGGATTACATTTATTGATTTGCATATGTTGAGCCAGCCTTGCATCCCAGGGATGAAGCTGACTTGATCGTGGTGGATAACCTGTTTGATGTGCTGCTGGATTCGGTTTGCCAGTATTTTATTGAGGATTTTGGCATCGATGTTCATCAGAAATATTGGTCTAAAATTCTCTTTTTTTGTTGTGTCTTTACCAGGCTTTAGTATCAGGATAATGCTGGCCTCATAAAATGAGTTAGGGAGGATTCCCTCTTTTTCTATTGATTGGTCATTTACTGCACCTAACAACCCATCATCTAGAAATTAAGCCCAGCATGCATTAGCTGTTTCTCCTGATTCTCTCCCCCAACAGGCCCCGGTGCGTTTTGTTCTCCTTCCTGTGTCTATGTGTTATTACTATTTAGCTCCTACTTATAAGTGAGAACATATGGTGTTTGTTTTCTGTTCCTGTGTTAGTTTGCTTAGAATAATGGCTTTCAGCTTCATCCATGTTCTTATTCATCCATGAGCAAGATCAGCCAAGGGCATGACCTTGTTCTTTTTTATGGCTGGATAGTATTGCATGGTTTATATGTACCACGTTTTCTTTATCCAATCTATCATTGTTGGGCATTTGGGTTGATTCTATGTCTTTGCTATTGTGAATAATGCTGCCATGAAAACATATGTGCATGTTTCTTTATAACGGAATGATTTATATTCCTTTTGGTGTAAACCCAGTAATTGGATTTCTGGGTCAAATGGTATTTCTGGTTCTAAATCTTTGAGGAATTGCCACACTGTCTTTCACAATGGGTAAACTAATTTAAATTTCCAAGGGTGTAAAAGTGTTTCTATTTCTCTGCAACCTCACCAGCATCTGTTGTTTCTTGACTTTTTAATAATCACCACTCTGACTGGCCAACTTGATCATGGTGGATAAGCTCTTTGATGTGCTGCTGTATTTAGTTTGTTAGTACTTTAATGAGAAACTTTCCATCAGTGTTCATCAATGATACTGGCCTAAATATTTTTTTTGTTTTTTTAAATCTCTGACAGGTTTTGTATCAGGATGATGCTGACCTCATAGAATGACTTAGGGAGGAGTCCCTCCTTTTCAATTGTTTTAAATAGTTTCAGAAAAAGTGATATTAGCTATTAGCTCCTCTTTGTGTTTCTGATAGAATTAAGTTGTAAATCCACCTGGTCCTGGGCTTTGTTTTTTGATTGGTAGGCTGTTTATTACTGCCTTAATTCCAAAACTTGTTATTGGTCTATTTAGGGATTCAACTTCTTCCTGATTCAGTCTTGGGAGGACGTACGTGTTCAGAAATTTATCCATTTCTTCTAGATTTTCTTTCTTTCTTTCTTTTCTTTTTTTTTGAAATGGTGTTTTGCTTTTGTTGCCCTGGCTGGAGTGCAGTTGCATAATCTCAGCTCATTGCAACTTCCACCTCCCAGGTTCAAGCAATTCTCCTGTTCTCCTGTCTCAGCCTCCTGAGTAGCTGGGATTACAGGCACACGTCACAATGTCTGGCTAATTTTTTGTATTTTTAGTAGAGATGGGGTTTCACCATGTTGGCCAGGCTGCTCTTGAACTTCTGACCTCAGGTGATCCACTCACCTCGGCCTCCCAAAGTGCTGGGATTACAAGTGTGAGACACCATGGCTGGCCCATTTCTTCTAGATTTTCTAGTTTACTTGCATAGAGCTGTTTATAGTATTCTTTGATAGTTGTTTGTATTTCTATGGGTTAAGTGGTGGTATCCCCCTTATTTCTAATTATGTTTATTTGAATCTTCTCTCTTTATAGCTAGTGGCCTATCCATTTCATTAATTTATTAAAAAAACCAGCTGCTGGATTCATTGATTTATGAAGGGTTTTTTTTGTGTGTGTTTCTATGTCCTTCAGTTTTACTCTGAACTTGGTTATTTCTTGTCTTCTGCTAGCTCTGGCATTTATATGTTCTTTGTTCTCTATTTCTTCTAGTTGTGACGTTAGGGTGTCAATTTGAGATCTTTCTAGCTTTTTGATGTGGACATTTAGTGCCATAAATTTTCCTTTTCACACTGCCTTAGCTGTGTTCCAGAGATTCTCATACATTGTTTCTTTGTTTTCATTGATTTCAAAGAACTTCTTGATTTATGCCTTAATTTTGTTATTTACCCAGAAGTCTTTCCAGAGCAGGTTGTTCAATTTTCATGTAGCTGTGTGGTTTTGAGTGAGTTTTTAAATCTTGATTGCACAGTGGTCTGAGAGACTGTTATAATTTCAGTTCTTTTGCATTTGCTGAGGCATGTTATACTTCCAATTATGTAATCAATTTCAGAGTAAGTGTCATGTGGTACCAAGAAGAATGTATATTCTGTTATTTTGGGGTGGAGGGTTCTGTAGATATCTGTCAGGTCCACTTGATCCAGAGCTGTGTTTAAGTCCTGAATATCTTTGCTAGTTTTCTGTCTTGATGATCTAATATTGACTGTGACTTATTAAAGTCTCTCACTATTATTGTGTGGGTTCTAAGTCTCCCTGTAGGTCTTTAAGAACTTGTTTTATGAATCTCGGTGCTCCCATATTGAGTGCATATATATTTAGTATAGTTAGCTCTTCTCGTTGCATTGATCCCTTTACCATTATGTAATGCCCTTCTTTGTGTTTTTTGATCTTTGTTGGTTTAAAGTCTGCCTTATCAGAGACTAGGATTGCAAACCCTGCTTTTTTGCTTTCCATTTGCTTGGTACATCTTACTCTATCCTTTTATTTTGAGCCTATGTGTGTTTTGGCATGTGAGATGGGTCTCCTGAATACAGCACACAGATGGGTCTTGACTCTTTATCCAATTTGCCAGTCTGCTGTCTTTTTAATTGGGACATTTAGCCCATTTACATTTAAGGTTAATATTGTTATGTGTGAATTTGATTCTGTCTTCATGATGTGAGCTGGTTATTTTGCACATTAGTTAATGCAGTTTCTTCAGAGTCTCATTGGTCTTTATATTTTGGTATGTTTTTCCAGTGGCTGGTACTGGGTTTTTCTTTCCATATTTATTGCTTCCTTCAGGAGCTCTTGTGAGGCAGACCTGGTGATGACAAAATGCCTCAGCATTTGCTTGTCTGGAAAGGATTTTGTTTCTCCTTCCCTTATGAAACATAATTTGGCTGGATATGAAATTCTGGGTTGAAAATATTTTTCTTTAGGAATGTTGAATATTCGCCCCCATTTTCTTCTGGCTTCTAGGGTTTCTGCAGAGAGATCCACTGTTAGTCTATTGGCTTCCCTTTGTGGGTAACCTGACCTTTCTCTCTGGCTGCTCTTAACATTTTTTTCTTCACTTCAACGTTGGTCAATCTGATGATTATGTGTCTTGCGGTTGCTCTTCTTGAGGAGTACCCTAGTGGTGTTCTCTGTATTTCCTGAATTTGAATGTTGGCCTGTCTTGCTAGGTTGGGGAATTCTCCTGGATAATATCCTGAGGTGTGTTTTCCAACTTGGTCCCATTCCCTCTGTCACCTTTTGGTACACAAATCAGTTGGAGGTTTGGTCTTTTCACATAGTCCCATATTTTTTGGAGGCTTTGTTCATTCCTTTTTATTTTTTTCTCTAATCTTGTCTTCATGCTTTATTTCATTAATTTGATCTTTAATCTCTGATATCCTTTCTTCCACTTGATCGATTCGGCTATTGATACTTGTGTACACTTCACGAAGTTCTCTTGTTGTGTTTTTCAGTTTCATCAGTCATTTATGTTCATCTCTAAACCGGTTATTATAGTTAGCAGTTCTTGTAACCTTTTATTGAGGTTCTTATCTTCCTCGCATTGAGTTAGAACATACTCCTTTAGCTTGGAAAAGTTTGTTATTACCCACCTTCTGAAGTCTACTTCTGTCAATTCCTTAATCTCATTCTCCATCCAGTTTTTTGCCCTTGCTGGAGGGGAATTGCAATCATTTGGAGAAGAGGCCTTCTGGTTTTTGGAATTTTCAGGGTTTTTGCACTTTTTTTTTTGTTTTTCATCTTCATGGATTTATCTACCTTTGATCTTTGAGGGTGATGACCTTTAAATGGGGTTTTTGTGTGTAGGTCATTTATGTTGATGTTGATCTTGTTGTTTTCTGTTTGTTAGTTTTTCTTCTAACAGTCAAGGCCCTCTTCTGCAGGTCTGCTGCAATTTGCTCTAGGTTCACTCCAGACACTGTTCACCTGGGTATCACCAGTGGAGACTGCAGAACAGCAATGATTGCTGCTGCTCCTTCACCTGGAAGCTTCATTCCAGAGGGGCACTGGCCTTATGCCAGCCAGAGCTCTCCTGTTTGAAGTGTCTGTTGATCCTTGTTGGGAGGTCTCTCCCAGTCAGGAGGCATGGGTGTCAAGGAACTACTTGAGGAGGCAGTCTGTCCCTTAGCCTTGCTCAAGATCTGTGCTGGGAGAATCCCCCTTGTCAGGATCAGCTGCTTTCTTCAGAGCTGGCAGGCAGGAATGATTAAATCCGCTGAAGCTGCACCCACAGCTTCCCATCCCCCCTGATGCTCTGTCCCAGGGAGATGGGGGTTTTGTCTGTAAGCCCCTGACTGGGGCTGTTACCTTTCTTTCAGAGATGCCTTGCCTATTGAGGAGAACTATATAGAAGCAGTCTGGTCACAGCCACTTTGCCACACACAGCCCAGACCTCCCAGCCTCTTTAGCACAGTCAGGGGAAAACCGTCTATTAAAGCCTCAGTAATGGCAGGCACCCATCCCCCCATCAAGTTTGATCATCCCAGGTTGACTTCAGACTGCTGTGCTGGCAGTGAGAATTTCCAGCCAGTGGTTCTTAGCTTCCTGGACTCTGTGGGAGTGGGACCCACTGAGCGAGACCACTTGACTCCCTGGTTTAAGCCCCATTTCCAAAAAAGGAAATGGTTCTGTCTTGCTGGGGTTCCAGACACCACTGCAGTATGGAAAACCAACTCCCGTAGCTAGCTCAGTGTCTGCCCAAACAGCCGCCCAGTTTTGTGCTTGAAACCCAAAGCCTGGTGGTGTAGGCGCATGAGGGAATCTCCTGATCTGCAGATTGCAAAACCATGGGAAAAGAGTAGTAACCTGGCAGGGTAGCACAGTTCCTCACAGCTTCCCTTGGGTGGGGGAGGGAAGTCCCCCAGCTCCTTGTAATTCCTGGGTGAAGCAATGTCCCACCCTGCTTCTGCTTGCTCTCCATGGGTTGGACCCACTGCCTAACCATTCCCAATGAAATGAACTGAGTACCTCAGTTGGAAATGCAGAAATCACCCACCTTCTATGTTGGTCTCACCAGGACCTGCAAACCAGAGCTGTTCCTATTTGGCCATCTTGGACCCTCCTAACTATTAATTTCTAATTTTATTATGCTGTCATCCAAGAAGATACTCGATATGATTTTTTTTTCAACTTAGTGAGGCTATTTTTTGACCTAATATATGCTCCATCTTGGAAAGTGCTTCTTGGACTTGTTAGAAGAATGTATGCTCTATGATTGGTGAGTAAAATGGTCTGTGTGCGTTATGTCCATTTGGTCTCAGTGTAATTTGATTCCGGTGTTTGTTTCTTGATTCTTCTGTCTCAATCATATGTCTAGGGTTTTCTTTTTGATGTTGACATTCCCCACTATTATTGTGCATCTGTCTATCTCTTTTCGTAGCTCCACTAGTATTTTTTATGAATCTTGGTGCTCTGGTTTGGTTGTATATATATGTAGTAGTGTCATATCATCTTGTTAGTTGATACCTTTATCATTATGTAATGATCTTTTATATCTTTTGTTTTGTTGTTGATTTAAAGTCCATTTTATTTATATAAGTATAGCAATTTCCACTCACTTTTCGTTTTTATTTGCATGTAGTACCTTTTCCCACCCTTTTACTTTGAATCTATATGTATGTTTAAAAGTCAAATGTGTTTGTTGTAAGTAACATGGTTAGAACATGTTTATTTATTCAATGTATATGTTAAGCAGTTGATTTAATCCATTTATGTTCATAGTTGATATATGAGGTCATGAGCCTGTTTTTTAAAATATTATTATTATACTTTAAGTTCTGAGATACATGTGTAGAAGGTGCAGGTTTCTTACATAGGCATACACGTGCCATGGGGATTTGCTGCACCAATCAACCCATCATCTACATTATGTATTCCTCCTAATGCTATCCCTCCCCTAACTCCCACCCCCTGACAGACCCTGGTATGTGATGTTCCCCTCCCTGTGTCCATGTGTTTTCATTGTTCAACTCCCACTTATGAGTCAGAACATGCAGTGTTTAGTTTTCTGTTCCTTTGTTAGTTTGCTGAGAATGATGGTTTCCAGCTTTATCTATGTCCCTGCAAAGAACATTAACTCATCTATTTTTGGGGCTGCATAGTATTCCATGATATATATGTGCCACATTTTCTTCATTCAGTCTATCATTGACGGGCCTTTAGGTTGTTTTCAAGTCTTTGCTATTGTGAATAGTGCTGCAATAGACATATGTGTGCATATGCATATGTCTTTATAGTAGAATGATTTATACTTCTTTGGGTATATACCCAGTAATGGCATTGCTGGGTCAAATGGTTCTAGATCCTTGAGGAGTCACCACACTGTCTTCCACAATGGTTGAATTGACACTCCCACAAACAGTGCGTAAGTGTTCCTATTTCTCCACATCCTCTCCAGCATCTGTTGTTTCCTGACATTTTAGTGATCACCATTCTAACTGGTGTGAGATGTTATCTCATTGAAGTTTTGATTTGCATTTCTCTAATGACCAGTGATAATGAGCTTTTTTTCATATGTTTGTTGGCCGCATAAATGTCTTCTTTTGAGAAGTTTCTGTTCATATCCTTCGCCCACTTTTTGATGGGGTTGTTTATTTCTTGTAAATTTGTTTAAGTTCCATGTAGATTCTAGATATTAGTACTTTGTCAGATGGATAGATTGCAAACATTTTCTCCCATTCTGTAGGTTGCCTCTTCACTCTGATGATAGTTTCTTTTGCTGTGCAGAAGCTCACTAGTTTAGTTAGATCCCATTTGTCAATTTTGGACTTTGTTGCCATTGCTTTTGATGTTTTAGTCATGAAACCTTGCCCATGTTTATATCCTTAATGGTATTGCCTAGGTTTTCTTATAGGGTTTTTATGGTTTTGGGTCTTATGTTTAAGTCTTTAATTCATCTTGAGTTAATTTTTGTATAAGGTGTAAGGAAAAGGTCCAGTTTCAGTTTTCTGCATATGGCTAGCCAGTTTTCCCAATACCATTTATTAAATAAAGAGTCCTTTCCCCATTGCTTGTTTTTGTCAGGTTTGTCGAAAATGTGATGGCTGTAGATGTGTGGCATTATTTCTGAGGCCTCTGTTCTGTTCCATTGGTCTATATGTCTGTTTGGTAACAGCACCATGCTGTTTTGGTTACTGTATCTTTTTAGTATAGTTTGAAGTCAGGTAGCATGATGCCTTCAGCTTTGTTATTTTTGCTTAAGATTGTCTTGGCCATACAGGCTCTTTTTGGTTCCATATGAAATTTAAAGTAGTTTTCTTTCTAATTCTGTGAAGAAAGTCAATGGTACCCTGAAGAGGATAGCATTGAATCTATAAATTACTTTGGACAGTATGACCATTTTTATGATATTGATTCTTCCTATCCATGAGGATGGACTGTTTTTCCATTTGTTTCTGTCCTTTCTTATTTCCTTGAGCAGTGGTTTGTAGTTCTCCTTGAACAGGTTCTTCACATCCCTTGCAAGTTGTATTCCTAGGTAACAGATTGATTTTGTATCCGAAGACTTTGCTGAAGTTGCTTATCAGCTTAAGGAGATTTTGTGCTGAGACCATGGGGTTTTCTAAATATATAATCATGTCATCTGCAAACAAAGACAATTTGACTTTCTCTCTTCCTATTTGAATACCCTTTATTTTTTTCTCTTGCCTGACTGCCCTGGCCAGAACTTCTAATATTATGTTGAATAGGAGTGATGAGAGAGGGCATCCTTGTCTTGTGTGGGTTTTCAAAGGGAATGTTTCCAGCTTTTGCCCATTCGGTGTGATATTCGCTGTGGGTTTGTCATAAATAGCTTTTATTAGTTTGTGATACGTTCCATCAATACCTTGTTTATTGAAATTTTTTAGCATGAAGGGGTGTTGAATTTTGTAGAAGTCCTTTTCTGCGTCTATCCTGTGGTTTTTGTCATTGGTTCTGTTTATGTGATGGATTACGTTTATTCATTTGTGTACGTTGAACAAGCCTTGCATCCCTGGGATGAAACCAACTTGATCGTGGTGGATAAGTTTTTGATGTTCTTCTGGTTTCAGTTTTCCAGTATGTTATTGAGGATTTTTGCATTGATGTTCATCAGCGATATTTATCTGAAATTTTCTTTCGTTCTTTCTTTTTTTTTCTGTTGTGCCTCTGCCAGGTTTGGGTATCAGGATGATGCTGGCCTTATAAAATGAGTTAGGGAGGAATCCCTCTTTTCCTATTGTTTGGGATAGTTTCAGAAACAGTCGTACCAGCTCCTCTTTGTACCGTGGGTAGAATTCAGCTGTGATTTCATCTGGTTCTGAGCTTTTTTTGTTTGTAGGCTATTAATTTCTGCCTGAATTTCAGAACTTCTTTTTGGTCTATTCAGGGATTCGACTACTTCCTGGTTTAGTCTTGGGAGGGTGTATGGAATTTATCCATTTCTTGTAGATTTTCTAGTTTATTTGTGTAGAGGTGTTTATAGTATTTTCTGATGTTTGTTTTACTGTGGGATCAGTGGTGATATCCCCCTTATCATTTTTTATTTGATTTGATTCTTCTCTCTTTTCTTCTTTATTAGTCTGGCTAGCAGTCTATTTATTTTCTTATTCTTTTCAAAAAAAACCTCCTGGATTCATTGATTTTTTGAAGGGCTTTTCATGTCTCAATCTCCTTCAGTTCTTCTCTGATCTTAGTTTTTTCTTATCTGCTGCTAGCTTTTGAATTTGTTTGCTCTTGCTTCTCTAGTCCTTTTAATTGCTATGTTAGGGTGTCGATTTTAGATCTTTCCTGCTTTCTCCTATGGGCATTTAGTGCTGTAAATTTCCCTCTAAATACTGCTTTAGCTGTATCCTAGAGATGCTGGTTCATTGTGTCTTAGTTCTCATTGTTTTCAAATAACTTATTTATTTCTGCCTTCATTTCGTTATGTACCCAGTAGTCATTCAGGATCAGGTTGTTCAGTTTCCAGGTAGTTGTGCAGTTTTAAGTGAGTTTCTTAATCCTGAGTTGTAATTTGATTGCACTGTGGTCTGTGAGACTGTTTGTTATGATTTCCGTTCTTTTGCATTTGCTGAGGAGTGTTTTACTTCCAATTACGTGGTCACTTTAGTATAAGAGCGATGTGGTGCTGAGAGGAATGTATATTCTGTTGATTTGTGGTGGAGAGTTCTGTAGATGTCTATTAGGTTTGCTTGGTCCAGAGGTGAGTTCAAGTCCTTCATATCCTTGTTAATTTTTTTTCTTGTGGATCTGTCTAATATTGTCAGTGGGGTGTTAAAGTATTCCACTCTTATTGTGTGGGAGTCTAAGTCTCTTTTTAGGTCTCTAAGAACTTGCTGTATGAATCCGGGTGCTCCTGTATTGGGTGTATGTGTATTTAGGATAGTTAGCTCTGCCTGTTGCATTGATCCCTTTACCTTTATGTAATGCCCTTCTTTGTATTTTCTGATCTTTGTTGGCTTAACTATTTTATCAGAGACTAGGATTGCAAACTCTGCTTTTTTTTGTTTTCCATTTGCTTGGTAAATATTTCTCCATCTCTTTATTTTGAGCCTATGTGTGTGTTTGCACTTGAGATGGGTGTCCTGAATACAGCACCCCAGTGGTCTTTACTCTTTATCCTATTTGCCAGTCTGTCTTTTAATGGAAACATTTAGCTCGTTTACATTTAAGGTTAATACTGTTATGTGTAAATCTGATCCTGTCATCATGATGCTTGCTGGTTATTTTGCTTGTTAGTTAATGCAGTTTCTTCATAGTGTCAATGGTCTTTACAATTTGGTATGTTTTTGCAGTGGCTGATACCAGCTTTTTCTTTTCATATTTAGAGCTTCCTTCAGGAGCTCTTGTAAGGCAGGCCTGGTGGTGACAAAATCTCTCATTTGCTCATTTCTAAAGGATTTTATTTCTTATTCGCATATGAAGCTTAGTTTGGCTGGTAATGAAATTCTGGTTTGAAATTTTTTTTTATTAAGAATGTTGAATATTGGCCCCTACTCTTTTCTGGCTTGTAGGGTTTCTACTGAGAGATCCACTGTTAGTCTGATGGGCTTCGCTTTTGTGGGTAACCTGACCTTTTTCTCTGGCTGCCCTTAACATTTTTCTTCGTTTCAACCTTTATGAATCTTACAATTATGTGCCTTGGGGTTGCCCTTCTTAAGGAGTATCTTAGTGTTGTTCTCTTTATTTTCTTAATTTGAATGTTGGCCTATCTTACTAGGTTGGGGAAGTTCTCCTGGATAATATTCTGAAGAGTGTTTTCCAACATGGTTCCATTTTTCCCATCACTTTCAGGTACACCAATCAAACGTACATTTGGTCTTTTCACATAGTCCGATATTTCTTGGAGGCTTTGTTTTTTCCTTTTCATTCTTTTTTCTCTAATCTTGTCTTCATACTTTATTTTATTTAGTTGATCTTCAATCTCTGATATCTTTTCTTCCACTTGACTAATTCAGCTATTGATTCTTGTGTATACTTCACAAAGTTCTTGTGCTGTGTTTTTCAGCTCCGTCACATTATTTATGTTATTCTCTAAACTGGTTATTCTCATTAGCAATTCCTCTAACCTTTTTTAAGGTTTTTATTTTCCTTGCATTGGGTTTGAACATGGTCCTTTAGCTCAGAGCTATTTCGTATTACCCATCTTCTGAAGCCTACTTATGTCAATTTGTCAAACTCATTCTCCATCAAATTTTGTTCCCTTGCTGGTGAAGAGTTGTGATCCTTTGGAGGGAGAAGAGGCATTCTGGTTTTTGGAATTTTCAGCCTTTTTTTGCTGTTTTTTTTTTTTTTTCTCATCTTCGTGGATTTATCTACCTTTGATCTTTGATGATGGTGACCTTCGAATGGGGTTTTTGTGTGGACGTCCTTTTTGTTGATGTTGTGGTATTCCTTTCTGTGTGTTAGTTTTCCTTCTAGCAGTCAGGCCCCTCTGCTGCAGGTCTGCTGGAGTTTGCTGGAGGTCCATTCCAGACCTGGGTATCACCTGTGGAGGCTGCAGAACAGCAAAGATCGCTGCCTGTTCCTTCCTCTGGAAGCTTCGTCCCAGAGGGGCACCTGCCAGATGCCAGGCAGAGCTCTCCTGTATGAGGTGTCTGTCGACCTCTTATGGGAGGTATCTCTCAGTCAGGAGGCACAGGGATCAGGCACCCACTTGAGGAGGCAGTCTGACCCTTAGCAGAGCTCGAGCGCTGTGCTGGGAAATGTGCTGCTCCCTTCAGAGCTGGCAGGCAGGAACGTCTAGGTCTGCTGAAGCTGCCCCCATGGACAACCGTTCTCCTAGGTGGTCTGTCCCAGGGAGATGGGATTTTCATCTATAAGCCCCTGACTGGGGCTGCTACCTTTCTTTCAGAGATGCATTGCCTAGAGAAGGGGAATTTAGAGAGGCAGTCTGGCTACAGCGGTTTTGTGGCGCTATGGTGGGCTCCACGCAGTTCAAATTTCCTGGTGGCTTTGTTTACACTGTGAGGAAAAAATTGCCTACTCAAGCTTCAGTAATGGTGGATATCCCTCTCCCCACCAAGCTCGAGCACCCCAGGTTGACTTCAGACTGCTGTGTTGGCAACAATAATTTCAAGCCAGTGGATCTTAGCTTGCTGGGCCCTGTGGGGGTGGGATCTGCTGAGCTAGACCACTTGGCTCCCTGGCTTCAGCCTCCTTTCCAGGGGAGTGAATGGTTTTTTCTTGCTGGCATTCCCGGAGACACTGAGCTGTGAAAAAAAAACTGCTGCAGCTAACTTGGGGTCTGCCCAAATGGCTTCCCGGTCGTGTAGTCACCCATGGGAATTTTCTGGTCTGTAGGTTGTGAAGACCATGGGAAAAGCATAGTATCTGGGCCAGAATGCACCATTCCTCACGACATAGTCTTTCAAGGCTTCCTTTGACTATGGGAAGGAGTTCCCCGACCCCTTGTACTTCCTGTGTGAGGTGACGCCCCACCTGCTTTGGCTCACCCTCTGTGGGCTGCACCCACTGTCTAACCATTCCCAATCAGATGAGCTGGGTACTTCAGTTGGAAATGCATAAATCACCCACCTTCTGTGTTGATCTTGCTGGGAGCTGCAGACTGGAGCTTTTCCTATTTGGCCATCTTGGCAGCCACCGTCTCATACTTCTGTTATAGTGTTAATTGCTACCTAGTTGCTTTTAGTCTCATTTGTGTAATTGTGTAACTGTTTTATAAGACCAGTGAGGTTTATACCTTTGTGGGTGTTGTTTTTTCTTTTTATGACAGTGAATATCAACCTTACGTTTCCATGATTAGATCTCCCTTGAGCATTTCTTGTAGAGTTAGTCTAGTGGTTACATATTCTTTTTGTGTTTGCTCTTCTGGGAAATACATTATTTTTTATTTCTTCAGAAGCGTAGTTCAGCAGGATAAAAAATTTGTGGTTGGCTTTTTTTTTTTTCTTTAAGAAGATGGACAATAAGACCTTAATCTCTTCTGGCTTGTAAGGTTTCTGCTGAGAAGTCCACGGTTATTCTGGTAGAATTTCCTTCATGTGTAATTAGATGCCTTACTTTTGCTGATTTTAGGATTTTTTTCCCTCACGTTGAATTTATATAGCCTGATGGTTGTATGTTTTAATTACATCCATCTTTCAATGTATGCTGAAGGTCTCTGAGATTCTTGTATCTGAATGTCTAAATCTATAGAAAGACTAGAGAACTTTCATCCAATTATTTTCTCAAATAGGTTTTTGATACTTTCTACTTTTTCTTTTTTTTTTTTTGGAATATCTATATTTCATATGTTTGAATATTTTACATAATCCCATACTTCTTGAAGGCTTTGTTGTACATTTTATCAAATTATATTTTAAAACATTTGGTCTGGGTTAAATCTAAAAATACTCATCTTCAATCTTTGAGACAGTTATACCTTTGTAAAAAATCTGTTTGGTAAATTTTTTTGATATACTGAATTCTTTAAAAAAAATTTTTTTGTTGGTTTTTAACTTGCTCTTAGATCTCATTGAACATATTCAAAATTAATATTTTTAATTTTTATCTAGCATTTTAATGACTTTATTTTTGTTACAATTCATTGCTAAAGAGTTAACATGACTCTTTGGGAGTGTTGTAACACTGTTTTTTCATACTTTCAGAATTGTTCTATTGGTTTCTTCTCATCTGTGTAAACTATCTCTTCCTATTTTTGAATTTACTTTCATTTGGAAAATTTTTTTTTTTTCTTCTCATTGAGGACGTGCCTACAATGTACATTGTCTGGGGTCTTTTGGCTTTAGTTATGGATGATTTCAGTGGCCAAGGCTCTGTATGAGTTTCTTCTTTATAGACAAGATTTGTGTGGTGGCTTTCTCGTATACTGTCTGTAGTAGTGTTGAACTGGGCATTTGAGCAGGTACACGATCCCCTTTAGGGCCTGGGATTGCAGAGGTCTCAGGAAACTTATGTCTTTACTCAGTGCTGTGCACTTATGTCAGCAGATTTTGTATTGGTTCTGTGGGTCAACCTTGAAGCCAGTAGGTATCATTTGTCATTAAAGCTGGCTGCAGTAGTAGCACGTGGGGATATATATATATATATATATATATATATATATATATATATATTTTTTTTTTTTTTTTTTTTTTTTTTTTTTTTTTTTGAGATGGAATCTCACTCTGTCACCCAGGCTGGTGTGCAGTTGTGTGATCCTGGCTTACTGCAACCTCCACCTCCTAGGTTCAAACAATTCTCCTTCCTCAGTCTCCCAAGTAGCTGGGATACAGGCGCCTGCCACCATACCTGATTAACTTTTGTATTTTTAGTAGAGATGGGGTTTCACCATGTTGTCCAGGCTGGTCTTGACCTCCTGACGTCAAGTGATCCTCCCACCTCAGCCTCCCAAAGTGCTAGGATTACAGGCATGAGTCACGATGCGGGTGTAGGTAATATACTTGATCTTTGTTTACTGGGAGATCTCTGTTGCCTCAGGCAATACGTTTGTCATTGAGATGCACAGTGGCCTGAGTCTCCCCTTCAACTCTGGATGATGAGACAAAGCAGGGTGGAGCTGGACCACCAAGTCCATCCTTGGATACCCCCATGGCTGGCATAATCATTATCCCTGACAATGATAATAAGGTTAGTTCTTGGTGAAATACTCCATGATCTCTGCAATGAAGAGGTGGAAGCTGCCCCATTCCCGTGGCCTAGGCAGGCAGGAATGAGATTCGCTTCACTGTCACACCCCTGTTCCAACACTCAGAACACAGATTTGTCAGGGATCACTGTCTATTTCCAGACTGCAATGAAGCTGAGAGCTGTCAAAGACAAATGCCCCATGACTTACAACTGAATCTTGTGTGAAATATTTTCCCAATGTTTTAAACAAACAGATTTGCAGCACTTCTGCTCTCTGCTGCAGTAGTGCTGCCACTCTGTGTAGAGAAGGGGAGGGGCCCTGCCTTTGTGCAAGCCCAGGCCCAGTGGGCATACTGCCAGTGGGGACACATTTGCCCCTAAAAGACCTAGAAAGGCCATCCTCCAGTGGACCTGTGTCAATTAATTATGGTAGCAGTCATGACTGTGGGTGCAGAAGTAAGCAGGCAACAAGAAGTCTTCTCTACACCTGTGCCTGAGTGCTGACACTGGCCACTGGGATGGAACCACATTTCTTTCTTGCAGAGCCAAGCACAGCACCTGTATCTCTGCTGGATTTGGCACAGCCACTGAGAGCTCACGAGTGGGGAGCTCTCAGGTACATCTAGTTTCTTTTGTCCCGAGGAGTGCTCCTCCTTTGATATATTGTTCTTCTTCCCTTAGGAGCATAACTCTCTAAGAACTAGACTACTGGGAACCCTGGAGCTCCCCTGGGTCCAACCAACCTTATGTGTCTGCCACAATCTGAGGAGGAGCTGAGGCATGTCTGTGGGGGCTCCAGTAACATATAGACACAAAGGCTGAGGTCCACTGGGTAGGACATAGCTCTCAATGTCTGAATCCACAGTATGGTTTCTTGCCATCATAGCGTGGTTCTGGGGAAGGGCAAGCAATCCAGCACAAGTTAGTAGTTTGGTGTAATGCTTTCCAAAAGCCCCCAAATCACCACCCACACCAGTGTTTGTGTTTATAAGGGCAGAGGAGATCTCTGATAGTGTGGATACTGGCAATCTATCATAGGAGAAAGGGGAGCCCAAACCACCCCCACCTATTCTTTTGATAAAATACTAAGTCTTTCAGGGTTCCAAGCTAATCTCTGCCATCTACGCTCTAGCTTCTTCTCATAACCTCTCTGTTAGGCTTCAGAACTATTCCCTTGATATTCTTTCTATTCAAGCTAGGATTATTCACCTGTGTATTTGTCAAGGTTCTCTAAAGGGACAGAACTAATATGATAGATGAATATATGAAAGGGAGTGTATTAGAAAAATTCACTCACCTGATCACAAGATGAAGTCCCACAATAGCCTGTCTGCAATCTGAGGAGCCAGGAAGACCATCCAAGACCCAAAACCTCAAAAGTAGGAAAGCCGACAGTGCAGCCTTCAGTCTGTGGCCAAAGGCCTGAAAGCCCCTGGCAAATCACTGATGTAAGTCCAAAAGTCCAAAAGCTGAAGAACATGGAGTCTAATGCTCGGGGGCAGCAAGCATCCAGCACAGGAGCAGGAAGGAGGCCAGAAGACTTAGCTAGTCCTTTCACGTTCCTCTGCCTGCTTTTATCCTAGCTGGGCTGGCAGCTGATTAGATGGTGCCCACAGAGTTTGAGGGTGAGTCTGCCTCTCCACTGACTCAAATGTTAATCTTTTTTGGCAACACCCTCATAGACACACCCAGGAACAATAATTTGCATCCTTCAATCCAATTAAGTTGACACTCAATATTAACCATCACAAGTCCATCCCTTGTCAACTTGATCCCATACACATCTCCTGAAATAATACATAATCTTCAAATCAAGACAATAATAAGGTCATAATTATGCCTAACATAATAAAGCTATCCTTCGTACAACCGGAAGTGCGCCAACCCCCAACCCAAATGCTATTACATAAAGTTAACAACACTTAAAGGCTGATATGAAGTCAATAAAGCTTATGTCACATGATAAAAAAGGAAATAAAATGAAGATATTTTCTTAGTACATGTGTGTACATGCACAAACATGTTCTTAACAAAATAAGGAGGAAATACTCATGAGAATTACAGTCCTTGTTTCTGCAACTGGTCACGTGGTCATAGCTGGTATTGAAGACTGTCTTCTTCTTCTACCTATTCTGTATTCCCTTTGCCTTCATCAAGCACCTCAGTGGGTCATGGTTTTTTACCTGGTGGCGTGAATCAAACCTTTATTCCTGAAAAGTCTGGGCCATTTGTAGTCCTGCCTGGATTGGGTTGTTCTAATTTCCCATTGACCTTAGTCACAGGGCATGGTAATATTAGTATTACGCCCTAAGGGATCTCCTTACCTCCATTGAAGAGTAGTAGGCTGATTTCATCTTGTCAGTCTGGGTAAATCACCCCAGCCAACACTGTCACTTTCTTTTTAGCCAGTTAACTTAGAGGTAGGAGTAGAACAAAGTGGACATGTGTCAATCTTAACTTCCAGTTTAATGGAATCATTGTTGTGTCTCCTGGTGGCAGCATTCCTCTCTTGAACTAATACCTCTAGACCAGCAGAACATAATGTCACAGGAACAGGCAGCAAAAATTTTGCTAGTGGGTCACCACGGGTGATGGTGAGTGGTGCCACTTTCACTTTCCCCATTGATTCCTGGACCCGTGAATCCTGGCTATGGGAGAAAAAATACCATATATTGGATGTTGATTCAGAGCATACACAGCCTTCTGGAGAACTTTGCTCTAGCCCTGCAAAGTATTTTCACTTGGTTGACATTGTAATTGTTACTTCAAAAGGCCATTCCACTGTTCTGTCAATCGAGCTGCTTCAGGATGATAGGGAACATGGTAAGACTAATGAATTCCATGAGCATGAACCCACTGCTGCACTTAATTAGCTGTAAAGTGTGTGCCTTGGTCAGAGGCAATGCTGTGTGGAATACCATGATGGTGGATAAGGCATTCCATGAGTCTTCGGATGGTAGTCTTTGCAGAAGCATTGCATGCATGATAGGCAAACCCGTATCTGGAGTAAGTGCCTATTCCAGTGAAGACAAACTGCTGCCCTTTTCATGATGGAAGAGATCCAGTATAATCGACCTGCCACCAAGTAGCTGGCTGATCACCCTGAGGAATGGTGCCATATTGAGGGCTCAGTGTTGGTTTCTGCTGTGGGCAAATTGGGCACTCAGCGGTGGCCGTAGCCAGGTCAGCCTGGTTGAGGAAGTCCATGTTGCTGAGCCCATGTGTAACCACCATTTCTGCCACCATGACCATTGGGCAGTGACATTGGTGGCTGAGGAAAGAGGCTGAGTGGTATCCACAGAATGAGTCATTCTATTCATTTGATTATTCAAATCTTCCCCTTTGGTGAGCACTCAGATGAAATACAAATATCTTCACAGCTTTTGACCACTCAGAGATGTCCATCCACATACCTCATCCCCAAATTTATTCGTCACCAGTTTTTCAATCATACTCTTTTCAAGCCCCTGACCATCCAGCCAAACCGTTGGCTACAGACCACGAATCAATGTATAATCACATATCTGGCCATTTCTCCTTCCAAGCAAAATGCACAACCAGGTGCACTGCTTGAAGTTCTGTCCACTGGAAAGATTTCCTTTCACCGATATCCTTCATGGATGTCCTAGAAAGGGGCTGTAGTGTTGCAATTGCCAACTTTTAGGTGGTGCCTGAATATCTTGCAGAACCATCTGTGAACCAGGCCCTAGTCTTCTCTTCCTCTGTCAACTGATCATAGGGGACTCACCATGAGACCATCAGTGCAGGCTGGGGAATAGAAGGCAGGGTGGCAGGACTGGAGAGCATGGGCATTTGAGCCACTTCCTCATGTAACTTCCTTGTGCCCTCAGGACATGCTCAAGCTCAAACACGTATATACCACTTCCATTTGATGATGAAATGCCACTGTGCATGTCCCACTTTATGGCTAGATGGGTCAGAAAGCACCCAGTTCATGATAAGCAGTTCGGGTCGCATGGTGGTTGATGACTCATAGTCAAATGTTCAGTTTCCATGAATGCCCAGTAACAGGCCAAGAGCTGTCTCTCAAAAGGAGAATAGTTATCTGCAGAACACAGCAGAGTCTTGCTCCAAAATCCTAGAGGTCTCCATTGTGATTCACATATGGGAGCCAGCCAAAGGCTCCAAATAGCATCCCTATTTGCCACTGAAACCTCAAGCACCATTGGTTCTGTTGGGTCATATGGCCCAAGTGGCAGAGCAACTTGCGCAGCAGCCTGGACCTGCTGCAGAGACTTCTCCTGTTCTGGACCTTACTGGTTGCATACCAGGTACCAAGAGATGTGTTAATTTGCTCAAGCAATGAAACCATATCTGGTACAGCAGCTGCAGTTGTAGTCACTACTTGGTTAAGTATATGATAATCCACTTTCATTCTCCAGGATTCATCTTTCTTTTGCACAGGCTGAATAGGAGAGTTGAATGGAGAGGTGGTAGGAATAACCACCCTTGAGTCTTTCAAGTCCTTGATGGTGGCACTAATGTCTGCAATTTTTCCAGGGATGTGATATTGTTTTTGATTCACTATTTTTTTTAGGTAGAGACAACTGTAATGGATTCCGTTTGGCCTTTCCCAACATAATAGCCTTCATTCTACCAGTCAGGAAGCCAATGTGGGGATTCTGCCAGCTGCTAACTATGTATATGCCAATTATGCATTCTGGCACTGGGGAAATAACCACAGATGATTCCGAGGACCCACTGTACCCACTGTAAGTCAGACCTGAGCTAAAACTCCATGAATTACCCGACCTACATAAGCCCCTAATTTAACCAGATGAAGTATAATGATGTTTTGGGTCCCCTGGAATAAGCATCAGCTCAAAGCCGTGTCCAGCAGTCCCCAAGATATCTGATCATTTTCCTTTTCCCAATGCACAGTTACTCTGATAAAAGGCTGGAGGACTCCTTGGGGAAGAATGGAAGAAAAATTAATAGCATAAATTCTAGGTAGTATAGTGGGGTCCTTCCTCAAGAAGACCCAGCCTCCTCTTTATTCAACGGGTTCTGGGTCTGTAAATTGGTTCAAGTCTGGAGTTGAGAGGCTGTGATTCTCTATATTTATAATTCAAATTAGTTTTTTTTACACTCGACCTGGAAGTTTTCTGCTCACACAAATTAAGAAAGAATGCAGTAGGCTTCCTATTAATTTCACTTCTAGGAACATTGTGATTAATTAGCCAGTGCCAGAGCTCTACACAAGTCAGACTATTCTGATTGCCATTTTGCTTCTGCTGTCCATTATGTAACTATGCCTACTTAGCCTTTAATGGTTGAGTGATGCCACTTGTCCCTTGCCACCTCGGGATCCAATTATTCCCATTGCACTTAAATTTTGTAGTTGAGTGATTGGTTCCCAATGTAAGATCTGGCATAAAGAGAAGAGCAATCACAGAGCTCTTCAAGGATGCAGGTACTGCCCTCACAAATCTATTTCACAAAGTATTGGTAAAGGGTATGTCTTCTGGACCTTCCCAGCTGGGACAAGTGAGTCTAAAGTGACTAATACACACTAGCATCCAAATCTCCCTAAGCCTTTGGATCCATTCCTCCACAGTAAACCAAGGGAGATCAGGCATTTCCAGCTCATTCACAGTGAGCCATCTTTGGATCCATATTTCAGCTAACCAAGCAAATAAACTATTGAAACCTTTTTTAAACTTCCTAAGCTGCAACATTAAATGCAAAATCCCTGCTTAGTGGGCCCAAATCAATAAATTCCCCAACATAGCAAGGCAGGCCAACATTCAAATACAGAAAATATAGAGAACACAGACCACAGGGCAATCAAATTAAAACTCAGAATTAG
Organism: Homo sapiens; assembly: GCF_000001405.40. Lineage (NCBI taxonomy): Eukaryota > Metazoa > Chordata > Mammalia > Primates > Hominidae > Homo > Homo sapiens. The sequence goes on from NC_000023.11 coordinate 57,046,288, forward strand.
GAAACTCACTCAAAACTGCAAAACTACACGGAAACAGAACAACCTGCTCCTAAATAACTACTTTGTAAATAACGAAATGAATGCAGAGATAAAGATGTTCTTTGAAACCAAGGAGAAAAAAGACACAATGTACCAGAATCTCTGGGACAGGTTTAAAACAGTGAGTATAGGGAAATTTATAGCACAAAATGCCCACAAGAGAAAGCAGGAAAGATCTAAAATGAACTTGCTAACATCACATTTAAAAGAACAAGAGAAGCAGGAGCAGACAAATTTTAATGCTAGCAGGACACAAGAAATAACTAAGATCACAGCAGAATTGAAGGAGATAGAGACACGAACAACCCGTCAAAAAATCAATGAATCCAGGAGCTGGTTTTTTGAAAAGATCAACAATATAGACTGCTAGCCAGACTAATAAAGAAGGAAAGAAGAATCAAACAGATGCCACAAAAAATGATACAGGGAATATCACCACTGATCCCACAGAAATAAAAACTACCATCAGACAATACTATAAACACCTCTACACAAATAAACTAGAAAATCTAGAAGAAATCGATAAGTTCCTGGACTCACATACCCTCCCAAGACTAAACCAGAAAGAAGTCGAATCCCTTAATAGACCAATAGCAAGTTCTGAAATTGATGCGGCAATGAATAGCATACAAAACAAAAGAAGTCCAGGACCAGACAGATGCACAACCAAATTCTACCATAGGTACAAAAAGGAGCTGGTACCATTCCTTCTGAAACTATTCCAAACAATAGAAAACGAGGGAATCCTCCCTAACTCATTTTATGAGGCCAGCATCATCCTAATATCAAAACCTGACAGAGAAACAACAACAAAAAAAATATTTCAGGCCAATATCCCTGATGAACATTGATGCAAAAATCCTCAATAAAATACTTGCAAACCAAATCCAGCAGCATATCAGAAAGCTTATCCACCACGATCCAGTCGGCTTCATCCCAGGTTTGCAAGGCTGGTTCAACATATGCAAATGAATAAATGTAATCCATCACATAAGCAGAAACAATGACAAAACCCACATGATTATCTCAATACATGCAGAAAAAACCTTAGACAAAATTTAACATCCCTTCATGCTAAAAACTCTCAATAAACTAGGTATTGATGGAAGCTATCTCAAAATAATAAGAGCTATTTAAGACAAACCCACAGCCAATATCATACTAAATGGGCAAATACTGGAAACATTCCCTTTGAAAACCGGCACAAGACAAGGATGCCCTCTCTCACCACTCCTATTCAACATAGTATAGGAAGTTCTAGCTGGGGCAATCAGACAAGATAAAGAAATAAAGGGTATTCAATTAGGAAAAGAGAAAGTCAAATTGTCTCTGTTTGCAGATGACATGATTGAATATTTAGAAAACCCCATGGTCTCAGCCCAAAATCTCCTTAAGCTTATAAGCAACTTCAACAAAGTATCAGGATAAAAAAATCAATGTGCAAAAATCACAAGCATTCTTATACACCAATAACAGAGAGCCAAATCATGAGTGAACTCTCATTCAGAATTGCTACTAAGAGGATAAAATACCTAGGAATACAATTTACAAGGGATGTGAAGGTCCTCTTCAAGGAGAAATACAAACCACTGCTCGAGGAAATTAGAGAGGACAAAAACAAATGGAAAAACATTCCATGCTCATGGATAAGAAGAATCAATATCATGAAAATGGCCATATTGCCCAAAGTAATTTATAGATTCAGTGCTATTCCCACTAACCTACCATAGACTTTTTTTCACAAAATTAGAAAAAAATCTACTTAAATTTCATGTGGAACCAAAAAAGAGCCCACATATCCAAGACAATCCTAAGCAAGAAGAACAAAGCTGAAGGCAACATGCTACCTGACTCCAAACTATACTACAAGGCTACAGTAACAAAAACAACATGGTACTGATACCAAACAGATATATAGACCAATGGAACAGAAGAGAGGCTTCAGAAATTATGCCACACATCTACAACCATCAGATCTTTGACAAACCTGACCCAAACAAGCAATGGGGAAAGAATTCCCTATTTCATAAATGTTTTTGGAAAAACTGGCTAGCCATATGAAGAAAACTGAAACTGGATCACTTCCTTATACCTTATACAAAAATTAATTCAACATGTATCAAAGACTTAAATCTAAGACCTAAAGTTGTAAAAACACTAGAAGAAAACATAGGCAATACCATTCAGGACATAGGCATGGGCAAAGACTTCATGACAAAATAAAAAAACAATGGCAACAGAAACCAAAATTGACAAATGGAATCTAATTAAACTGAAGACCTTCTGCAAAGCAAGATACACTGTCATCAGGGTGAACAGGCAACCTACAGAATAGGAGAATATTTTTGCAATCTATTCATCTGACAAAGGGCTAATACACAGAATCTACAAAGAACTTAAACATATTGACAAGGAAAAAAAAAAACAAACCAAAAAGTGGGCAGAGGATATGAACAGAAACTTCTCAAAAGAAGACACTTATTCAGCCAACAAACATATGAAAAAAAGCTAATCATCACTGGTCATTAAAGAAATGCCAATCAAACCACAATGAGATAACATCTCATCCCAGTTAGAATGGCGAACATTCGGTGGTGGAGCCAAGATGGCCTTATAGGAACAGCTCCAGTCTACAGCTCCCAGTGTGAACGACGCAGAAGATGGGTGATTTCTGCATTTCCAAATGAGGTACTGGGTTCATCTCCCTGGGGAGTGTCAGACAGTTGGTGCAGGACAGTGGGTGCAGCACACTGAGTGTGAACCAAAGCAGGGTGAGGCATTGCCTCACCCAGGAAGTGCAAGGGGTCAGGGAATTCCCTTTCCTAGTCAAAGAAAGGGGTGACAGACAGCACCTGGAAAATCGGGTCACTCCCACCCTAATACTGCACTTTTCTAACAGTCTTATCAAATGGCACACAAGGAGATTTTATTGCATGCCTGGCTTGGAGGGTCCTAGGTCCACGGAGCCTCACTCATTGCTAGCACAGCAGTCTGAGATAAAACTGCAAGGCAGCAGCAAGGCTGGGGAAGGGGCACCCGCCATTGCCGAGGCTTGAGTAGGTAAACAAAGTGGCTGGGAAGTTCGAACTGGGTGGAGCCCACCGCAACTCAAGGAGGCCTGCCTGCCTCTGTAGACTCCACCTCTGAGGGCAGGGCATAACCAAACAAAAGGCAGCAGAAACCTCTGCAGACTTAAATGTCCCTGTCCGACAGCTTTGAAGAGAATAGTGGCTCTCCCAGCATGCAGCTGGAGATCTGAGAACGGACAGACTGCCTCCTCAAGTGGGTCTCTGACCCCCAAGTAGCCTAACTGGGAGGCATCCCCCAATGGGGGCAGACTGACAACTCACACAGCCGGGTACTCCTCTGAGACAAAACTTCCAGAGGCAGGCAGCAGCATTTGCTGTTCACCAATATCCGCCATTCTGCAGCATCCGGTGTTGATACTCAGGCAAACAGGGTCTGGAGTGGACCTCCAGCAAACTGCAACAGACCTGCAGCTGAGGGTACTGACTGTTAGAAGGAAAACTAACAAACAGAAAGGACATCCACACCAAAACCCCATCTGTACGTCACCATCATCAAAGACCAAAGGTAGATAAAACCACAAAGATGGAGAAAAAAACAGAGCAGAAAAACTGGAAACTCTAAAAATCAGAGTGCCTCTCCTCCTCCAAAGGAACACAGCTCCTCCCTAACAAGCAATGGAAGAAAGCTGGACAGTGAATGACTTTGACGAGTTGAGAGAAGAAGGCTTCAGGCAATCAAACTACTCTGAGCTAAAAGAGGAAGTTCGAACCGATGGCAAAGAAGTTAAAAACCTTGAAGAAAAATTAGACGAATGGCTAACTAGAATAACCAATGCAGGGAAGTCCTTAAAGGAGCTGAAGGAGCTGAAAACCAAGGCACGAGAACTACATGACGCATGCACAAGCCTCAGTAGCTGATTGGATCAACTGGAAGAAAGGGTATCAGTGATGGAAGAAGATCAAATGAATGAAATGAAGTGAGAAGAGAAGTTAAGAGAAAAAAGAATAAAAAACAAGAAGAAAGCCTCCAAGAAATATAGGATTATGTGAAAAGACCAAATCTACATCGGATTTGTGTACCTGAAAGTGATGGGGAGAATGGAACCAAGCTGGAAAACACTCTGCAGGATATTATCCAGGAGAACTTCCCCAATCTAGCAAGGCAGGCCAACATTCAAATTCAGGAAACACAGAGAACACCACAAAGATACTCCTCGAGAAGAGCAACTGCAAGACATATAATTGTCAGATTCACCAAAGATGAAATGAAGGAAAAAATGTTAAGGGCAGCCAGAGAGAAAGGTTGGGTTACTGACAAAGGGAAGCCCATCAGACTAACAGCTGATCTCTCAGCAGAAACTCTACAAGCCAGAACAGAGTGGGGGCCAATATTCAACATTCCTAAAGAAAAGAATATTCAACCCAGAATTTCATATCCAGCCAAACTAAACTTCATAAGTGAAGGAGAAATAAAATCCTTTACAGACAAGCAAATGCTGAGGGATTTTGTCACCACCAGGCCTGCCCTAAAAGAGCTCCTGAAGGAAGCACTAAACATGGAAAGGAACAACCAGAACCAGCCACTGCAAAAACATGCCAAATGGTAAAGATCATCAAGGCTAGGAAGAAACTGCAACAACTAATGAGCAAAATAACCAGCTAAAATCATAACGACAGGATCAGATTCACACATAACAATACTAACCTTAAATGTAAATCGGCTAAATGCTCCAATTAAAACACACAGATTGGCAAATTGGGTAAAGAGTCAAGACCCATCAGTGTGCTGTATTCAGGAAACCCATCTCACGTGCAGAGACACACATAGGCTCAAAATAAAGGGAAGGAGGAAGATCTACCAAGCAAGTGGAAAACAAACAAAGGCAGGGGTTGCAATCCTAGTCTCTGATAAAACAGACTTTAAACCAACAAAGATCAAAAGAGACAAAGAAGGCCATTACATAATGGTAAATGGACCAATTCAACAAGACGAACTAACTATCCTAAATATATATGCACCCAATACAGGAGCACCCAGATTCATAAAGCAAATCCTTAGTGACCTACAAAGAGACTTAGACTCCCACACAATAAAAATTGGAGAGTTTAACACCCCACTGTCAACATTAGACAGATCAATGAGACAGAAAGTTAACAAGGATATCCAGGAAGTGAACTCAGCTCTGCACCAAGCGGACCTAATAGACATCTACAGAACTCTCCACCCCAAATCAACAGAATATACATTCTTTTCAGGACTACACCACACCTATTCCAAAATTGACCACATAGTTGGAAGTAAAGCACTCTTCAGCAAATGTAAAAGAACAGAAATTACAAGAAACTGTCTCTCAGACCACAGTGCAATCAAACTAGAACTCAGGATTAAGAAACTCACTCAAAACCACTCAACTACATGGAAACTGAACAACCTGCTCCTGAATGACTACTGGGTACATAAGGAAATGAAGGCAGAAATAAAGATGTTCTTTGAAACCAACGAGAACAAAGGCACAACATACCAGAATCTCCAGGACACATTCAAAGCAGTGTGTGGAGGGAAATTTATAGCACTAAATGTCCACAAGAGAAAGCAGGAAAGATCTAAAATTGACACCCTAACATCACAATTAAAAGAACTAGAGAAGCAAGGGCAAACACATTCAAAAGCTAGCAGAAGGCAAGAAATAACTAAAATCAGAGCAGAACTGAAGGAAATAGAGACACAAAAATTCCTCCAAAAAATCAATGAATCCAGGAGCTGGTTTTCTTTTTTTTTTCTTTTTTTTTTTTTAAATTTTATTATTATTATACTTTAAGTTTTAGGGTACACATGCACGATGTGCACGTTTGTTACATATGTATACATGTGCCATGTTGGGGTGCTGCACCCATTAACTCGTCATGTAGCATTAGGTATATGTCCTAATACTATCTGTCCCCTTCCCCCCATGCCACAACAGTCCCCACAGTGTGATGTTCCCCTTCCTGTGTCCAAGTGTTCTCATTGCTCAATTCCCACCTATGAGTGAGAACATGCAGTGTTTGGTTTTTTGACCTTGTGGTAGTTTACTGAGAATGATGACTTCCAATTTCATCCATTTCCCTACAAAGGACATGAACTCATCATTTTTTACGGCTGCATAGTACTCCATGGTGTATATGTGGCACATTTTCTTAATCCAATCTATCATTGTTGGACATTTGGGTTGGTTCCAAGTCTTTGCTATTGTGAATAGTGCCACAATAAACATACGTGTGCATGTGTCTTTATAGCAGCATGATTTATAATCCTTTGGGTATATACCCAGTAATGGCATGGCTGGGTCGAATGGTATTTCTAGTTCCAGATCCCTGAAGAATTGCCACACTCACTTCCAGAATCGCTGAAGTAGCTTAAAAAGTCAAGAAACAACAGGTGCTGGAGAGTATGTGGAGAAATAGGAACACTTTTACACTGTTTGTGTACTGTAAACTGGTTCAATCATTGTGGAAGTCAGTGTGGCTATTCCTCAGGGATCTAGAGCTAGAAGTACCATTTTACCCAGCAGTCCCATGACTGGGTATATACCCAAAGGATTATAAATCATTCTACTATAAAGAAACATGCACACATATATTTATTGTAGCACTGTTGACAATAGCAAAGAGTTGGAACCAACCCAAAAGTCAATCAATGATAGAGTGGATAAAGAAAATGTGGCACATATACATCATGGAACACTATGCAGCCATATAAAAGGATGAGTTTGTGTTCTTTGCAGGGACATGAATGCAGCTGAAAGCCAAGCTTTTTAGCAAACTAACACACCACGGAAAACCAAACACTGCACGTTTTCACTCATAAGTGGGAGTTGAACAATGAGAACACATGGACACAGAGAGGGGAACATCACACACTGGGGCCTGTCGGGGGTGAGGGGCTAGGGGAGAGATTGCATTAGGAGAAATACCTAATGTAGATGACACGTGGATGGTTGCAGCTAAGCACCATTGCATGTGTATAGCTATGTAACAAATATGCACGTTCTGCACTTGTACCCCAGAACTTAATGTATAATTTACAAAAACTAATAATAATAAATTATCTCCATTCTAACTGGCGTGAGATGGTATCTCATTGTGGTTTTGATTTGCATTTCTGTAATGACCAGTAATGATGAGCTTTTTTTCATATGTTTTTTGGCAGTATAAATGTCTTCTTTTGAGAAGTGTCTGTTTATACTTTGCACCCACTTTTTGAAGGGGTTGTTTTTTCTTGTCAATTTGCTCAAGTTTCTTGTAGATTCTGGATATTAGCCCTTTTTCAAATGTATAGATTGCAAAAGTTTTCTCCCATCCTGTAGGTTTCCCGTTCAATCTGATAATAGTTTATTTTGCTGTGCAGAAGCTCTTTAGTTTAATTAGATCCTATTTGTCAATTTTGGCTGTTGTTGCAATTGCTTTTGGTGTTTTAGTCATGAAATCTCTGCCCATGCCTATGTCCTGAATGGTATTGCTCATGTTTTCTTGTAGGGTTTGAAGTCTTACATTCAAGTTTTTAATTTATCTTGAGTTAATTTTTTCATAAGGCGTAAGGAAGGGGTGCAGTTTCAGTTTTCTGCTTATGGCTAGACAGTTTTCCAAATACCATTTATTAACAAAGGAATCATTTCCTCATTGCTTGTTTTTGCCAGGTTTGTCAATGATCAGATTGTTTTAGATGTGTGGTGTTATTTCTGAGGCCTCTGTTCTGTTCCATTGGGGTATATATCTGTTTTGGTATCAATACCATGCTGTTTTGGTTACTATAGTTCTGTAGTATAGTTTGAAGTGAGGTAGTGTGATGCCTCCAGCTTTGTTCCTTTTGCCTAGGATTGTCTTGGCTATACGTGCTCTTTTTGGTTTCATATAAAATTTAAAATAATGTTTTCTAATTCTGTGAAGAAAGTAAATGGTGGCTTGATTGGAATAGCATTGAATCTCTAAATTACTTTGGGCAGTATGTCCATTTTCATGATATTGATTCTTCCTGTGCATGAGCATGGAATGTTTTTCCATGGTTTGTGTCCTCTCTTATTTTCTGGAGCAGTAGTTTGTAATTTTCCCTGAAGAGGTCCTTCACATCCCTTGTAAGTTGGATTCCTAGGTATTTTATTCTCTTTGTAGCAACTGTGAATGGGAGTTCACTCACGATTTCGTTCTCTGTCTCTTGTTGGTGTATAGAAATGCTTGTAATTTTTGCACATTGATTTTGTCTCCTGAGACTTTGCTGAAGTTGTTTATCAGCTTAAGAAGATGATGGGATGAAGATTAGGGAGATTATGGGATTTCCTAAATATACTATTATGTCATCTGTAAACAGAGAAAATTTGACTTTATCTCTTCCTACTTGAATACCCTTTATTTCTTTCTCTTGCCTGATTGCCCTGGCCAGAATTTTCAATACTATGTTGAATAGGAGTGGTGAGAGAATGCATCTTTGTCTTGTGCCAGTTTTCTATGGGAATGTTTCCAGCTTTTGCCCATTCAGTATGATATGGGCTGTGAGTTGTCATAAATAGCTCTTATTATTTTGAAATATGTTCCATTCATACCTAGTTTGTTGAATTTTTTTTAGCATGAAGAGGTGTTGAATCTTATCAAAGGCCTTTTCTGCACGTATTGAGATAATCATGTGGTTTTTGTCATTGGTTTTGTTTATGTGATGGATTATATTTATTGACTTGCGTATGTTGAACTAACCTTGCATCCCAGGGATGAAGCCATCTTGAGCGTGGTGGGTAAGCATTTTGATGTGCTGCTGGATTTGGTTTGCCAGTATTTTACTGAGGATTTTTGCATCCATGTTCATCAGGGATATTGGCCTGAAATTTTCTTTTTTTGTTGTGTCTCTGCCAGATTTTGGTATCATGATGCCACTGGCCTCATAAAATGAGCTAGGGCTGATTCTCTTTTCCTATTATTTGGAATATTTTCATAAAGAATGGTATCAGCTCCTCTTTGTACCTCTGGTAGAATTCGGTTGTGAATCCGTCTGGTCCTGGGGTTTTTTTGGTTGGTAGGCTGTTAATTATTGCCTTCATTTCAGAACTTGTTATTGGTCTATTCAGGGATTTGATTTCTTTTTTAGTCTTGGGATAATTTCTGTGTTCAGGAATTTATCCATTTCTTTTAGATTTTTTACTTTATTTGTACAGAGGTGTTTAAAGTATTTTTTGATGGTAGTTTGTATTTCTGTGGGATCAGTGTTAATATCCCCTTCATTATTTTTTATTGTGTCTATTTGATTCTTCTCTCTTTTCTTCTTTATTAGTCTGGCTCACGGTCTATCTATTTTGTTAATCTTTTCAACAAACCATCTCCTGGATTCATTGATTTTTTGGAGAGTTTTTTGTGTCTCTATCTCCTTCAGTTCTGCTCTGATGTTAGTTATTTCTTCTCTTCTGCTAGCTTTTGAATTTGCTTGCTCTTGCTTCTGTACTTCTCTTAATTGTGATGTTAGGGTGTCGATTTTAGATCTTTCTCACTTTCTCTTGTGGGCATTTAGTGCTATAAATTTCTCTCTATACACTGCTTTAGCTGTGTCCCAGAAGTTCTGGTACGTTGTGTCTTTGTTCTCATTGGTTTCAAAAAACTCATTTATTTCTCCCTTTATTTCATTATTTACCCAGTAGTCATTCAGGAGCAGGCAGTTTCCATGTATTTGTGTGGTTTTTGAGTGAGTTTCTTAATCCCGAGTTGTAATTTGATTGCACTGTTTTCTGAGAGACTGTTTGTTATGATTTCCATTATTTTTCATTTGTTGAGGAGTGTTTTACTTCCAATTATGTGGTCGATTTTAGAATAAGTGCAATGTGGTGCTGAGAAGAATGTATATTCTGTTGATTTTGGGTGGAGATTTCTGTAGATGTCTATTAGGTTTGCTCGGTCCAGAGCTGAGTTAAAGTCCTGAATATCCTTGTTAATTTTCTGTCTCATTATCTGTATAATTTTGACAGTAGGGTGTTAAAGTCTCCCACTATTATTGTGTGAGAGTCCATGTCTCTTTGTAGGTCTCTAAAAACTTGCTTTATGAATCTGGGTGCTTCTGTATTTTGTGCATATATGCTTAGGATAGTCAGCTCTTCTTGTTGCATCGATTCTTTTACTATTGTGTAATGTCTTTCTTTGCCTTATTTGATCTTTGTTGGTTTAAAGTCTGTTTCATCAGAGACTAGGATTGCAATCTCTGCTTCTTTTTGCTTTCCATTTGCTTGGTGAATATTCCTCCACCCCTTTATTTTGAGCCTATATGTGTCTTTGCATGTGAAATGGGTCTCCTGAATACAACACATCAATTGGTCTTGACTCTTTAACCAGTTTTTCAGTCTGTGTCTTTTAATTGGTGCAGTTAGCCCATTCACACTTAAAGAAGCCAATCTTTCTCTTTGGCTGTCCTCAACATTTTCTCCTTGATTTCAAGTTTGGTGAATCTGATGATTATGTGTCTTCAGGCTGCCCTTCTTGAAGTGTATCTTAGTGGTGTTCTCTGTATTTCCTGAATTTGAATGTTGGCCTGTTTTGCCAGGTTAGGGAAGTTCTCCTGGATAATATCCTGAAGAGTGCTTTCCAACTTGGTTTCATTCTCCCCATCACTTTCAGGTACACCAGTCAAATGTAGGTTTGGTGTGTGTGTGTGTGTGTGTGTGTGTGTGTGTGTGTGTGTGTTTTCTTTGAGGTGGAGTCTTGCTCTGTTGTCCAGGCTGGAGTGTGAAGGTGCAATCTCGGCTCACTGCAAGATCTGCCTCCTGGGTTCACGCCATTCTCCTGCCTCAGCCTCCCAAGCAGCTGGGACTACAGGCACCTGCCACCATGCCTGGCTAATTTTTTTTTTTGTATATTTAGTGGAGACAGGGTTTCACCATGTTAGCCAGGATGGTCTCAGTCTCCTGACCTCGTGATCCGCCCACCTCGGCCTCCCAAAGTGCTGGGATTACAGGCATGAGCCACTGTGCCTGGCCTGGTCTTTTCACATAGTCCCATATTTCTTGGAGGCTTTGTTTGTTTCTTTTTATTCTTTTTTCTCTAATCTTTCTTCACACTTTATTTCATTAAGTTGATTTTCAATCTCTGATATCCTTTCTTCCACTTGATTGATTCAGCTATTGATACTTCTGTATGCTTCACAAAGTTCTCTTGCTGTATTTTTCAGCTCCATCAGATCATTTAGGTCCTTCTCTAAACTGGTTATTCTAGTTAGCAGTTCCTGTAAGTTTTTATCAAGGTTCTTAGTTTCCTTGCATTGAGTTAGAATATGCTCCTTTAGCTCAGAGGAGTTTGTTTTTACCCACCTTCTGAAGCCTACTTATGTCAATTCTTTAAACTCATTCTTTGTCCAGTTTTGTTCCCTTGATGGTGAGAAGTCGTGATTTTTTGGAGGAAAAGAGACATTCTGGTTTTTGGAGTTTTCAGCATTTTTTCACGGGTTTTTACTCATCTTTGTGGATTTACCTACGTTTAATCTTTGATGTTGGTGACTTTTGGATTGGGTTTTTGTGTGGGCATCTTTTTTGTTGATGTTGATATTATTGCTTTTTGTTTGTAAGTTTTCCTTCTAATAGTCAGGCCCCTCTTCTGGAGATCTGCTGGAGTTTGCTGGAGATTCACCCCAGACCCTGTTTGCCTGAGTATCACCAGCAGAGACTACATAACAGCAAAGATTGCTGCCTTCCCAGTCAGGAGGCACAGGGGTCAGGAACCCACTTGAGGAGGCAGTCTGTCCCTTATCAGAGCTCAAGTGCTGTGCTGGGAGATCTGCTGCTGTCTTCAGAGCAGGCAGGCCAGAATATTTAAGTCTGCTTAAGCTGTGCCCACAGCTGCCCCTTCCCCCAGGTGCTCTGTCCCAGGAAGATGGGAGTTTTATCTATAAACGCCTCACTGAGGGCTGGTTGTGGTGGCTCACGCCTGTAATCCCAGCTCTTTGGAAGGTTGAGTCTGGTGGATCGCATGAGGTTGGGAGTTCGAGACCAGCATGACCAACATGGAGAAACTCCGTGTCTACTAAAAAAAAAAAAACAAAAAAACATAGCCAAATGTTGTGGTGCATGCCTGTAATCCCAGCTACTTGGGAGGCTGGGGAAGGAGAATCACTTGAATCTGGGAGGCAGAGGTTGAGATGAGCTGAGATTGCACTATTGTGCTCCAGCCTGGGCAACAAGAGTGAAACCATCTCAAACAAAAACAAAAACAAAAACAAAAACAACCCTGACTGGGGCTGCTGCATTCCTTTCAGAGATGGCTTGCCCAGAGAGGAGGAATTTAGAGAGGGAGTCTGCCTAAGGTGGCTTTGAGGTACTGTGGTGGTCTCCACCCAGTCTGGACTTCCTGGCACCATTGTTTACACTGTGAGGGGAAAACCGCCTACTCAAGCCTCAGTAATGGCTGGTGCCCCTCTCCCCACCAAGCTCAAGAATCCCAGGTTGACTTCAGGCTGCTGTGCTGGCAGCTAGAATTTCAAGCCAGTGGATCTTAGCTTGCTGGGCTCCGTGGGGGTGGGATTCGCTGAGCTAGACCACTTGGCTCCCTGGCTTCAGCTCTCTTTTCAGTGGAGTGAATGGTTCTGTCACCCACCACCATTCCTGGTGTTGCAGCCGACACTGGGGTACAAAAAAAAAAAAAAAGAAAAAAACACTTCTGAAGGTAGCTCAGGGTCTGCCCAAATGGCCACCCAGTTTCAAGCTTGAAACCCAGGGGCCTCATGGTGTAGCCGTCTGAAGGAATCTCCTTGTCTATGGGTTGCAACAACTGTGGGAAAAGCGTAGTATCTGAGCCAGATAGCATCATCCCTCTTGGTACAGTTCCTCATGGCTTCCCTTGGCTAGGGGAGAGAGTTCCCCAACCCTTTGCATTTCCTGGGTGAGGTGATGCCCCACCCTGCTTCTGCTCATCCTCTGTGGGCTGCACCTACTGTCTAACCAGACCCAATTACATGAGCCGGGTACCTCAGTTGGAAATGCAGAATTCACCCACCTTCTGCATTGATCTCGCTGGAGCTACAGACTGGCCATCTTGCCAGCCCATTAAAACTCTCTTAAATAGCTATTACATTAATGAAAAAATATAAAAAATTCAGTAGCAACAGATAACTTGAAAATGATTAACTTAAGAATATATGTCATAATATGGGATATGCACATACCTTTAAAGCTAAGTATCTTTTAGTTGTAAGTCATAGAAGTTTCAACTAAAATTTCTGTAAGAAAAATGGTAGTTTATTAGCTTCTACATGTGAAAATATAAGGTGCATGTCTGACTTCAAGTGTGGCTGGTTTATGGCTTAACAAGGAATAAGATTATTACACTGATCTCACTCTCATTCTATTTATGGCCCTTACCTTTTTTGTAATTACTGCTCTTTTTCAGGCAAGTGTCCTCCCTGTACTTGTAAGTAAGCCCTAGAAGTTTCTTTGGAAACATTCAATAAATGATAGAAATCTTCAACATTATAAAGAAGTGCAGGACGTGATGTTGCTTAGAGTTGAGATTATGGCAGTGACTAGTTTTGGGAATCAAAATGCGTGTAGTATCTCCACTAATCAGGGAAATACAACTGAAAATAAAAAAAATATTTTTTTTTTTTTTTTTGAGATTGAGTCTCACTCCATCACCCTGGCTGAGTGCAGTGGTGCCATCTCGTCTCACTGCAATCTCTGCCTCCTGGGTTCAAGCGATTCTTATGCTTCAGCCTCCCAAGTAGCTGGGACTACAGGTGCCCACCACGCCTGGCTAATTTTTGTATTTTTAGTAGAGACAGGGTTTCACCATGTTGGCCAAGCTGGTCTCGAACTGCTGACCTCAGGTGATCCACCTGCCTCAGCGTCACAAAGTGCTGGGATTACAGGCGTGAGCCACTATGCCAGGTGAAAATATGCTATTAAACTAAGTGAGAATAAGATAAATAAAAAAGTTTGAGGAAAAAGAATCCTGGAAGAATTGTGCACTGTTTGCTGTACAACTGATTTTAAGTCCTTTTGCTAAAAAAGTTTTCTTTTCTGCATTTATGTGGTAGCGGCACAGTCACTGACAGCCCTGCCCCACTATAAAAGTATCTGGAAACCATGGTTAATAAATATTGGTTTTGTTTCATCAAGTAAGACAGACAAGGATAAATTCCATCAGGAGACTAACATTCAAGAAAGCCCTTGGTGTTACATGAAAATGATTTGTAGAATAATATACGTGTATATGTCTTGAATAAAAGTAAAATATTTAAATTGTGTTTAAAAATGATTTACTGCTTTAATTGATTTTTCCAAGTTACTGACTTTAAGTCCTGATTTCTGGATAAGATTTCTACTTTATTATTATTTTGATAGGAAGTAATGGGTAACCCAAAGCCAGATACAATAGAAAACACCATAAATATGAATAATTTGAAACTCCTTTAATTAGCTATTTTCTACCAAGAAGTAAAAATGCCATAGTGTAATTTTTCTCCCCTTATGGAGATTAAAGCATCAATAAATTAAAGTTCAAATTCTTCTCTTCTGAATCTTCTCAGCTTTCAGCTGTGTATCTCAGAAACTTCCCAAAGAAACAAAGTTTTAAAGCATTGTATTCAGTGATATGTTGGTAATGTTTTATAACTAGCTCTTGGGGGTGGAAGGAATGATTGAGTGAAGTTTTAATTTGTGGCATTTGCTGATTTCTGTGATGTTATTACTACCATTATGGCTGATTTCAAGCTACTAATATGAAGTGACTAAACGCAGAGATAGGAAACGATGGGCATAATCAACTCTATCTCAAGTCAGTGCAAGTTAGGTCCAACCATTGCTGATTTTCTTCCATAATAAGAAGTGTGAAAGTAGAGAGTTCCTAGCATTGATTTGGCAGATCCAGAATTTCAATTCCAAGGTCATAGAGGCCTTGAATTTGAGACATAGCATTTGAGAAGGCATAAGAGCACATGCCAGCTTTTCTGGTATTACTACTCAATGATTTCTATTTACATCCTACTTCTATTTACATACTTTTGGTCCAAACTCTGTTATAAGGTTATCTCTAGCCACCTTTAGCTAGAGATCTACCCATCAATCTAGTCTATTGATGGATAATAGACTCTTTAAACTGAATAGATACAAATAGAAACAAAATCAGGTTTGTTAAGGAATGTTAAAATGGCTATTGCATAAGCAATTAGCAATCTCTGGAAAAGAAAACCAAGTGATTTCCTGTCAAATAGCGCTAGATTCAATTTACACACAAAAATATAGACATCCTCCCTCACATTGACTAGTTGTATCATAGGCAAATTATTAATATTTAATCTATTTGATGTCATTTTCCAATGCTGTTATAAAATATAAGGTGTAGAAAATGTTTTTCTTTCTTTTTTGTTATTTTTCTTTTGCTATATGGCTTCATTTAAAAGTAGGTAAAAATTTTCAGAGTGGAAATGACTTTAATTATGCTTCATTGTTTTGAGAAGGTCACCAAAATGATACCTTAGTCTCACAATTAATTAGTGAGCTTTCTTGGGAGAAAGCTAGGCATTGCTAAAGTAATCCAAAGATGAATAATTTAGTCAGGAATATAAAACAGTAATTTAAAAATTACTATGAAGTGTTTCAAACACATAGAAAATTATAGAGAATAATATGATGAATATATACACCCTCTACTTAACATTGCCAAATCCTAAATATGTGAAATTTTGTTATTTTTTAGTTTTAAAAAGGAAGATGACATAATTTAAACTATTACACGTGAAGTGCCCTTTGTATCTTTCTCCAATGCCTCTCTGCTTTGCCTTTCTCTAGAGGTAACCATTTTCCAGAATGTGATAATTTTTCATTTCTATGCACTTATTATGCTTTTAATATAAGTTTATATCTACAAAAGATTGTATCGTGTTGAATGTTTTTAAAACTTTTATTAATGTTAGTGTTCTGCCTTTTTCCCTAAGCATCCTATTATAGAGTCATCAGCCATAGAGACTTATAGATCAAAAGGGTTATGTATTATATATTTCAAAATTCCTAAAGTGTAGATTTTTAATGTTTTTATAATAAGTGTGTGATGTAATGGATTTGTTAATTAGCTTGATTTAATTATTCCACAATGTAAACATATATGAAAAAACCATATTGTACTCCATAAATATATAAAATTATTATTTGTCAATTTAAATAAAATAATTATACTAAAAATAGTGTCATTATGATTGTGGGCCCCAAAGGTAGAGCACATTACACAGCTTTCTTAACAGTTTTTATCACGGACTGTTCTTTTGGATCAAACTAAAAATATATTGACTTGTGGGTATCTAATATAAAGGACAAAGCAGAATGCCCAAGAAATCAGAAACTGTTTTCAGTACCCAAAGGCTCCAGTTAGGGGTTAGGCTTCCTTTTTGGTTAGAGATGCTGAAGTGAAAACAATTTTTCTTTATTTACCTGAGGATTGAGTATTTGGCAAGCAGCCTGCTAAATTTTGTTGGAGATTTTCAGTCACTCCTTCTGGGAGATGTGTGATAATACCACAGACAACACTACTGAGATTGAGGGTTCTGATTGCTAACCATCATTATACCATGTAGTGAAAGTTTTGAAAAGCCGAGTGTAGAAACACTTCACTAAATTCTAAACTATCCAATTCTGGCAAATGGCAGTGGTGTTTAGTTAACCCTAGAGTACTATAAACATATATTGGAGGTTTCATCACATAAATTTGAACAAATTTTGATTCTCCATTGCTAGTTGATGGGAAAGAAGTTGGCAATGTTCAAAACAGTGTATCATGTGCCATCAGTCTGTGTAATGAATCCAGTTAGTCATGATATCTGTAAGAGTTAGAACTACAGGAGAAACACCAAAATTTATTTGACAATAATCTTCTATAAGTCTTCAGTTCACCTTAGACTTTTGTACATGGTGGTTCTATATAGAGATCTTGTATCGCTTACTAACTGTGCTTCCTTTAAGTCATTAATCAAGGCTGTGATTTTCTTTTTTTCTTCCCTGGAGGAGACAGAGAGGCTTGTGGGAGAGCAATTTTTGTGTCCTATTAACACTTTTCTACATGTGGCTGCACCACATTTGGCACTTTGTGGCAGAAAAATACAAGCGTCAGTTCCTAGTATATATTCAGATGTAGAGGTAACATCAAGAGTGTACAAAACTGGCCCAAAAGGTTTCACTCACAAGGTCATATTAGCTTCCCTTCCTTATTGTAAACCCAGTACAAACCCCATTAACTGATTCTGGATGCCATTTCCTTCCATAGGTCCAGGTAGACTAGTGACTTGGGCAACCATATTCAGAAGGTCCAAAAAAGTTAATTTTCTCCTTTTGCCAAAATTCCCCACCCTATTCGCACAGGTATATAATGGCCTTTGATCCTCACTGGGGACAGAAAGTCCTCAGCCCTCATCCTGTAACCCACTTCCCCAATTATTCCCCATTAATGGGGGGTCCATTTATTGCATAGTTGATTATACATAGTGGTCTGTACATTTATCACCAATTCTCATAAATTACCATTAAATTCAATTAATTGGCTGGTAAGGTCCTCATTATTTCTCTTACAGAAAGCCATGTTCATTACCATCTCAGGCTTATTGCTATAATTACAAAAAACTGTGAAGATTATGCGATTTTTTTTACCTTACTTGTAAGCTAACAAGGTAATCTGTCACAGGTTTTTGAGGGTTCTGGTAGAAGACATGAGACTCTTGGGTCAGAGACAAAGGATTATTATTCGTAGCAATAGTAACAGCCTGAATATAAGCATTTTTACCTTAGATTCCTAAGCCCCACTTCCCACAGTGCTATACAAAATGACCATTTGACTCCAGCATACATAGTACTATGCATTACAGGAGTAAAACCGAGGAAAATCAATCATTTATAATGTGCAGTAGCTGTGCTTTCCCTTTACTCTTGAAAAAGACATTCTGTTTATCATACTAGAGTAAGCATTCTTTCCCTTTGCTTCAGAGGGAAGCACTGTTTTCCAAAGGCTCTATGCAAACATGTTTTTACTTCAGAGAGAGACACTATCTCTTTCTTCCAAAGCTGTCTGCTATTCAAGCATCTTTTAAAAGATAGCCTAAAACAAAGGGTAGAAAGTGATTTACTTGCATGAAAAGCACATATGGAACTTTTCTTCCAACTCATGCACCACAAAACGATGTCTTGGTCAATGACAAACCATATAGATAGTGATATTCCCATAAGATTATAATGGAGGTGAAAAATCTCTATCAGCCACTGACATTGTACCAAAATTATAAAATAAAAATTGTAGCATACTTTATTTTTAATGAATTTAGCATAGCCTAAGTGTACAATGTTTATAAAGTCTACAGTAATATACAGTAATGCCCCAAGTCTTCACATTCACTTACCACTCACTCACTGAATCACCTAGAGCAACTTTCAGTCCTGTAAGTGCCATTCATGGCAAGTGCCCTATACAGGTGTAACATTTTTTATCTTTTATATTGTATTTTTACTGTACCTTTTCTGGGTTTAGATTTGTTTAGATACACAAGAACTTACCATTGCATTCCAACTGCCTGCAGTATTCAGCACAGTAACATGCTATACAGGTTTATAGTCTAGGAGCAATAGGCTATACCATATAGCCCAGTCATGTAGTAAGGTATACCACCTGGGTTTTTCTAAGGGCACTCTATCATGCCCACACCATTATGAAATTTCCTAACAATGCATTGCCCAGGAAGTAGCCTCAGTGTTAAGTGACACATGACTGTATAAAGTTGCTGGTGATATGCCATCTTCAAACTAACTAGATGATAGCAAATCTTGCTCCAACTTAAATTCCCACCAACATTGTATAGAATCTCCTATTTGTTTAACTGGTCAACACGTTTTCAAATTTCCTACATGTTTGATCTGATATGCACATGATGATCTAATGTGTATGAAAGCATATGTCATTTTAGTTTCCATGTTTCTGATTACTGGTGAGAATCATAAAGTCAAGAAATACTCATTGAACATCTATGTGCCAGGTACACATTTAAGTACTTGCGATACATTGAAGAACATAAAGATGGAGAAATCATACACTTACAGAGATTATATTCTGGCAAGTGTAAGTATAACAAAGTTATTAACTAAGTAAATTACACAGTATATTAAAAGATGACATGTTATGGAAAAGACAGAAAAGTAATAAGGATCAAATTAAGAAAATTTATTTTTATTGAAAATGTGGTCTCCTATTTTATAAATCAACTGGTTGCATTCTTTTGCCCAATTTCCATGGGTCATTTGCTTTTTCTTAGAATATATTATGGCTTATTTTGTTAATTTTAGTCATCCAATTTTATAGCCACGTCTTATTTTTCCCTACTTTGTATAGGGTAATTTTTGCAAGTAGGAGATGGCATATTATAATTTAATCAACCGTATTAAAATTTCCTTTAGTAAGTACCTGTGCATTCTGTGCCTTTGTAATCTTCCTCATTTACAGAGTTCAAAATATAAATACTATCTTCCATTGTATTTTAAAGATTTTATACATGTTACTTTCCAAGTTTAGGTATTAAATTTTTTGTTCACTTGGAATTTATTTTGCACGTAGTGTTGTAAAATTTTCTTTTTAAACAAACAGCCAGTTAACACAGTACTATTTATTTAAAAAAAAGTTTTTTTTTCGTTAGTCATCTGAAATCTCATTTCTATTATAATTCGTTTCCTATGTGTAAATCTGTGTCTAGGTCACTCATCAGTTCATTAGCATATTTAATCTCCCCTTTTCCATCTCTGGACCCAATACAGACTATTCTACAAAGTTCCTAGGGTGATCCTGTTAAACTATATGACAAATCATATTGCTCCTCTGCTATCAGTATATGAATGGCTTTCCATAACATTCAGCGTAAAAGCCAAATTGCATTCTAGAACCTGCAGGGCTCTAAGGCGTCTTCCTCTCCCTCATCCCCACTACCTCTTTGAAATCACCTTCTGCTATTCTCTGCCTTGCTCACTCAGCTCCAGCCATGCTGCCATCCTCCCTGCTTCTCAAACATGTCAGGCCTCCTTTTGCCTTGGGGCCACAGTACTTGCTGTCTCTCCACCTGGAATATTCCTTTCCCAGACAGCTACAGGGTCAGCTCTTCCATTGCCTTCAGGTCTTTACTCAAAAGCCAAGTTCTCAGTGAGCCCTTCCCTGGTACCTTATCTATCTAATTTCAGCCTCCTCCCTGGAATTTCATATTCTACTTCTTTGCTTTATTTTTTCCTTCTTAGCACTTGTCACTATGAAAATACTTTACATTTACTTACATATTTTGGCTACTCTCTGTCTCCCACACCAAAGTGGGATAAAGATAAAAGAACTAAACTTAAAAGTGAATGGGGGTCAAAGCAAGCCAAAAGGGGCAGTTTTCCCAGGGTCTAGCCCCAGTTACAAGCACAAATGCTTCCAGGGGACAACTGTGCATTTTATTAGAGTGAAGCAGGCCAGCTGGGGGTATGGCCAATTGGAGAGGGCATTCTGAGTCTAAACTGGACTGAGCCCTATCTCAGACCCAGCTGCTTGTATCTCTGTTGGAATGTGGGCCCTAATCCTCATGTTTTTTTGTTTCGTTTCATTTTCAAGAGAGGCCAGAAACATGGAATTTCATTGTGTGAAACCTCCCAGATTAGGTGCTTTAGAGTACCTAATTTAAAGTAGATAACAATGAAAAAATAAAGATCAAACCAAACTCGGCAGCTGACTGAAATTGGCCTCTGGGCAGCCTGCTGGTGTTTGCTGGACTCATAAAAGAAAATTAATTCCTGCTATAGGGAGTGAGCTTGCCTTGTATTTCTTGAGGCAGTCAGCCTCAGGTCATGTTGGGTAGAGAGAATAAACTGAATTTACCACCTTCTTTCAACTCTTGAAAGCTCCTCGCTTCCCCCAGTATGCAGGGAGTTAGGGAAGCCTGGACAGCAGGGAGTTGCTGCTCCCTCTCCCAACTAAACTCAACCCCTCCACTATACAGCTGAAGGACTTAGTTATACAAAGTCATATCTCCCAGCCCAACTTCTCCATGGCATCTGCCTTACCTGGAAACAAAGAGCTGCTCAGACTCTGATCACAGCTCTCCATAAGTTGGGGATGGGCAAAATTAGTGGGAAGGTACCTGTGAGGAGTCCACAGACACCAGTCTTGTGGGTGCCTAGCCAGAATTGGGGCTTCTTGGGGAAGTAGGCCACCTTTTGTGGAGCACTGGATGGAGTCACCTGTAGTTTCAGGTAGCTGCCAAAAGGAGCATGGTTAGTCAAGTACTCCCCATGCGCTGAAGAAAAACATTAGGCTCAATTATCTGATGCCCCTCCTCTCTAGGAAGACAAGAAACATTCCAACAGAAGGAAAAAGTGTGATAGGACTGCTGTAACTGAGTTCAGTAAGGTTTAGTTTTTCTGGATCAAATTCTTTCCAAATGCAAGATGGAACATCTCTTAAGTTCTGAGAGCCCCACTAATCCATGATCTACAAGTGTTGTTTATCCAGCACAGGGCAAATGTGAGGAGGCAGCCCACAGCCCAGCACTTGTGGAGAACCATGTTAGTGTGTTTAGGCTGCGGGTTGGTGTTCTGCTAGGCAGGTGCGTCATGAACTCCAGGGAAGAAGGAAAGCCTTATAGGTGTAAACTTGGTTGCTGCCTAACTCTATGGAGTCATCCTTGTCCAAATGTCTTTCCAGGGAACTTCTCATGCAAATGGCTTCCTTGACAGTTGCCACTTCCTTTGTGCATAGAACTAAGGGAACAATGTGCATACTGCCAGAAATCCAACTTTTCTCTGGGTCTTCTCACCTCTGATGGGCCCCACTGTCCACACCTCTTCTTCTGTATTCTCACTCCCTTTGTCAGTCTTTCTTCTTTGAATTCCTTCTTCCTTAGTATTCTTCACCCTGACTCCTGCCTCTCATAGACCCTCCATTTGTGTATCCTTTAGTCTCTCACCAGAGTCCTTCCAACTTGATCTTTCACCCCTTACTCAGGACCTCTTCTAAGCTTCTTTGAGTAGAGAGCTTCCTACTCTATTCCATTTATGCTGTCTATTTTCCTCTAATCCCCAAGAGCTCACTCTTCCTCTGTTATTCTTCACTCCCTTCCCAGTTGGATGTTTCCTCCACATAGGTCACCTCCTCCCTCAGGTAACCTCTAACTTCTGGCCCTTCACCACCTCTTCCTAAGAAGTCACCTCGTCCTCTCCTTCTCCCCACAGCCAATCTTGACTTACTTTCCTTCTCCGCTCCACACCAGACCAGCTAAGTCTCTTGCAATTTTAGATGGCTGATTGTGATTCTAGCTGAACTTTGTTCACAATTGGAATTGACAGCTGTTCCTTCCTTTCATGCCCCATCCACAAAACACACCCAATCTTTTCAACAAGACAAACTGCTTATACATGTCATATAAATTTGTATTTTTCAGCATAAAACAACAGTTATGCAGGCAAATATTGTGATATCAGGACCCTTGAGCTTTCAACACCCTGAAAAGTTGTACTTTTTTTGTTTGCCTGCGTATTACACATTTGTCTCCACAAATGTAGCAAATTTTACTCTAACAAGATATTTTCACCAAATCGTAGACATAGATATGGAAGTCATCATCAAACGATGAAATACACAGGTTTGGCTTTAACTTGGTGGATGACCTTGTCTGTCCTTTTGGAGTCGTCTTCTTTGGTATATTCCACATGTTTATCTATCAGGCTATCTATAAATCCTTCTGGTTCCCTCTTCACTGGATGAGACACACTTGATTCTGGCATGATGCAGAGGTCACCTGCCTTATAATCATCGAGTAGCTAGTACATGTGCAAGACAGGATCTTTCTTATAAGTAATATAAAACCAGGCTTTCATGATAGGTGCTTGGGCTAGGACCATCCCCCTCCATTTATCCATAGAACCATGCTCTCCCTCAAACATGTGTTTCACTGCTTTGCCAATTATGGTATTTGCAAGGCAGAAATCCCTGACTTGTGAGAATGGCACCTTATGAGGAAGGATTTTAAGCTTTAAAATTCTTTCATCTCTGTGAAGTTCTAGTCCATAAACACAGTCAATTCCATAATATTTTACCAGATAAAGAAAGGGATATATAGGCACCTGATTCAGAACGGTCCCTTTACACTGGGTGATGGGCTCATCTCCCTTCTTCTATCCATGTGAAATTCTGCAGCCTACCATGTGTCTGCAGGACTGAGAGGAAGACCTTCCTCTTGGCTTCATTGGAGATGTCTTTTTCTTCCTCATGTTTGTAGTTCCAGTGTGGTGACCTATGGCTTCCCTGGTTGGCAGCTTTGCAGCTGCCTTTTTGTGAAGGAGAGTCTTCATATTTGGAGGGGAAGGAGAGAGGCCAGGGAAAAACATTAAATGTATGAGTTTTTTTCTTCTATCATGAAGTCCCTGTGCACCAGGTACATTGCCACCCATGTTGTTCATGTGTGTCCAGTAGCAATGTTAGATATCAAGACACTCTTGGATGCCTGCCTACAATGTCTTCCTTCCAGGCTTGTTTAGCTGCACAAGAGAGATAGAGAACAGGTAGGTGTGGTGGCCGTGGTAGTTGAGAGCACAGCAAAAGGAAGTGGGCTACTTTGCCTATTCCCTGACCCTCTGTCGCCATCCTATCACATCTCCCAACATTCTCCATTTTTTAGCTCCCACCTCATTTTTCCATTTCTGTACATGCAGTCTCCATGTCCCCTCCCCATGGCTCTGTGGTATTCATCCCCCGTACATTCCCATCCCTCGCCTCCCGCCTGGTGCTCACCTCTCTTTCCTGTCTCTTCCTGGTAAACTCCATTTTCCTTCTGGGCTCCAACCACAAACCTATTTCCCTTTCTGGCCACCTTTGTATACCATCCTGGTGCTCTTCAGGTCCTCATGCCCCCAGCCCTCAAATCACCCTTCCCAGTCTCCTGCATTTCTTACGCCAGCACCCACCCGAATTTTCACGCCTGGCCCCCACCAACCCCCATCCTCCGGTTCCGCAGCCCAGGGCCCACCTCCCGCGCCGCCCACCTCCCGCACTGCCGGAGAGGTGGCAGTGCCACCTCCCGCGCCCAAATCAGACCCCTCACTGTTGCCTCTGCTAGGAGCCTGTGGCGAAGGAGGATCAGCAGGCCACTAACAGAGTGAGCGCTTGCAAAAGCTAGGAGGGTAGGATCTGTAGGCGTGGAAAACGTCTAGAAGGGTTGTGAGGCAGGCGAAAGGGAAGGCAGCAGCATCCCCAGCACTAGGCTTGTTAGCCCTCTGCCTTCCTGTCGGTGGCGGCCCTTCTGCTACACTGGACTTCCAGGAGCCGTTGCTGCTGTTGCAATCTCCTCGCTCTTTTCCTAGCTTAGCTTCCTGGTAGGAGGGAGGCCTCTGCTTCCTGCCAAACGCCGCGCAGCACCCCCACCCCAGTGAATCCTGGACCACCGCCCTGGGCCCTAGAGATGCTCCTGGGCTCCTGCCCCCCACGCCCAACCGCACCTTCTCCCAAATCCACAGGTACCAGGTCCAAAGCCCCCTCTCCCTCTCCTGCTAGGTTCAACGTTTTCATTTTATGTCCCCCGACCCGCCGTCCCAGACTCCTCACCCCTACCTCCACCTTCAACCCCTCAGCGGCCCTGCCTCATCTGCTTTCCATCTTTCAAGATTTCCTTTTCCCAGTGCCCTTACGGAGTTATTCTTTATATACAAAAACCTGCCTTTCTTGTCATTGGAGAGGATTTTTGGTAGGACAAGAGAAATGCGCTAGTGCTTAGTGCTCAGTCTGCCATTTGACCTAATCTTTGTAATTTTTCCTGACAGGTCATTCCTGAACTTTACTTCTTGAGGAGATTTTTTGTTTCTTTTTCTTATTTTTTTCGTTTCCCTGATTGCAGAAGAATTGCATGCACAATGTGGACACTGTGTAAAATTCAGAAAATAGACTTGAAGCAGAAAATAATCAACTGCAAGCCCTGTTTCCATTCCCCTGGGCTCCAAGCAAAATAATAGCACTTATTACCTCTCCTTTGCCTTTTTTCTAAGCTCTTAAAAAGCTTGCATTATTTTTGCAAATTTAGTTGTTAAAAATTCTTTGTAAAACCATTTTTAGATGATATTTTGAAAATTACAGAGTGTAGTAGGTAGCAATATTAGAAGTACCAAATACTCTTCATTTGGAATTAACATTACTCATTTGTATTTGGGCTTTTAAAAGTAGAAATAAAATATTACCAATAAAATGTAATTCTCTTATCCTCTAGCATTGATCCTGTTCCCTCCCACCTCTCTAATGCTAACGCCATCACTCATTTTTTTTGTATCCTACAAATCTTTGTATTTCTGTAAATACCAATAATAATTTATAGGAGTTCACAGATTTTTAGGGTACAAAAAAAGAATGATATTTATAGTTACAAGTGGAAACTATGTATTTTATATCTCATATGTATTTTTAAATGTACATTATGAAGAATAATTCCTTCATACTGTGAGAAAAAAAGATTACTTCTCTTCCATGGCCCACACCTGAGATTTCTGGGAGGTGGCTCTGGGTCTTTATGATTTAGAATTTCTTTTTCTAACTAGATAAATACACTCTTAAAGATATTCAAGAAAATATTTTGTTTTTATTTTAATAGTTACATTGTCAGCAAGCCTGAAATAGAACTCTAGATTTGTCATAATCTTACTTACCTGAACTTTATTTTCAACATAAATTTTATTACATTTAAATTTTCTGCAGTTTGCCTTTTTTATTCGATGTTTTATTTTTAAAATTTTCTTTATATTTTATCTCCAACACTCCTTGTCACCTTTTAAATCTGTTGCCAAAAATAGTCTATTTCAGAGTACACATGTGACATTTTTGGCATCCATGGAACAATACATTTAAACATCCATTTTGTTGTTGATTACTATTTTGGTTTATTACAATATTTCATTTTCACAAACAGTGCTGCAATGAATGTCTCTGTATACTTGTACCAGAGTTTCTGTAAGTACATCCTAGAAGAAGAAATAATTTCTTGTAAGTACAAGCACTTCAAATTTCTTAAATGCTGCCAAATTGCTGTGTTAATTGGCTGTACCACTCTATTTTTTTCTACTTCCCTTTGCAACAGAAATTCTTCAAATACTTGCCTATTACATTATCTTCAATTACATTCATCACATTGTTTCAAAAACCTACTCCAGTCTGATTTCCCTGCCTGCTCCCCCCAAACTCCATGAAAATTGCTACTGTTCAGGTTATCAGTGATCTCCAATGATCATTCAATAAGATCATCAGTGATCTTCAGTGATCATTTATTAATCTCCATCTTTATATATCATCAGTCCTTGATCGTTCTGTTTTCCATGAAAAACTCTCTAGGTTTTCTTGGTAACTCACTGGTCACTTTTTAGTCTTTTTTTTTTTATTGGTTCCTCTTTATTTCTTCAATCTCTTAATGCCCCAGGGCTCGGTCTGTAGACTGCTTTTCTATCTACACTGTCTCCCTTGGCCACTTCATATAGGCTTATAGCTTTAAATGTCATTTGTAAGTTGAAAGGCCTCAAACGTATGTCTAGCCTGACCTCACTTTTTACTCCAGGCTTGTAAATCCAGCTACCTACTTGACATCTTCCATGTGGATATCTAACAGACTCAATATATTCAAATTGAGATGCCAATATTGCCCCTAAGACTTGTTCCACTGCACACCTACTTCCTCATCTCAGTAAATGGCAGCTTCATCTTTCTGTTTGCTAAGGCTATAAATGTGATATCATTCTTTCTCACAATTCATATCTAATTTGTCACTAAATTATGTTGGCTCTACCTTCAAAATGTATCTAAAGTCTGGCCATTTTTCATAACTTCTACTGCTACCACCCTGATTTGAACTATCTTTATTCCATAGCTCGTTTATTGCAATGGCCTCTTTACTAGACTGCTTTTGCTCTTGTTCCTTTATTGTCTGTACTTAAATACCACGCAAAAACTACAGTGGCTTCCCATTTCACTCAGAGGGAAATAAAATACTCAAGAATAGCCTACAAGATAGTGTATGATCAACCCCACCTGACTTTACCCTCTTATCTTTTAAAATTCCATCTTCTACTACTCTCACTCATAACATTGAACCATATAAAATTTCTGTATTCATAGGTCAAAATGGTCAAATATCAGCAATTCTAAGTGTTTGGTTCATCCTAACAGCTGACTGTGCTTCTTTTACACTGACATCATTGCTGTTCCTTGAGCAAGCGAAATGTCTCTCACCTCAGAGCCTTTGGACCTGTATTACTTCTATATTAAAATTTATTTTTTCACTATCTTCAGGTCTCTGCTCCTTATCTTCACAAATTGGGCTATCTTAGGGACCTTAACATTCTGATCATCTTTATCTTGCTCAACTCTTCCCCATACTATTTGTATTAGTCAGTGTATAATTACTTCTGTTACAAACACCATACACATCTTAGTGGCTTGACATACAAAAAAATTATTTCTCACACATAAAACAGTTAAATGTAGGTGTTCCTGGTCATTAGGCAGCTTTTCTATAATTGGTAATTCAGGAAAGACAGTATCTGTCTTCCATGTAGTCAAAGATTGACCATTTTCTGTGACTTCATAGTCCTCTGCCAGATCCTGTCTATCCAGCTGGCCAAAAATTGAAGACAGCAAGAGTGAGAGAGAGAAAGAGAGACAGAGAGGAAGTTTTCTAGAGCAGCGATGTCCAATAGAAACATTAAGATGAGTAATATATATATAATTTAAAATGTATCAATTGTCACATTTTAAAAAGGCAAAAAGAAACAGGTAATATTAATTTTAATAATATATTGTATTTAACTCAATATGCCCAAACTACTATAATTTAAACATTCAATCAATATCAGATTATTAATGATGTATTTAAAGTTATTTTTAAATACAAGATCTTCAAAATCTTGTGTTTTACACTTAAAGCACATCTCAATTTATAACAACCATCTTTTAAGTGATCAATAGCCATATGTATCTAGTGACTACTATATTGGGCAGTATAGCTCTAGTCATTTTATGAGATAGGCCTATACATGACACCTGTCATTTCTGCCAAAATTCCATCTGGCCAAAAATAAGGCACAAAAGTCCCAACCCAATGAGAGGGGATCTAAGAAATTCAATTTAGCTAAATGCTCAAGGAAAGGAGGAGAAAAACAAATACTAGTAAGTATAATAATCTTTGCCAAATTTTTAGTAATTTTAGTAAATATTGGATCCTTTACAGTTCTTTGGGTTGTTTTCCTTTCTTTACCTTCCACTTACTTGTTCAAACATCCGTTAATATCAGTATGTACTCATGGATGTTTACTTAATTCTCTTGGTTTTAATCTGATAACTTATATTTATTTTATTTCTCAATTGTCCCCATTGTTGATCATTGGGATCATGTTCAGGTTGGTCCCTGCGTCCTTTTTTTTCTTTTTTTTTTTGAGATGAAGTCTTGCTCTGTCACCCAGACTGGAGTGCAGTGGCACGATCTCGGCTCACTGCAACCTCTGCCTCCTGGGTTGAAGCCATTCTCCTGCCTTAGCCTCCCCAGTAATTGAGATTACAGGTGCGCACCACACCACCCAGCTAATTTTTGTATTTTTAGTAGAGACGGGGTTTCACTATATTTGCCAGGCTGGTCTTGAACTCCTGACCTTGTGATCTGCCCGGCTTGGCCTCCCAAAGTGCTGGGATTACAGGCATGAGCCACTGCACCTGGCTGGTTCCTGTGTCCTTTTGACCATAGTGTTCATCCTATTATTATTCATTTGCTTATTTTTCACTTCTTTCTCCAGCAGTGAGAAACCTGGGTCTATAATGGGAACAATATATTTACTTGTTAAAGCCTTGGATATGTAATTTGGTTTCAGACTTGCTAACTCATACCAGTGTGAGAAACAAATTAACCAACTTGAATAGTGTTAGTGTATAGTTCTTTCTGTCTCTAGCCTCACAGTATTCAGATACTTGTTTCTAAATTCATTTAGTTACAAAGTTACTTTTCTTCCTCATCCCTTTCGGTGTGCTTATAGCATTCATTTGTAATATAGTTAGATTCCTATGTCTGTATCTTTGGTCTCCTGATACTCTGATTTATTTTTTTAGTTTGCATATGGCATAATTTACTCTTTTTGGTGTACAATTCTATGGATTTGACAAATGCATGAAGTCGTATGTCCAAAAATAGTACCATACAGAAGAGTTACATCACTCTGAAAATTCCTTTGTATTGCTCCTTTGTAATCAACACCTCCTCCTATCCCCAACCACTGGCAACCATTCATCTGTTTTCTTTCCGTATAGTTTTACTTTTTTTCCAGAATTTCATTGTAAATGGATCATACATTATGTACTACGAAGGGTCTGGCTTCTTTCACTTAGCAAAATATATTTAAGATTCATTCATGATGTCATGTGAACCAATAATTTATTTCTGTTTATTTCTGAGTAGAATTCCAGTTTGTTTGTTTGTTTTTTGAGACATAGTCTCACTATGTCACCAGGTTAGAGTGCAGTGGTGTGATATCAGCTCACTGCAACCTCCACCTCCCGGATTCAAGTGATTCTCCCACCCCGGCCTCCCGAGTAGCTGGGACTACAGGTGCGCACCACCATGTCCAGCTAATTTTTGTATTTTTAGTAGAGAGGTCATTTCACCATGTTGGCCAGGATTGTCTCCATCTCTTGACCTCGTGATCCACCCGCCTTGGCTTCCCAAAGTGCTGGGATTACAGGCATGAGTCACTGTGCCCGGCCTCCAGTTTGTTTTTTTGTTTACATGTTGGTGGATATTTGAGTTGATTTTAGTTAGTGACAGTTAGGAATAAAATTGACATTTGAGTGCAAGGTTTTTTGTGAACATGTTTTCAATTTACTTGGGTAAATACATATGAGTGGGATTGGTGGGTTCTATGTTGAGTACATATTTATATTTATAAGAAACTGACAAACTGTTTTTCAAAATTGCTTTATCATTTTACATTTCTACCAGCAATACCTGAAAGTTCTATTTGCTCTTCATTCTCGTCAGTATTTGGAATATTGAGAATTTCTTTTTTTCTTTTCTTTCTTTCTTTTTTTTTTCTTTTTTTGAGATGGAGTTTCACTCTTGTTGCCCAGGCTGGAGTGCAATGGCACGATCTTGGCTCACTGCAACCTCTGACTCCTGGGTTCAAGCAATTCTCCTGTCTCAGCCTCCCGAGTAGCTGGGATTACAGGCATGCAACACCAAGTCCAGCTAATTTTGTATTTTTAGTACAGATGGGGTTCCTTCATGTTGGTCAGGCTGGTCTTGAACTCCCGACCTCAGGTGATATGCTAGCCTTGGCCTCCCAAAGTGTTGGGATTACAGGCATGAGCCCGTCCAAGAATTTCTTATTTTAGCCATGCTCACAGGTTTACAGTAGTATCTCATGTTGGTCTTAATTTATATTTCTCTAATGATTAATGATGTTGAGGATCCCTTTATAAGCTTATTTCTCATCTGTATATTTTCTTTAGTAAAACGTCTCTTTCAAATATTTGCCTTTAAAAAAACTGGATTTGTGTTTCTTATTGTTGAGTTTTGAGTTTTTATGTATGTGATTTGCAAATATTTTCTCTCTGTGACCTGTCCTTTCAGTTTCTTAACAGTGTTTTTCACAGAGCAAGTGTTAAATTGTGATGAAGTGCAATTAAAGGTTTTTAATAGATTGTATTTTGGGGCTCCAATTTTTTTATTTCAATAGTTTTGGGGTGGGGGTACAGGTGCTTCTTGGTTACATAGATAAGTTCTCCGGTGGTGATTGCTGAGATTTTAGTGTACCCATCACCCAAGCAGTGTACACTGTACCCAATATGTAGTCTTTTATCCCTCATCCTTCTTCCAATTTCCCCCAACTGAGTCCTCAAATTACATTTTATCATTTTTATGCCTTTATGTCCTCATAGCTTTTATGCTTTTGTGTCCTCATAGCTCCCACTTATAAGTGAGTACATACAATATTTGGTTTTCTATTCTTGAGTTACTTAAGAATAATGGCCTCCAGCTTCATCCAAGTTGTGGCAAAAGACATTATTTTGTTCTTTTTACGGCTGAATATAGTATTCCATGGTGTACATATAGCACATTTTCTTTATCCACTGATTGGTTGATGGGCACTTACATTGGTTCCGTATTTTTGCAGTTGTGAATTGTGCTGCTATAAACATGCATATGTATGTGTCTTTTTCACATCATGATTTCCTTTTCATTTGGGTAAATATCCAGTAGTGACATTGCTGGATCAAGTTGTAGTTCTACATTAGTTCTTTAATGACTCTCCATACTGTGTTCCATGGTAGTTGTTGTACTAATTTACATTCCCACCAGTAGTGTAAAAGTGTTTCCTTTTCACCACATCCATGCCAACATCGATCGTTTTATGACTTTTTAATTATGGCCATTCTTGCAGGAGTAAGATGGTATCTCATTGCGGTTTTAATTTTCATTTCCCTAAAGATTAGTGATATTGAGCATTTTTATCATGTTTGTTGGCTGTTTGAATATCTTCTATTGAGAAACGTCTATTCGTGTCCTTTGCTCAACTTTTTATGGGATTTTCAATTTCTAATTTATTTTTATTATTTTTTATTGCTGATTTGAGTTCCGTGTAGATTCTGAATACCAGTCCTTTGCCAGATGCAAAGTTTGCAAATATTTTCTCCCACTCTGTGGGTTGTCTGTTTACTCTGTTGATTATTTCTTTTGGTGTGCAGAAGCTTCTTAGTTTAATTAGGTCCCATTTATTTATTTTTGTTTTTGCTGCATTTGCTTTTGGGATCTTTGTCATGAATTATTTGCCTAAATCAATGTCCAGAAGAGTTTTTTTAAATTTTTTTATTTTTATGGCTTCAGGTGTCAGATTTAAGTCTTTGATCCATCTTGAGTTGATTTTTGTATGAGGTGAGAGATGAGGAACTGGTTTCATTTTTCTGACTTGCCAGTTCTCCCAGCACCATTTATTGAAGAGGATTTTCTGTCCCCAATTTATTTATAAATATATATATAAATAAATATATATAAATATAAATAAATAAATATATATAAATATATATATAAATATATATAATAGTATATATATATTATGGGGTTGTTTGTTTTTTTCTTGTAAATTTGTTTGATTTCTTTGTAGATTCTGGATATTAGCCCTTTGTCAGATGAGTAGATTGCAAAAATTTTCTCCCATTCTGTAGGTTGCCTGTTCACTCTGATGGTAGTTTCTTTTGCTGTGCAGAAACAACCCCATCAAAAAGTAGGTGAAGGATATGAACAGACACTTCTCAAAAGAAGACATTTATGCAGCCAACAGACACATGAAAAAATGCTCTTCATCACTGGCCATCAGAGAAATGCAAATCAAAACCACAGTGAGATACCATCTCACACCAGTTAGAATGGCAATCATTAAAAAGTCAGGAAACAACAGGTGCTGGAGAGGATGTGGAGAAACAGGAACACTTTTACACTGTTGGTGGGACTGGAAACTAGTTCAACCATTGTGGAAGACAGTGTGGCGATTCCTCAAGGATCTAGAACTAGAAATATCATTTGACTCAGCCATCCCATTACTGGGTATATACCCAAAGGATTATAAATCATGCTGCTATAAAGACACATGTGCATGTATGTTTATTGTGGCACTATTCACAATAGCAAAGACTTGGAACCAACCCAAATGTCCAACAATGATAGACTGGATTAAGAAAATGTGGCACATATACACCATGGAATACTATGCAGCCATAAAAACTGATGAGTTCATGTCCTTTGTAGGAACATGGATGAAGCTGGAAACCACCGTTCTCAGCAAACTATTGCAAAGACAAAAAACCAAATACCACATGTTCTCATTCATAGGTGGGAATTGAATACTGAGAACACATGGACACAGGAAGGGGAACATCACACACTGGGACCTGTTGTGGGGTGGGACAGGGGGGAGGGATAGCATTAGGAGATATACCGAATGTAAATGATGAGTTAATGGGTGCAGCACACCAGCATGGCACATGTATACATATGTAACGAATCTGCACGTTGTGCACATGTACCCTAGAACTTAAAGTATAATAAAAAAGTATATAAAAAAAGAGAGTTTTTTACAAAAGTATTTCTGG
The DNA here is from genome assembly GCF_000001405.40 of Homo sapiens. Classification (NCBI taxonomy): domain Eukaryota; kingdom Metazoa; phylum Chordata; class Mammalia; order Primates; family Hominidae; genus Homo; species Homo sapiens. Next base: position 57,079,491 of record NC_000023.11, read on the forward strand.
TGGTTTTTTGGCTAAGGTATTCTTTAAGATTGTTACCTTATAAAAGAAATTTAGCAAAATTTTATTTTTTAAAGAATAGACATTGTACTTTTAGTCTATTAATAGGACTTCAAGTTGATTGATATATTAATTGGCAAAAAGAAATACGTTGACAGTCTCTGAACATAAAGTATCTTTTAACAAAGAAGAAAACACTTTTGATAGAATTCAACATTCTCTTTTCTTAAAAACCCTAAAAAAAACTTGTCATCAAAAGAAAATACCACAACACAATAAAAGCCATCTATGACAAACCCACAGCCAACATCATAGTGAATGGCAAAAGCTGAAAGCATTCCACTTGATAACTGAAACAAGATAAAGACACCCACCTTCACCGCTGCAGTTTGGCATATTTCTGGAAGTCCTAGCCAGAGCAATTAGGCAAGAGAAATAAATAAAATGCATCCAAACAGTAACAGAGAGAGTCAAACTCTCTCTCTTAGGAGATGATTTGATGCTATACCTAGAAAACTTTATAGTCTATTTCCAATAGCCTCTAGATATGATAAACAACTTCAATACTAGTCAAACTTTCAGCATAAAAATTAATGTACAAAAGTCTGTAGCATTCCTATACACCAACAATGTCCTAGCTGAGAGCTAAATCAAGAATGCAGTCCTATTTATAATGGCCAAAATAATAAAATACCTAGAAATAGAGCTAACCAGGGAGGTAAAAGATTTCTACAATGAGAATCATGAAACTCCAGAAATAAATCAGGGATGATACAAATAAATGGAAAACATAGACACCAAGTATCAATATTGATAAGCGGTCATACTGCCCAAGCAATTTAAAGATTTAATGTTATTCCCATCAAACTACAATGATGTTTAATGTAGAATTAGAAAGAAAACTATTCCAAAATTTATATGAAATAAAAAAATAGCCTAAATTGCCAAAGTATTTCTAAGGAAAAGAACAAAGCTGAAGGCATCACACTGTCTGACATAAAACTAAAATTCAAGATTACAGTTACCAAAATAGAATGGTATTGATACAAAGACAAAAAATAAAAATAAAAAAGACCAATCAAACTGGTTAGAGAACCCAGAAATAAAGCTGTACACCTACAACCACTTAATCTTCAACAAAATTGACAAAATAAGCAATAGGTAAAGGACCCCCTATTTAACAAATTATGGTAAGATAGGTAACTAGGCATATGCAAAAGATTCAGGATGGATCATTTTCTTTCAACACATATAAAATTCAACTCAAGGTGGATTAAAGACATAAATGTAAAACTTAAAACTATAAAAACTCTAGAAGAAAACCCAGAAAACACTATTCTGTACATTGGCCTCGCTTAAGATTTTATGACAAAGAATTCAAAAGCAATTGCAGCAAAACCAAAAATGGACAACTGAGACTTTATTAAACTAAAGAGCTTCTGCACAGTAAAATAAACTATCAACAGAGTAAACAGACAATCAACAAAATGAGAGAATATTTATGAACTATGTATCTGACAAAGGACTAATATCCAGAATCTATAAGAAACATAAGTCAATAAGCAAAAAACAAACCACCCCATTAAACATGGGCAAAAGATATGAACAGACACTTCTTAAAAGAAGACATACATGTGGCCAACAAGTATATGAAAAAATGCTCAACATCACCAATTGTTAGAGAAATGCAAATCAAATCACAATGAGATACCATCTTAACTGGTCAGATTGACTACTATTATAAAGTAAAATAAATTACAGATGCTGACAAGGTTGTGGAGAACAATGAATGCGTGGCTGAGCCTGGTGTCTAATGCCTGTAATCCAAGCACTTTGGGAGGCTGAAGTGGGCAAATCATTTGAACCAAGGCATTTGAGACCAGTTTGGGAAAGATGGTGAAATTTCATCTCTACAAAAAATACAAAAATTAGACAGGCATGGTGGCAGACACCTGTATTCCAAGCTACTCTGGAGGCAGGGGTGGAAAGATTGCTTGAGCCTGGGAGGCAGAGGTTGCAGTAAGCTGAGATCTTGCCACTGTACTCCAGCCTGGGCAACAGATCGAGACTGTGTCTTAAAAAAATAATGATAAAAGAAAAGAAAATGTTTATACACTGCTGGTGGGAATGTAAATTAGTTCAGCCAGTGTGGAAAGCAGTTTGGTAATTTCTCTAACAACTTAAAACGATACTACTATTCTAGTAATCCTATTACTGAGTATACAAATAATTCTACCATATATACAAATCCTATTCCCAGTGTACAAATAATTCTACCATAAAGACATATGTATTTGTATGTTCATCATAGCACTATTCAGAATAAAAACATGGAATCATCCTAGATGCCTATCAAGGATGAACTGGATTAAAAAATATGGTACACATACATCATAAAATATGATGCAGCCAGGAAAAAAGAACAAAATTATTTCCTATGTAGCAACGTCAATGCAGCTGGAGGCCATTATCCTAAGCAAATTAATGGAGGAACATAAAACAAAATACTAGTGTTCTCACTTATAACTGGGAGCTAAATATTAAATACACATGGACACAAAGAAGGGAACAATAGACACCGGGGCATTTTAGAGGGTGAAGGGTGGGAGGAGGGTGAGAATTAAAAAAACAATATATTGGATACTATGCTCACTACCTGGGTGAAGAAATCATTTTCATATCAAACCCCAATGACATGCAATTTAGTCATGTAACAAACCTACACATGTACCCTCTGGACCTAGAATAAAAGTTGATAGGAGAAGTTTAAGGGCAAGATAGCCAACTAGATGCAGTCAGGTGGACCAGACCCCTCTGAAAAACCAAGAAAACTAGTGTGTTCCTAACAGATCTTCGGATGGAAGGCACTGAGGTTGGACAGAGGGAAGTTACAGAAGCTGGGAAGGAGAAAGCTGGGAACCTTGCATGGGGCTACCACCACCAGGACTCATTCCTGGTCCACCAATGGTTCCAGGGAAATGGGTGAACTTAACTGGCAAAGAGCAACGCACTCTCACCATGGGCCTCTAGAACTCTGGCAGGAGGAGACCCCTCGACCATGGGCACTCGAGTTGGCAGGGAGAACTGCTTAGAGAAGTGGTAGAAGCAGTAAGCCAGCTGATGTGGAGCCCAGAGGGCTTGGTGCAGGAGCATCTCTAGTAAAGCACGGTCAGGGACAGCCATCCCTCTAAGCTCTACTTGCTTCCATAGGATAATTTAGCCCTAGGGGAACTGTCAAACCTGAACTCTGCAGGGTGGTCTTGCCCATCAAACAAGGCCAGTCCAACCTGAGCACATCTTGGTGTACTAGCCTCTCCCAGGGCCTGGCCTGGCTGCACCTGCTTGCAGGACAGCCTTAGGTGTGTTAGGGGTGCACACCACAGTTTCTAAACTGGTGGACTGTGCCTACCTGGCATGGAGCTCCAGTTGGGCAGCCACAATGGTCACGCGCCTGCTTGCATGCTCCCTCCTTATACTGCAGCCACCTCCAGGCCTATGGCAACTCCCCACATCGTTTTTCTGGCACGTGTTTGCACAGGCGGATTTTGCTTTCCTTGCCCTGCCAGCACGTTGGAGTGCAGTTTGCCTCCCCTGACCCACAGAGCACCATTGCAGATGGAGCCTTGGTGGGCAAAGAGCCAGCCAGCGCTGTCCCCACCAGTGCCCTGCCCCTGTGCTAACATTGTGCAGAGAACAACAGATCCTCCCCTGCCCTGAGCAACCACTGCTGCTTGTGGGGTACAGATAATGCACTTAGGCCTATAACTGCCAGTGCTCCGCCACCGAGTCAACGGCCACCTTCAGCATGACTGTGCACACAGTGACCAGCAGAGGCGCCAGCACCCCCAGATGCATTGCCTCTGCCAAGGTGATGAACGCCCACAGGGAGGCAAGCACCCTGGCACCCACTAGTGCTCTGGAGCAGCTGCCTCCAGGACTGCTGCTGGCATGAGCGAACGAGGATGGATTCCACTGTCACAACACTACAAAATGCTTTGGCTGACACCACTCACTGGAATTTAGTGAGGAGCAGTCCAGGAGCACATAGGCCCCTCAGCACAGTGGATTCCTAACCTCGAGATGGCAGAGAGCAAAGTTGGGGCCCAATATAAGTGCTACAGAGTTAGAGCATGCAGCCCAGAAATTGGGAACTGAGCACTGGGCTCCTAAAATCTTTCAGAAACAAAGTCAGTTGGCTGAATTCAACTTATACCACAGTCAAACACTCAAGGACATCAAATAGAAGAAAAAAAAAACATTCAAGTGTCAGCAGTCTGAAGTTAGGTAAGCCCACAAAGATAAGAAAGAGTCAGTGCAAGTATCCTGAAAACTCAAAAAGACAGAGTGCCTTCTTTCCTCCAAAGGACCACATAGCCTCTCAAGCAAGTTCTGAACTGGGCTGAGATGGCTGAAATGATAAAAACAGAATTCAGATTTTAGATAGGAATGAAGAAGCCCAATCCAAGGAAGTTAAAAAATCATGATACAACAATGCAGGAGCTGACAGACAAAATAGCCAGTATAGAAAAAAAAAAAACATAACCAACCTGATAGAGCTGAAAAACACACTACAAGAATTTCATGATGCAATCGCAAGTATTAATAGCAGAGTAGACAAGTGAAGGAAGGAATCTCAGAGCTTGTAGACTGGGTTTCTGAAATAAGACAGGCAGACAGGAATAGAGAATAAAGAATAAAAATAAATGAACAAAATCTCTGAGAAATATGGGATTATGTAAAGAGAACAAATTACAACTCATTCGTGTCCCGAAGGAGATGGGGAGAAAGAAACCAACTTGGAAACATATTTCAGGATATCATCCATGAGAACTTCCCCAACCTAGCTATAGAAGCCAATATTCAAATTCAGAAAATGTCAAGAACTCCAGTAAGATACTTTACAAAACGATCATCCCCAAGACACATCAGATTCTTCAAGGTAGAAATGAAAGAAGAAATGTTAAAGGCAGATAGAGAGAAAGGTCAGGTCACCTACAAAAGGAAGCTAATCAAACTAACAGCAGACTTCTCAGCAGAAACCCTATAAGCCAGAAGAGATTGGTAGCCAACATTCAACATTTTGAAAGAAAAGAAATTCCAACCCACAATTTCATATCTCACCAAAGTAAACTTCATAAGCAAAGGAGAAATAAGATCCCTTTTGGATAAGCAAATGTTGAGGGAATTCATTACCACCAGACCTGCCTTACAAGAGCTCCTAAGGGAAGTACTAAATATGAAAAAAAAAGACTGTTGCCAGTCACTACAAAAACACACTAAAGTACACAGACCAGTGACACTATAAAGCAACCACATAAACGAGTTTGCAAAAATAATCAGCTAACATCATTATAACAGGAACAAATCCATATGTATCAATAATAACTTTTAATGTAAATGGGCTATATGCCCCCAATTAAAAGACACCAACTGGTAAGCTGGATAAAGAACCAAGACTCATTGGTATACTCTCTTTAAGAGGCCCATCTCACATCCAATGACAACCATAGGCTCAAAATAAAGGGATGGATAAAAATCTATGGAGCAAATGGAAAACAGAAAGAAGCAGGAGCTGCCATTGTAGTTTCAGAAGGAAAAAAAACAAACAAACTTTAAAACACAATGATCAAGAAGGATAAAGAAGGGCTTTACGTAATGGTAAAAGGTTCGACTCAACAAGAAAATCTAACTATTCTGACTATATATGCACCCAACATCAAAGCACCCAGATTTATAAGGCAAGTTCTTACAGACCTTCAAAGAGACTTAGACTCCCACACAATAATAGTGACAGACTTTAACACCCTACTGATGATAATATTAGACAAATCATCAAGACAGAAAATTAAAAGACATTTAGGACCTGAACTCAGCACTGGATTAAATGGATCTGATAGAATTTTACATAACTCTCCACCCATAACAACAAAATATACATTCTTCTCACTGCCACATGGCACATACTCTGAAACTGATCACATAATCAAAAGTAAAATGCTCCTCAGATAATGCAGAAGAACTGAAATCATAACAAACAATCTTTTGGACCACAATGCCATCAAATTATAAATCAAGACTAAGAAATTCACTCAAAACCATAAAATAAATTACACGGAAATTGAATAACCTGTTCCTGAATGACATTTGGGTAAATACTGAAATTAAGGCAGGAATTAAGAAGTTCTTTGAAATTAATGAGAACAAAGACACAACATACCAGAATCTCTGGGACACAGCTAAGGCAGTGTTTAGAGAAAATTTATAGCACTAAATGTCCACAGAAAAAGGTTGGAAGGATCTCAATTTAACAATCCAACATCACAACTAAAAAAACTAGAGAACCAAGGGCAAACAAATTCCCAAGCTAGCAGAAGACAAAAATCAATCAAAATCAGAGCTGAACTAAAGGAGATTGAGACACGAAAAACCCATTAAAAGATCAATGAACTGAGGAGCTTGTTTTTAGAAAAAATTAATAAAATAGATAGATAACCAGCTAAACTAATAAATAAGAAAGGAGAGAAGATTCAAATAAATACAATCAGAAAGAAGCAGGGGGATATTACCACTTGAAAATCTACAAGAAATGAATACATTCCTGGACACATACACCCTCCAAAGACTGAACCAGGAAAAACCTGAATCCCTGAACAGACCAATAATGAGCTCTGAAACTGAGTAATAAACAGCCTACCAACTAACAAAATGCCCAGGACCAGATGGATTAACAGCTTAATTCTACCAGATTTTCAATGAAATGCTGGTATCATTTCTGCTGAAACTATTCCAACAAAATTGAGGAGCTCCTCCCTAGTATTCTATGAAGCCAGCATTATCCTGATACCAAAATCTGGCAGAGACACAACAAAAAAAGAAAACTTCAGACCAATATCCTTGATGAAAATTTATGTAAAACTCCTCAACAAAAAACTGGCAAACCGAATCCAGCAGCACATCAGAAAGCTTATCCACCAAGATTAAGCGGGCTTTATCACTGGGATGCAAGGTTGGTTCAACACGTGCAAATCAATAAATGTGATTCATCATAAAAACAAGAAGCTGAAAACAATAACCACATGTGATTATTTCAATAGATGCAGAAAAGGCTTTTGGTAAAATTCAACACCTCTTCATGTTAAAAATTTTTGATGAACTGGTTGGTGAAAGAACATACATCAAAATAGTAGAACCATCTAAGACTAAACCATAACCAACATCATACTGAAACATTCCCATTGAAATCAGTCAAGACAAAAATGCCGTGTCTCACTACTTCTATTTAATAGAGTATGGAAAGTCCTTGCCAGGGAAATCAGGCAGGTGAGAGAAAGTAAAGGCATTCGAAAAGGAAGAGGTGAATTCAAAATATACCAGTTTGCAGATGACTTAATCATATATCCAGAAAAGCCCATAGTCTCAGGCCAACTTTATCAGTCCCTTAAGCTGATAAACAACTTCAGAAAAGTCTCAAGATATGAAACCAATATGCAAAAACCACTATCATTACTATATACCAGCAACAGTCAAGCCAAGATTCAAATTAGAAAGCAATCCCACTCAGTAACAATTGCCACAAAAAGAAAATACCTAGGAATACAGCTAACCAGGGAGGTGAAAGATCTCTACAAGGAGAACTACAAAACACTACTCAAAGAAATTAGAGATGACAAAAATAAATGGAAAAACATTTCATGCTCATGGATAAGCAGAATCAATATCATTAAAATGGCCGTAGTGCCCAAAGAGATTTATAGATTCAGTGCTATTCCTGTTAAACTACCATTGACAGTCTTCCCAGAGCTAGAAAATACTATTTAAATATTCATATGAAACCAACAAAGAGCCTGAATAACCAAGGAAATCGTAGGCAAGAAGAATGAAGCAGGAGGCATCATGCTACCTGACTTCAAATCATAGTACAGGGCTACAGTAACCAAAACAGCATAGTACTGGCAGAAAAACAGACACATAGACCAACAGAACAGATAACAGAATAGAACAGATAATAGATATAGATATAGATAATAGATATAGATATATCTATATAGATAATGGATATAACAGAATAGAACAGATAATAGAACAGATAATAAAATAGAAAGAATGGTACCAGCTCCTCCTTGTACCTCTGGTAGAATTCGGCTGTGAATCCATCTGGTCCTGGACTTTTTTTGGTTGGTAGGCTATTAATTATTGCCTCAATTTCAGAGCCTGTTACTGGTCTATTCAGGGATTCAACTACTTCCTGGTTTAGTCTTGGGAGGGTATATGTGTCCAGGAATTTATCCATTTTTTCTAGATTTTCTAGTCTATTTGCATAGAGGTGTTTATAGTATTCTCTGATGGTAGTTTGTATTTCTGTGGGATTGGTGGTGATATCCCCTTTATCATTTTTTAATTGCATCTATTTCATTCTTCTCTTTTTTCTTATTAGTCTTGCTAGCGGTCTATCAATTTTGTTGATCTTTTCAAAAAACCAGCTCCTGGATTCACTGATTTTTTGAAGGGTCTTTTTGTGTCTCTATCTCCGTCAATTCTGTTCTGATCTTAGTTATTTCTTGCCTTCTGCTAGCTTTTGAATGTGTTTGGTCTTGCTTCTCTAGTTCTTTTAATTGTGATGTTAGGGCATCGATTTTAGATCTTTCCTGCTTTCTCTTGTGGGCATTTAGTGCTACATATTTCCCTCTACACGCTGCTTTGAATGTGTCCCAGAGATTCTGGTATGTTGTGTCTTTGTTCTTATTGGTTTCAAAGAACATCTTTATTTCTGCCTTTATTTCATTATGTACCGAGTAGTCATTCAGGAGCAGGTTGTTCAGTTTCCATGTAGTTGAGCAGTTTTTAGTGAGTTTCTTAATCCTGAGTTCTAGTTTGATGGCACTGTGGTCTGAGAGACAGTTTGTTGTAATTTCTGTTCTTTTACTTCCAACTATGTGGTCAATTTTGGAATAAGTGTGACGTGGTGCTGAGAAGAATGTATATTCTGTTGATTTGGGGTGGAGAGCTCTGTAGATGTCCATTAGGTCCTCTTGGTGCAGAGCTGAGTTCAATTCCTGGATATCCTTGTTAACTTTCTGTCTCATTGATCTATCTAATGTTGACAGTGTGGTGTTAAAGCCTCCCATTATTATTGTGTGGGAGTCTAAGTCTCTTTGTAGGTCTCCAAGTACTTGCGTTATGAATCTGGGTGCTCCTGTATTGGGTGCATATATATTTAGGATAGTTAGCTCTTCTTGTTGAATTGATCACTTTTGTATTATGTAATGGCCTTCTTTGTCTCTTTTGATCTTTGTTGGTTTAAAGTCTGTTTTATCAGAGACTAGGTTTGCAACCCCTGCCTTTATTTTGTTTTCCATTTGCTTGGTAGATCTTCCTCCATCCCTCTATTTTGAGCCTACGTGTGTCTCTGCATGTGAGATTGGTCTCCTCAATACAGCACACTGACAGGTCTTGACTCTTTATCCAATTTGCCAGTCTGTGTCTTTTAATTGGAGCATTTGGCCCATTTACACTTAAGGTTAATATTGTTATGTGTGAATTTGATCCTGTCATTATGATGTTAGCTGGTTATTTTGCTCGTTAGTTGATTCAGTTTCTTACTAGCATCAATGGTCTCTACAATTTGGCATGTTTTTGCAGTGGCTGGTACCAGTTTTTCCTTTCCATGTTTAGTGCTTCCTTCAGGAAGTCTTGTAGGGCAGGCCTGGTGGTGACAAAATCTCTCAGCATTTGCTTGTCTGTAAAGGATTTTATTTCTCCTTCACTTATGAAGCTTAGTTTGGCTGGATATGAAATTCTGGGTTGAAAATTCTTTTCTTTAAGAATGTTGAATATTGGCCCCCACTCTCTTCTGGCTTGTAGAGTTTCTGCTGAGAGATCAGCTGTTAGTCTGATGGGCTTCCCTTTGTGGGTAACCTGACCTTTCTCTCTGGCTGCCCTTAACATTTTTTCCTTCATTCCAACTTTGGTGAATCTGACAATTATGTGTCTTCGAGTTGCTCTTCTCGAGGAGTATCTTTGTGGCATTCTCTGTATTTCCTGAATTTGAATGTTGGCCTGCCTTGCTAGGTTGGGGAAGTTCTCCTGGATAATATCCTGCAGAGTGTTTTCCAACTTGGTTCCATTCTCCCTGTCACTTTCAGGTACACCAATCAGATGTAGATTTGGTCTTTTCACATAGTCCCATATTTCTTGGAGGTTTTGTTCATTTTTTTAACTTTTTTTTTTCTGTATACTTCTCTTCTCACTTCATTTCATTCATTTGATCTTCAATCACTGATACCCTTTCTTGCAGTTGATTGAATTGGCTACTGAAGCTTGTGCATTCATCACATAGTTCTCATGCCATGGTTTTCAGCTCCAACAGGTCATTTAAGGACTTCCCTACACTGGTTATTCTGGTTAGCCATTAGTCTAATCTTTTTTCAAGGTTTTTAGCTTCTGTGCGATTGCTTCGAACTTCCTCCTTTATCTTGGAGAACTTTGATAGTCTGAAGCCTCCTTCTCTGAATTCATGAAAGTCATTCTCTGTCCAGCTTTGTTCCATTGCTGGCCAGGAGCTGTGTTCCTTTGGAGGGGGATAGGTGCTCTCATTTTTAGATTTCAGCTTTTCTGCTCTATTTTCTCCCCATATTTGTGGTTTTATATACCTTTGTTCTTTGATGATGGTGACATACAGATGGGGTTTTGGTGTGGATGTCCTTTCTGTTTGTTAGGTTTCCTTCTAACAATCAGGATTCTCAGCTGCACGTCCTGTTGGAGTTTGCTGGAGGTCCACTCCAGACCCTGTTTGCCTGGGTATCAGCAGCAGAGGCTGCGAAACAGCAAATATTGCTGAACGGCAAATGTTGCTGCCTGATCATTCCTCTGGAAGCTTGGTCTCAGAGGGGTACCCGGCCGTGTGAGGTGTCAGTCTGCCCCTACTGGGGGGTGCCTCCCAGTTAGGCTACTCGGGGATCAGGGACCCACTTGAGGAGGCAGTCTGTTTGTTCTCCGGTCTCAGACTCTGTGCTGGGAGAACCACTACTCTCTTCAAAGCTGTCAGACAGGAACATTTAAGTCTGCAGAGGTTTCTGCTGCCTTTTGTTCGGCTATGCCCTGCCCCCAGAGGTGGAGTCTACAGAGGCAGGCAGGCCTCTTTGAGCTGTGGTGGGCTCCACCCAGTGCGAGCTTCCTGACCACTTTGTTTACCTACTGAAGCCTCAGCCATGGTGGTTGGCCCTCTCCCAGCCTCGCTGCTGCCTTGCAGTTTGATCTCAGACTGCTGTGCTAGCAATGAGCGAGGCCCCTTGGGCATGGGACCCTCCAAGCCAGGCACGGGATATAATCTCTTGGTGTTCCATTTGCTAAGACCATTGGAAAAGTGCAGTAGTACGGTGGGAGTGACCCGATTTTCCAGGTGCCATCTGTCACCCCTTCCCTTGGCTAGGGAAGGGAATTCCCTGACCCCTTGCACTTCCTGGGTGAGTCAATGCCTTGCCCTGCTTTAGCTCATGCTCAGTGGTCTGCACCCACTGTCCTACCCCCACTGTCCGATGAACCCCAGTGAGATGAACCTGATACCTCAGTTGGAAATGCAGAAGTCACCCATCTTCTGTGTTGCTCACACTGGGAGCTGTAGACTGGAGCTGTTCCTATTCGGCCATCTTGGAACCACTTCCCAGAATATACATTCTTATTTGCACATGGCATATAATCTAAAATTGAACACAATTGTCCATAAAACAATTCTCAGCAAATTAAAACAATACTGAAATTATATAAACCACATTTTCAGATCACGACACAATATACATCAAAATCAATACTAAGATGATTACATAAAGTCACAGAATTACGTGGAAGTTAAACAACCTGCTCCTCAATAATTTTTGCTTAAACAATAAAATAAAGGCAGAAATCAAGGAATTATTTGAAACTCATGAGAAAAAAATACAACATAGCTGAACAAGAGAAAATATTTGCAAACTATGAATGTGACAAAGGTCTACTTCCAGCATCTATAAGGTACTTAAACAAATTAATTACCAAAAATAAAGACCTAACCCATTAAAAAGAGGGCAAAGGACATGGACACTTTTCCAAAGATGACATACATGCAGCCAACACGCATATGAAAAAATGCTAAACCTCACTAATAATTAGAGAAATGCAAATTAAAACCACAAGGAGATACCATCTCACGCCAGCCCAAAGACTATTATATGAAGAGTCAAAAAATAACAGCTGCTGGCAAGGTGGTGGAGAAGGGAATGTTTATACACTGCTGGTGTGAATGCAAATTAGTTCAGCCATTTTGGAAAGCCGTGTGGTAATTTCTCAAAGATCTTGAATCAGAATTACTATTTTACTCAGCAATCCCATTATTGGGTATATACCCAATGGAATATAAATTGTTCCACCCATGAAGACACCTGTATGCATATGTTCATTCCAGTATTTTTCACACTAGCAAAGACATAATTATTCTAAATGTCCATCAATGGTAGACTGGATAAAGAGACCTGGGGATTTTGAAGCAGAGGAAAAATGGTGTATAGGAGGCAGGACTAAATTGTAGCTCCCAATTGAACAGAGAGAGCAGCATGTGGAGACTTGGATGATGAACTTTTCCTCCAAGAACTCTGCAGGAATATACCAGAAAAGCCAAGAGAATCCACAGTCCCTTTGAGGGAAGCAGATTGCTCCTTCAGAACCTGGGAAACAGACCAAATACTGTGAGTGTCCAAACTGTGAAAGTGGGAAAGGTGAATCATCTGCCCTGGAACACACACCTTCACTGGGGAACCTGAAGATCTAGATCATGAGAGGATTGGACTTTACCTAAAGTTGAGTTAATTGAGAGAGCAGAGTGAAATACAGAGGTAGAGGAAGCAGTGAGGAAAGACCTGTTGGCTCTCTGGGTGCCCAGGGAAGCCATTTCTGATTTGACTCACTGGGATCCTTGGGGAGGGTTGCCAGAGGAACTGGGAAAATAACACAGAAAGAAAATATCCACCTGAACTTTGTAACAATTCCCACTGAATGTGAGATTTCCTGGCCAGAACTTGGGGGAGGGTGTGAATCTTGTGTGCAGACTTGACAGGTGGGGAGGTACAAAAGTCCTGCTTACTATTGCAGCTGGGAGGCTTATAGCCTGGGGCAAGTCTTCAGCCCTGCTTGCCCATTGCCTGAAAACAAACTCGGTTCTGTCAGTAGAGGGGAGGAGCATGACGGGAGCAAGACCAGCCTTTGGGTTGCATGGGAGCTGGCTGAGGCCCGTGGCAGCCAGATTTCCCCAACTTCTCTGGCAACCTGCATGACACAGCAGAGGCAGCCATAATCCTTCTGGAAACAACTCCATTTACTTGGGAACCACACCCCCATCCCCCACAGCAGCCACAGCAAGCACCGCCCAAGGAGGGTCTGAACTTAGACATGCCTAACCTTGTCCCCACCTGATGGATCTTCCCTACTCACCCTGGTAACTGAAAACAAGGGTCACATTCTCTTGGGAGCTCTAGGGTCCTGGCCACTGCCTGATCCTCTGTATAATACCACAGCTGATGCACTCTTGAAAGCACCACCTTCTCTCAGGAGGCCAAGCAGCACAAAACTAGTGCATTAAACAATTACAACTAAGGACCCTCACAGAGTTCATTTAACTCCCCGGCCACCTCCACAGGAGCAGGCGCTAGTATCCATGGCTGATAGACCTGAAGGCAGTTCACATCAAAGGACTATGTGCAGACACACCCCAGTACCAGCCCAGAGCCTGATAGCCAAGCTTGGTGGCTAGATCCAGAAGAGAAATAACAATCACTATAGTTCATCTCTCAGGAAACCACATCCTTAGGAAAAGGGGAGATTACCACATCAAGGGAGCAACCCAAGGGACAAAGAACCTGAACAGCAGCATTCAGCCCCAAATCTTCCCTCTAACATAGCCTACCTAAATGATAAGAAACCAGAAAAACAATTCGGGTCATATGACAAAACAAACTTCTCTAACACCCTCCAAAAATCACATTAGCTTACTAGCAATAGCTCCTAACGAAGAAGAAATCGCTGAATTGCCTGAAAAGGAATTCAGAAAGATAATCAAAGAGGCACCAGAGAAAGTGAGTCCAAATTAAGGAAATGAAAAAAAGACACAAGATATAGGTGGAGAAATCTTCAGTGAAATATATAGCATAAAAAATATAATGACATTTGAATTGGTTCCAAGTCTTTGCTATTGTGAATAATGCCGCAATAAACATATATGTGCATGTGTCTTTATAGCAGCATGATTTATAGTCCTTTGGGTATATACCCAGTAATGGGATGGCTGGGTCAAATGGTATTTCTAGTTCTAGATCCCTGAGGAATCGCCACACTGACTTCCACAATGGTTGAACTAGTTTACAGTCCCACCAACAGTGTAAAAGTGTTCCTATTTCTCCACATCCTCTCCAGCACCTGTTGTTTCCTGACATTTTAATGATTGCCATTCTAACTGGTGTGAGATGGTATCTCATTGTGGTTTTGATTGGGGTGGGGGGAGGGGGGAGGGATAGCATTGGGAGATATACCTAATGCTAGATGACGAGTTAGTGGGTGCAGTGCACCAGCATGGCACATGTATACATATGTAACTAACCTGCACAATGGGCACATGTACCCTAAAACTTAAAGTATAATAAAAAAATATATAATGACAACTTCAGGAAATAAAGGACACACTTAGGGAAATGCAAAATGTACTGGAAAGTCTCAGTAATAGAATCGAACAAGCAGATGAAAGAACTCCAAACTCAACAACAAGGTTTTTGAATTAACTCAACCCAACAAAGACAAAGAAAATAATTTCTAAAAATGAACAAAGCTGGAGATTGCTGACAAGAAGCCCAATAGGAAGAGCTCCAGTCTGCATCTCCCAGTGAGATCGAAGCAGAAGGTGGGTGATTTCTGCATTTCCAACTGAGGTACCTGGTTCATCTAATTGGGACTGGTTAGACAGTGGGTGCAGCCCATGGAGGGCGAGCCGAAGCAGGGTGGGGCATCACCTCACCTGGGAAGAGCCAGGGGTCAGGAATTTTCTCCCCTACCTAAGGGAAGCCAGGAGGGACTAAGCCTGAGGAACCGTGCACTCCAGCCCAGGTATTGTGCTGGTCCCCCGGTCTTCACAACCCACAGACCAGAAGATTCCCTGGGGTCCTTACCCCATCAGGGCCCTGCGTTTCACGTGCAAAACAGGGCAGCTATTGGGCAGACATCAAAGGAGCTGTAGGAGGTTTTTTTTTTTTTTTTCCATATCCTAGTGGCACCTGGAATGCCAGTGAGACAGAAGCATTCACTCCCCTGGAAAGGGGTGCTGAAGCCAGGGAGCCAAGTGGTCAGGCTCAGCAGGTCCCAACCCCATGGATCCCAGCAAATTAAGATCCACTGGTTAGAAATTCTCAGTGCCAGCACAGCAGCAGGCTGAGATCGACCTGGGATGCTCGAGCTTGGTTGGGGGAGGAGTGTCTGCCATTGCTGAGATTGAGTAGGGGGTTTTATGCTCAAAGTATAAACAAAGCCGCAGGGAAGTTCAAACTGGGTGGAGCCCACTGCAGCTCAGCAAGAATGCTGTGGCCAGACTGCCAGATTTCTTCTCTCTGGGCAGGGCATCTCTGAAAAAAAGGCAGCAGCCCCAGCCAGGGACTTAAAGATAAAACCACCATTTCCCTGGGACAGAACATCTGGGGGAAGGGGCGGCTGTGGGAACAGCTTCAGAGGACTTACACGTCTCTAGTTGATGGCTCTGAAGAGAGTAGGGGACCTTACAGCACAGTGTTCGAGCTCTGCTAAGGGTCAGACTGCCTCCTCAAGTTGGTCCCTGACCCCCATGTATCCTGACTCGGAGACACCTCCCAGTAGAGGCCAACAGATATGTCATACAGAAGAGATCTGGCTGGCATCTAGCAGGTGACCCTCTGGGATGAAGCTTCAAGAAGAAAGAACGGGCAGCAATCTTTGCTGTTCTGCACTTCTGTTGGTGATACCCAGGAAAACAGGGTCGGGAGTGGACCTCCAGCAAACTCCAGCAGACCTGCAGCAGAGGGGCAAGACTGTTAGAAGGAAAACTAACACACAGAAAGGAATAGCACGTCCACTCAAAGACCCCATCCAAAGGTCACCAACATCAAAGACTAAAGGTAGATAAATCCACAAAGATTGGGAGAACCCAGGGAAAAAAGGCTTAAAATTCCAAAAACCAGAATGCCTCTCCTCCTCCAAAGGATGAAAACTCCTTGCCAGCAAAGGAACAAAACTGGATGGAGAATGAGTTTGACGAATTGACAGAAGTAAGATTCAGAAGGTGGGTAATAACAAACTCCTCTGAGCTGAAGGAGAATGTTCTAACCCAATGGAAGGAAGCTAAAAACCTTGAAAAAAGGTTAGATGAATTGCTAACTAGAATAACCAGTTTAGAGAAAAACTTAAATGACCTGATGGAGCTGAAAAACACAGCACAAGAACTTCATGAAGTATACACAAGTATCAATAGCTGAATTGATGAAGCAGAAGAATGGATATCAGTGATTGAAAAACAACTTAAAGAAATAGGGCAACAAGACAAGATTAGAGAAAAAAGAATAGAAAGGAATGAACAAAGCATCCAAGAAATATGGGACTATGTAAAAAGACGAAATCTACATTTGATTGTTGTACCTGAAAGTGATGGGGAGAATGGAACCAAGTTGGAAAACACTCTTCAGGATATTATCCAGGAGATCTTCTCCAACCTAATAAGACAGGCCAACGTTCAAATTCAGAAAATACAGAGAATACCACAAAGATACTCCTCAAAAAGAGCAACCCCAAGACATATAATTGTCAGATTCACCAAAGTTGAAATGAAGGAAAAAATGTTAAGGGCAGCCAGAGAGAAAAGTCGGGTTACCGACAAAGGGAAGCCCATAAGACTAACAGTCGATCTCTAAGAGATTGGGGCCAATATTCAACATTCTTAAAGAAAATAATTTTCAACCCAGAATTTCATATCCAGCCAAACTAAGCTTCATAAGCAAAGGAAAAATAAAATCCTTTACAGACAAGCAAATGCTGAGAGATTTTGTCACCACCAGGCCTGCCTTACAAGAGCTCCTGAAGGAAGCACTAAACATGGAAAGGAACAACTGATAGCATCCACTGCAAAAGCATACCAAATTATTAAAAAAATCGACCCTATGAAAAAACTGCATCAACTAATGGGCAAAACAACCAGCTAGCATCATAATGATACGATCAAATTCACACTTAACAATATTAACCTTAAATGTAAACGGGCTAAATGCCCCAATTAAGAGACACACACTGGCAAATTGGATAAAGACTTAAGACCCATCAGTGTGCTGTATTCAGGAGACCCATCTCACATGCAAAGACACACATAGGCTCAAAATAAAGGGATGGAGGAAGATCTACCAAGCAAATGGAAAGCAAAAAATAGCTGGAGTTGCAATCCTGGTCTCTGATAAAACAGACTTTAAACCAACAAAGATCAAAAGAGACAAAGAAGGCCATTACATAATGGTAAAGGGATCAATGCAGCAAGAAGAGCTAACTATCCTAAATATATACACCCCCAATACAGGAGCACCCAGATTCATAAAGCAAGTTCATAGAGACCTACAAAGAGGCTTAGACTCCCACACAATAACAGTGGTAGACTTCAACACCTCACTGTCAATATTAGACAGATCAATGACCTCACTGTCAATATTAGACAGATCAATGAGACAGAAAATTAAGAACTTGAACTCAGCTCTGGGCCAAATGGACCTAATAGACATCTACAGAACTCTCCACCGGAAATAGACAGAATATACATTCTTCTCAGCACCACATTACACTTATTCTAAAATTGACCACATAATTGGAAGTAAAGCATTCCTCAGCAAATGCAACAGAATGGAAATCATAACAGTCTCGCAGACCACAGTGCAATCACAAATTAGAAGTCAGGATTAAGAAACTCACTCAAAACCACACAACTACATGGAAACCAAACAACCTGCTCCTGAATGACTACTGGGTAAGTAAATAAATGAAGGAAGAAATAAAGATGTTCTTTGAAACCAATGAGGATGAAGATACAATGTACCAGAATCTCTGGGATACATTGAAGGCAGTGTATAAAGGAAAATTTATAGCACTAAATGCCCACAAGAGAAAGCAGGAAAGATCTAAAATTGACACCCTAACATCAAAATTAAAAAAAACGAGAAAAGCAATAGCAAACAAATACAAAAGCCAGCAGAAGACAAGAAATAATTAAGATCAGAGCAGAACTGAAGGAGATAGAGACATGAAAAACCCTTCAAAAAAAATCAATAAATCCAGGAGCTGGTTTTTTGAAATGATCAACAAAATAGATAGACCATGAGCTAGATTAATAAAAAAGAAAAGAGAGAAGAATCAAAGAGATGCAATAAAAATGATACAGGGAATATCGCCACTGATCCCACAAAAATACAAACTACCATGAGAGAATACTATAAACATCTCTACACAAATAAACTAGAAAATATAGAAGAAATGGAGAAATTCCTAGACATATACACACAAGAAGTCTAAACCAGTAAGAAGTTTAATCCCTGAATAGACCAATAACAAGTTCTGAAATTGAGGCAGTAATTAATAGCCTACAAACCAAAAAACGTCCAGGACCAGATTCACAGCTGAATTCTACCAGAGGTACAAAGAGGAGCTGGTACCATTCCTTCTGAAACTATTCCAAACAATAAATAGGTAATCCTCCCTAACTCATTTTATGAGCCCAACAATATCATACCAATACCTGGCAGAGACACAGCAACAAAGAAAATTTCAGGTCAATATCCTTGATGAACATTGATGCAAATATCCTCAATGAAATACTGGCAACCGAATCCAGCAGCACGTCAAAAAGCTTATCCACCATGATCAAGTCAGCTTCATCCCTGGGATGCAAGGCTGGTTCAACATATGCAAATCAATAAATGTAATCCATCACATCAACGGAACCAAAGACAAAAACCACATGATTATCTCAATAGATGCAGAAAAGGCCTTCAACAAAATACAACACCCCTTCATGCTAAAAACTCTGAATAAACTAGGTATCGATGGAATATATCTCTAAATAATAAGAGCTATTTATGACACAGCCAATATCATACTAAATAGGCAAAAACTGGAAGCATTCCATTTAAAAACCGGCACAAGACAAGGATGTCCTCTCTCACCACTCCTATTCTACATAGTACTGGAAGTTCTGAGCAGGGTAGTCAGGCAAGAGGAAGAAATAAATGATATTCAAATAGAAAGAGAGGAAGTCAAATTGTCTCTGTTTGCAGATGACATGATTGTATATTTACAAAACCCCATCATCTCAGCCCAAAATCTCCTTAAGCTGTTAAGCAATTTCAGCAAAGTCTCAGGATACAAAAACAATGTGCAAAAATCACAAGCATTCCTATACACCAATAACAGACAAACAGAGAGTCAAATCATGAGGGAACTTCCATTCACAATTGCTACTAAGAGAATAAAATACCTAGGAATACAACTTACAAGAGATGTGAATGACCTCTTCAAGGAGAACTACAAACAACTACTCAAGGAAATAAGAGAGAACACAAACAAATGGAAAAAATCCCATGCTCATGGACAGAAAAAAATCAATATGGTGAAAATGGCCATACTGCCCAAGGTAGTTTGTAGATTCAATGCTATCCCCATCAAGCTACCACTGACTTTCTTCAAAGAATTTGAAAAAACTACTTCAAACTTCATATGAAACCAAAAAAGAACCCACATAGGCAAAACAATCCTTAGCAAAAAGAACAAAGCTGGAGGCATCGCGCTGCCTGCTTCAAACTATACTACAAGGCTACAGTAATCAAAACAGCATGGTACTTGAACCAAAACAGATATATAGACCAATGGAACAGAACAGAGGCTTGAGAATTAACACCACACATATACAACAATCTGATATTTGACACACCTGACACAAACAAGCAATGTGGAAAACATTCCCTATTTAATAGTGTTGGGAAAACTGGCTTGCCATATGCAGAAAACTGAAACTGGACCCCTTCCTTACACCTTATATAAAAATCAACTCAAGATGGATTAAAGACTTAAACGTAAGACCTAAAACCATAAAAATCCTAGAAGAAATCCTTAGCAATACCATTCAGGACATAGGCATGGGCAAAGACTTCATGACTGAAATGCCAAAAGCAATGGCAACCAAAGCCAAAATTGACAAATGGGATCTAACTAAACTAAAGAGCTTCTATACAGCAAAATAAAGTATCATCAGAGTGAACAGGCAACCTAAAGAATGGGAGAAAATTTTTGCGCTATCAGTCTGACAAATGGCTAATATCGAGAATCTACAAAGAACTTAAACAAATTTACAAGAAAAAAACAAATGACTCCACAAAAAGTGGGCAAAAGATATCAACAGACACTTCTCAAAAGAAGACATTTATGTAGCCAACAAACATATGAAAAAAATGCTCATCATCACTGGTCATTATTGATATGCAAATCAAACCACAATGACATACCATCTCACACCAGTTAGAATGGTGAACATTAAAAAGTCAGGAAACAATAGATGCTGGAGAGGATGTGGAGAAATAGGAATGCTTTTAAATGGTTGGTGGGAGTGTCAATTAGTTCAACCATTGTGGAAGACAGTGTGGCAATTCCTCAAGGATCTAGAACTAGAAATACCATTTGATCCAGCAATCCCATTACTGGATATATACCCAAAGGATTATAAATCATTCTACTATAAAGACACATGCCCACGTATGTTTATTGTGGCACTAATTACAATAGCAAAGACTTGGAACCAACCCAAATGTTCATCAATAATAGACTGGATAAAGTAAATGTGGCACATATACACCATGAAATACTATGCAGCCATAAAAAGGGATGAGTTCCTGTTCTTTGCAGGGACGTGGATGAAGCTGGAAACGATCATTCTCAGCAAACTATGACAGGAACAGAAAACCAAACACTGCATGTTCTCACTCATAAGTGGGAGTTGACAAATGTGAACACATGGACAAAGGTAGGGGAACATCACACACTTGGGCCTGTCAGGGGTGGGGGGCTAGGGGAGGGATAGCATTAGGAGAAATGCCTAATGTAGATGATGCATTGATGGGTGCATCAAACCACCATGGCACAGGTATACCCATGTAACAGAACTGCATGTTCTGCACATGTACCTCAGAACTAAAAGTATAATTTAAAAAAATGAATAAAGCCTCAAATAAGTTTAAGATTATATTGAATAGCCAAACTTAAGAATAATTGGCATTCATGAGGAAGAAGATATATCTAAAAGCTTGAAGAACATATTTGGGGAAATAATCGAGGAAAACTTTTCTGGCATTGGTAGAGATCTAGATATCCAAATACAAGAAGCCCAAAGAACACCTGGGGATTTCATTAAAACAAGATCATCACCTAGGCACATTGTCATCAAGTTATCTGAAGACAAGATGAATGAAAGAATCTTAAGAATTGTGTGGCAAAAGCAGCAGGAAACGTGTAAAGGAAAATCTATCAGATAAACAGCATATTTCTCAGCAGAAACCCTACAAGCTAGAAAGAATTTGGGCTGTATCTTCAGTCTCATTAAACAAAACAATTGTTAACCAAAAATTTTGTATCCAGCAAAACTAAGCTTCATAAGTGAAGTAAAGATACAGTCTTTGCCAGATAAACAAATACTGAGAGAAGTTGACACTATCAAACCAGCTCTAGAATAACTGCTAAAGCAGCTCGAAATCTTGATACAAATCCTGGAAACACATCAAATAGAATCTCTTTAAAGCATAAATCTCACAGTACCTATAAAATAAAAACACAGTAAATAAAAACCAGGATACTTAGGCAACAAATAGCATGATGAATGGAATAGTATCTCACATCTCAATACTAACGTTGAATGTAAGTGACCTAAATGCCCCATGTAAAAGATATAGAATTGCAGAGTAGGTAAGAATTTACCAGCCAAGTATCTGCTGCCTCTAAGAGACTCACCTAACACATAAGGACTCACATAAACTTAAGGTAAAGCATGGAAAAAGATATTTCATGCAAATGGACACCAAAATTGAGTAGGAGTAGCTATTCTTACGTCAGACAAAATCTTTAAAGCAACAGCAGTTTGAAAAGACAAAGAGGGACATTATATAATAATAAAAGGCCTTATCCAACAGGAAAATGTTACAATTCTAAATATAAATGTGTATAACACTGGAGTTCCCAAATTCATAAAACAATTACTTCTAGATGTAATAAATGAGAAAAACAGCAATGTGATAATAGTGGGGAAACTTCAATACTTCACTGACAGCAATAGACAGTTCATCAAGACAGAAAGTCAAAAAAGAAACAATGGACTTAAACTATACCCTAGAAAAAATAGATTTAACAGATATGTACAGCCATTCTACCCAACAACCACAGGATATACATTTTATTCATCAGTGCATAAAACTTTCTCCAAGATAGACCATATGATAGGCCACAAAACAAGTCTTAATGAATTTAAGAAAATTGAAATTACATCAACTACTTCCTCAGACCACAGTGGAATAAAAGTGGAAATCAACTCCAAAAGGAACCTTCAAAACCATAAAACACATACAAATTAAATAACCTGTTCCTGAATGTTCACTGGGTAATCAATGAAATCAAGATGGAAATTAAAATATTCTGTGAATTGAACAATAATAGTGACATGTCCTATCTAAACATCTGTGATACAGCAAAGTCAGTGTTAAGAGGAAAGTTGAGAACCTTAAATACCTACTTCAGTAAATCTGAAAGAGCACATACAGATAATCTAAGGTCACACCCCAAGAAACTAGAGAAGAGCAAACCAAACCCCAAACCCAGCAGAAGAAAAGAAATAGCAAAGGTTATAGCAAAATAAAATAAAATAAAATATAAAAATATAAAACATAAATAAAACAAAAGGCTGGTTCTTTTAAAAGACAAATAAAATTGATAAACCATTAGCAAAATTAACCAAAAAGAGAGAGAATATCCAAAAAAGCTCAATTAGAAATGAAACAGGAGATATTACAACCGACAGCACAGAAATACAAAAGATTATTCAAGGCTACTACAAACATGCACATAAACTAGAAAACCTAGAGGAGATGGATAAATTCCTGGAAAGATACAACCCTGCTAGCTTAAAACAGAAAGAATTAGAAACCCTGAACAGACCAATAACAAGCAGCAAGATTGAAATAATCATAAAAAAATTACTAACAATAAAAAAATTTAGGACAAGATTGATTCACTGTTTAATTCTATCAGACATAAAAAAAAAGTAGGTACCAATCCTATTGACACTATTCCACAAGATAGAGGAAAAGAGAATCCTCCCTAAATCATTCTATGAAGAGAGTATCACCAAGGAGAGGACATAACCAAAAAAAGAAACTACAGACCAATATCTGTAGGGAGCTGAAGGCCCGTGGGATGTGACCAACTCAGCATTCCACTGGAGGCTATGTGATCAAACAGCAAACTGTTTATCATGAATGCAGGATGTGGGCAAACTCACACTGCGCCTGATGCCAAAAGGTTTGCTGACGGCTGTCACTCCCTGGTGCCGGGCTCCTTGAAGTTATCTACTGGGAAATCTAGTGCCTATTGCTCAAAGGATGCAGTCTCACAAGCCTGCTGTGAACCAAATGGCCGAGTGACAATTACCCAACAATCATCGCTCCCTTTCTTGTTATCTCTCTTACCTAATAAATTTGGAGGGCTGAAAAAGCTCAGGACCCTTGTCCACTAGAGACAAGGTGCCCCCTGACCCCTTCTTCCAAACATATTCTTTTGTCTTTGCCTTTTATTCTCATGTTTGCCCCATTTGTTCAGTCCCTCAATGTCCGTGCAGGTTACAAGTGGTGAACAAACACAGGGACTTCGAGGACGTGAACAAAGAAGGTCTGCTGAAGCAGAGGAACTGAAATTCACAAGCCGAACGGGGACCCTGGAACGAGTCTGCCAGCAGTGGATATAAGGTTAGTGCCCTAAAGAGGTACTGATCAGTGCCCTAAAGAGGTACTGGGTACTGGGAACAGGAAGTTTTCTGAATCAGGGTAACATGGGCCAGAATTTGTCTGTTGAAGAAAAACATGTGCAGTTGCTTAAAGTTCTGTTGAGACAGTCTGGAGGTCAGGTTAATTCACAGACACTTACTAACCACCTGCAGAAGCCACAAAATGTTATTATGCATAACCCATGGTTTCCATAGGCAGGCACTTTTGATGTGGAAAATTGGGACAGAGCAGGAGATGGATTAAAACAGGCTCATCAAAAAGGTCTTAAAGTTGATTTTTCTGTGTTTTCCACTTGGAGTTTAATTTGTACTGTACTTCTACCATTATCTCCTTATTATTCTGCAGGACAGGAGGCTGAGTCTAAAAATCTGAAAGAATCTGTTGTCCCACCCACAGCACTAATTGAAAATAAAAAACAGGAGAGGGAGGATAAAAATTGGCCTATACCACCTCCTCCAATTGCAGAAACATCTGTACCACCTCCTTCAGTAGCAGAAATAGAAATGAAAAATACAAAGAATTTTACCCTCTGCTGCCATAGCTGAAGAGCCCTTAGGACCTTGCACTTTTCCTATTTCTGTAAGGCCTGATCGAAGTAATCCACAGCAGCTTATTCATGAACACACTCCACTAGAGTTTAAGTTGTTGAAGAAATTAAAAGCAAGTGTAGTAAATAATGGCGTACGGAGCCCATTTACTTTAGGATTGCTAGAATCTGCATTTGGTGCTATCTATCTTTTACCCTTTGATGTAAAACACTTGACATGAACTTGCTTGTCTGCTAGTGCATATCTGACAGGGAATTTAAATTAACAAGAAATGTGTGCAGATCAGGCTAGACAGAACTGTGTTGCTGGACACGGAGACATTACAGAGGATAAGCTACTGGGTAATGACCCTTATTCAGACCTGGAACGTCAAATGGCACTCCCAGACGCTGCTTATCAGCAGTGTGCACAGGCTGCTAAATGCACCTGGGCTGCAATTCCTGAAGAGGGAGTCCCAGTACAATCCTTTTTAAATATCATGCAAGGGTCACAGGAACCCTATGCACAATTTCTTGCACAAGTACAAGAGGGAGTGAAGTGTCAGATTCCTCATACCATGGCTGCAGAAATGCTAACCTTAACTCTAGCGGATTGTAAATGTGCACTGGCACCTGTGAGGTGTACAAAAATCTTGGGAAATTTTCTCAGAGCTTGTCAGGATGTAGGAACTGAGCTTCATTGATCTGCAATGTTAGCACAAGCAATGGCTAATTTAGCAGTTGACAAATCTAAAACGAGCCAAGGGTCAAACCCTAAAATGTGAAAATGTTACAGTTGTGGAAAAACTGGACATTTTAAAAAGGAATGCCACAAGATCTCAGGACAGAAAGCACCTTAAAATGCAGTTACCCCCCACCCCCAGTGGAAAAAATGTCAGAACTTTGTCCTTGTTGTAACAAAGGAAATCACTGGGCTAATCAGTGCTGCTCAAAATTTCATCAGAATGGCACCCCCTGTTGGGAAGCGAGATGGGGGCCTTGACCCAGGCCCCTCAAACAATGAGGGCATTCCCAGTTCAGACCACAACCCTGTTTCAGGAAACACATTGATTGCCTCACCCCAGGAACACCAGGAAGTGCAGGATTAGATCTACCCGCCAGAGAAAGAATCATGTTAGTTGGGGGAGATAAACCCATCAAAGTTCCCACTGGTATTTGGGGACATTTACTAACAGGATACATGGGACTAATTTTAGGCAAAAGCCATCTTAACTTACAGGGCATTATTGTAATCCCAGGAGTTGTTGACTCTGATTATGAAGGGGAAATTCAAGTAGTTTTAATGTCACAAGATCTTTGGGTTTTTGAACCAGGAGACTATATTGCTCAATTATTGCTTATTCCCTGTAAATTACACCCTTCTCTGCAAAAGAAGAAATGAGAAAATAAATGGCTCGGGAGCACAGCTACATGACAAATTTATCTATCCCATCCCATAGACTCTAATAGACCCACCTGTGTAGTACAAATTAAAGGAAGGGAATTTTATGGGCTTACGGATATGGGAGCTGATGTGTCAGTAATATCTAAAGACAACTGGCCCCCATCCTGGCCCTTGCAATTAACTTCTACTTCCCTAGTGGGAGTAGGAGAAGCTAAGAGTGCTGAGATTTTATCTTGTCTTGGTCCAGATGGACAATTGTGTACTTTTCAGCTTTATGTTGCAAATATAGCTATCAATTTATGAGGTCAAGACTTACTTACAGCATAGGATATGAGACTCACAAATGAAAACTTTGATAACCCAGATTTAAAATGTTGAAGAACATGGGATATCAGGGTGGGAAAGGTTTAGGGAAAGTCCTACAAGGAAATCTAACCTGATATTAGTAACTGGAAAAACAGATAGCAAAGGGCTAAGATGTCAGGATTTCTGATGGGGGTCATTTATATTTCTCCTCTGCCTACTGCCTTACCATTAGAATGGCTTAGTGACAAACCTGTGTGGGTGGATCAATGGCCCCTAACACAGGAGAAGCTAGATCAACTTCATCTGTTGGTAAAAGAACCTTTGGATTCAGTACATATAGAAAAGTCAGTTAGCCCCTGGAATTCACTGGTATTTGTTATTCCAAAAAAGTCCAGAAGCAATAATGACCTCTGGGGTTTCAGCTCAATGCTCAGAGCTAATTGCAATCATTCAGGTTTTATAGCTTACAGTTTCAGATCCTATCAACATTGTCAGTGATTCAGCTTATGTTGTAAATGTAACCAGTCACATAGAAACTGCTACAATTAAAAGTCCACTAGACCCAAAACTGCATAATTTGTTTATGTTCGTGTGACTATAGGCACTTATTCTCATATGCTGCATGATACATGCCAAACAGATGAGACAGCTGGTCATGTATGGCAACATTGTCTGTCATCATTTGCTCATATGGAGATACGTAAACAATTAAGAACTGACAATGGACCCACTTATACTAGTCATGCTTTTCAAAATTTCTTACAGCTTTGGACAATAACCCATAAAACAGGAATTCCTTATAATCCTAGAGGACAAGGCATTACAATCAAACATTACAACACATGTTGAAAAGACAAAAAGGGGGTATAAGAGGACAACTACCACCTCAATCAAAACTACATTTAGACTTATTTACTTTAAATTTTTTGATTCCTGGTACAGATGGTAAGACTCCAGCAGAAAGGCATTGACAAGTGTTAGAGGCAAAGACAAAAATTTATCTGAAAGTGTTATGGAAATCCGCAGAAGAGGGACAATGGAAAGGTCTGGTGGATTTACTGATGTGGGGACGAGGGTATGCTTGTGTTTTTACAGGAGATTGACAAACCGTGTGGGTGTCCTCAAGGTGGATGCAGCCGTGGAATGGGAGACTGGAGGAACCCAGGGTGGCCAACCATGGGCCCGGTCCCTCTGGTATGAGCCATGAGCCAGCTGAGCCTGAGTACAAAGACGGAGAGGTTGACCAGCGTCATGACGACATCAACCCCCATAACCTGGGGACAACTCAAGAAAACCATGCAGGAAGCTGAGAAACTACTGGAGCATCAAGGCCAGACAAAAACCCGATTCCATGTTTGTGACCATGTTAGCCTTAATGTCCTCTGCGGTATTTTTTCCCTGTGCAAAGGCAAAAACATATTGGGCATATGTTCCAAATTCCCCAGCAGTATGACCTATACTTTGGAGTGACACTCCTCCTGGGATTTATCACGACTGGGGAGAGTGGGCTCCAGGACCCCTAACTCCCCCTGACATAGAACAATTAGACTCTCAGAATACTGTCATTAATTTTACCACTCCACTGGAAGGAATTCCTTTGTGTACCACCACAAAGATGTCACTCAGCCATAGCTGTCTTACAATTCAAGCTCAAACATGGTTGAGTCACTATGGAAAACTCATGTACTTATTAAGTCTTGGTTCTATTAATGTAACTGGTGTGCTAACCAACCATTCCAGGCCCAATCGCCCTAATTGTGCTGACTATATGGAATGGATTCCCTTCAATATTTCCTACCCCCTTCCATGGACCCAGTGTCTTGGCCCACTGGCTAGAAAACAATCTATGTTAACGGGAGACATTGTGGATTGGGGACCTAAAGGTCAATTAGATGGAAAGGACGAAAATCAGAAATCGTGGCACAAACTTCGCTGGCATTGGTGGCGAGCTTTTAATACTTCTTCTTTATATAACACCAGGATTCAATCCCAGTCTGCTGCCCAGATTGCTTGGCATGGAGCAGGCTTTAGCCTGCCTCTTCCTCAGTGGCATTATCTAGGGAGGAAAAGACCAATTCAAGAGATGAATTGGAAGGCAGCACTCCCATTTATGAATGACAGCATCTCAATTGGGATACTATCCAATAATAGCAATAGTAAGCAATGCAGTCTTAATGTTACATTTGTAAAGAATATCACCACTCAATTTACAGTTTGTGTTTTTAATCCTTATGACTTTTTGTCAGCTAAGAAGGACCAGCTCCAGGTAAACAGTATCCAATTGACCTGTAAATCTTGCCATTTGTATCACTGCATTAATCATAGCACATTGCAAACACATAATATCTCTACTTTGATTTTAGGTTGCATCCCTGGGCTATGGATTCCTATTAATCTGTCTGAGCCTTGGGTTGCCACCCTTGCCTTGCATTTTGTTGAAACTTCTTCTAACTCAGCTTACTCATTGTGTCCGTAGAGCCTTAGGCATGATAATTTTTGCTATTGTTTCCTTGGTCACACTAATGACTTCTGTTGTGATGTCCTCTGTAGCTTTGCATCATTCTATTCAAACAGCTCAGTACATGGAGAACTGGATGTGCACAGCCAACCAAGCGTGGCTACACTGAGTTACAAACTGAAGGGCCAATGTTGAAATCCATGTTTCTATGGTTAGGAGAACAAGTACAAATCTTGCAGTTGCAGCAGCAATTGCATTGTCATTTTAACCACACTCGTATTTGTGTAACAAACTTAGAATATAAAAAAAGTGAGTATCCATGGGACCCTGTGAAAGCCCATTTGTAGGGAGCTTTCACATCCATCATCACCTTTGATATTGGTGAGTTACAAAACAAAATTCTTGATTTAAATAGGCGAACTCAGGAATTTCAGCCTTCTTTAGAAGACTGGACTGAATTCCAGCAAGGCTTGGAGAGCCTCAATCCTTGGATCTATGTAAGGCACCACATTAACATCTTATATGTAGTTCTTGGAATAATGTTGTTTTGTCTCTGTCTTCTGTTCATAGTCTGTAAAATCGGATGGACCGCCAATCAGAAAATGGGTGCTGCCAAGCCTGGACTTACATTCTTTCTATTAATTTGTAAACACAAAGGGGGATATGTAGGGAGCCAAAGGCCCATGGGATGTGATCAACTCAGCATTCCACTGAAGGCTATATGATCAAACAGCAAACTGTTTATCATGAATACAGGATGTAGGCAAACTCACACTGCGCCTGCCACCAAAAAGTTTGCTCAGGGCCATCACTCCCTGGTGCTGGGCTCCTTGAAGTTATATACTGGGAAATCTAGCACCTATTGTTCGAAGGATGCAGTCTCACAAGCCTGCTGTGAACCAAACGGCTGAGTGACAATTACCTGACAATCACCCCCCCCACCTTCTCGTTATCTCTCTTACTTAATAAATTCGGAGGGCTGAAAAAGCTCAGGGCCCTGGTCCACTAGAGGCAAGGTGCCCCCTGACCCCTTCTTCCAAACGTACTTTTGTCTTTTTCATTCCAGCGTTTGCCCTCTTTGTTCAGTCCCCAAGGTCCGTGCGGGTTACAAATATCCCTGATAAACATAGATACAAAAATCCTTAACAAAACACTAGCTAATGGAATCCAACAGCATATTAAAAACATAATCCATCATGATAAAGTAAGTTTCATACAGGGGATGCAGGGATGGTTAAACATACACAAGTCAATAAATGCGATACACCCCATAAACAGAATTAAAAACAAAAATCACATGATTATCTCAATAGATGCAGAAAAAGCATCTGACAAAAGCCAGCATCCCTTCATGATTAAAACTCTCAGCAAAATCGGCATACAAAGGACATACCTCAATGTAATAAAAGCCATCTATGGCAAACACACAGCCAACATAATACTGAACAGGGAAAAGTTGAAAGCATTTCCTCTGAGAAATGGAACAAGAAAAGTATGCCCACTCTCACCACTTATGTTCAACATAGTACTGGAAGTCCTAGCCAGAGCAATCAGACAAGAGAAAGAAATAAAGGGCCTCCAAATCGGTAAAGAGGTAGTCAAACTGTAACTGTTTGCTGATGATATGATTGTATACATAGAAACCATAAAGACTTCTCCAAAACACTCCAGGAACTGATAAATGAATTCAGCAAAGTTTCAGGATACAAAATTAATGTACACAAATCAGTAGCTCTGCTATGCACCAACAGTGACCAAGCTGAGAATCAAATCAAGAACTCAACCCCTTTCACAATAGCCACAAAATAAATAAAATACTTACAAATATACATAACCAAGGAGGTGAAAGATCTCTACAAGGAAAACCACAAAACACTACTGAAAGAAAACACAGATGACACAAACAAATGGAAACAAATCCCATGCTCATGGATGGGTAGAATCAACATTGTGAAAAAGAATACTGCCAAAAGAAATCTACAAATGTCATTGCAATTCTCATAAAAAAGCCACCATCATTCTTCACAGAACTAGGAAAAAAAAATCCTAAAATTCACATGGAACCAAAAAAGAGCCTGCATAGCCAAAGGAAGACTAAGCAAAAAGAACAAATCTGGAGGCATCACATTCCCCAACTTCAAACTATACTAGAAGTCCATAGTCACCAAAACAGCATGACACCGGTATAAAAACAGGCACATAGACAAATCTTAAAGAATAGAGGACCCAGAAATAAACCCAAATGCCTACAGCCAACTGATTTTCATCAAAGCAAACAAAAACATAAAGTGGGGAAAGGACACCCTATTCAACAAATGGTGCTGGCATAATTGGCAAGCCACATGTAGGAGAATGAAACTAGATCCTCATCTCTCACCTTATACAAAAATCATCTCAAGATGGATCAAGGACTTAAATCCAAGACCTGAAACTGTAAAAATTTTAAACGATAACATCAGAAAAACTCTTCTAGGCATTGGCTTAGTCAAAGACTTCATGACCAAGAACCCAAAAGCAAACGAAACTAAAACAAAGATAAGTAAGTGGAACTTAATTAAACTAAAGAGTTCTGCACAGCAAAAGGAACAGTCATCACAATAAACAGACAACAGACAGAGTGCGAGGAAATCTTCAGAATCTATCTATTCAAAAAGGACTAATATCCAGAATCTACAAGCAACTCAAACAAATTAGCAAGAAAAAACAAATAATCCCATCAAAAAGTGGGCTAAGGACATGAATAGACAATTCTCAAGAGAAGATATACAAATGGCCAACAAACGTATAAAAATGCTCAACATCACTAATGATCAGGGAAATGCAAATCAAAACCACAATGCAATGCCACTTTACTCCCGTGAGAATGGTCATTATAAAAAAATTAAAAAATAATAGATGTTGGCATGGATGCGGTAAAAAGGGAACACTTCTACACTGCTAGTGGGAGTGTAAACTAGTACAATCACTATGGAAAATGGTGTGGAGATTCCTTAAAAAATTAAAGTAGAACTAACATTCCATCCAGCAATCCCACTACTGGGTATCTACCGAGAGGAAAAAAAGTCATTTTACAAAAAAGTTATTTGCACGTGCATGTTTATAGCAGCACAATTCGCAATTGCAAAAATATGAAACCAGCCCAAATGCCCATCAATGAATGGATAAATAAACTGTGGTGTATATATATGGTGGAATATTACTCTGCCATAAAAAGGAATGAATTAATGGAATTTGCAGCAACCTGGATGGAATTGGAGGCCATCATTCTAAGTGAAGTAACTCAGGAATGGAAAACCAAACATTGTATGTTCTCATTCATAAGTGGGAGCTAAGCTATGGGGATCCAAAGGCATAAGAATGATACAATGGACTTTGGGGACTTGGGGGAAAGGGTTGGAGTGGGGCATAAAGGATAAAATACTACAAATTGGGTTCAGTGTTTACTGCTTGGGTGACGGGTGCACCAAAATCTCACAAAGCACCACTAAAGAACTTACTCGTGTAACCAAATACTACCTGTTCCCCCAAAACCTATGAAAATAAAAAAAATATAAAAAAATTAAAAGTCACACTTTGGGTCACCTAGAAAAATCGAATATTGGGGACACATAAACCATGCAATACTACATAGCCATAAAAAGGAATGAGGTCATGCCCTTTGTAGCAATGTGGATTGAGCTGGAGGCCATTATCCTAAGCAAGCTAATGTAGGAACAGAAAACCAAATACTACATGTTCTCCCTTATAAGTGGGAGCTAAACACCGAGTAGAGATGGACACAAAGAAGGGAACCATAGGCACTGTGGCATACTTGAGGGTGGAGGGTAAGAGGAGGGAGAGAATTGAAAAATTACCTATTCAGTACTATGTTTATTACCTGGGTGATGAAATAATTTGCACACCAAACCCCTATGACATATAGTTTACCTATATTACAAACTTTTACACATATACCTCTGAACCTAAAATAAAAGTTAAAAAAAAAAACACAAAAGCATGAGCCGCAAATAAAAAAAAAGATTAATACAGCTTCATCAAAATTAGAACTGCTTATGCTTGAAAGCACACTCTCAAGAAACTGAAAGGTAAACCCATAGATAGGGAGAAAGTATTTGCCTCTCATGTATCTGATATGGGACTTGTATAAAATATATATAAATAATTCTTACAATTCAACAAAAATAGGCAAATCATCTGAACAGATATTTCTCCAAGGAAGATATACAAATAGCCAATAAGTTCAGAACATTTTGCTTGGCATCATTAGTCATCAGGGAAATTCAAAGTAAAACACAATAAGGTAACATATCAGACACACTAAAATGGTAAGAACATAAAAGTCTAATAACAATTGTTGAACATTTAAAGAAATTGGACTCTTCATATACTGCATGTGGGAATGTAAATTTTCACAGTCACTTTGATAAACACTCTGGAATTCCTCAAACAGACATAGAATTACCATATGGTCCAGCAATTTCTCCCTTGGTATAAACCTAAAAGAAATAAAAAAAAAACCTAAATAAAAACATTTACATAAATATTTATAGCAGCATTAGTCATAATTGTCCAAAGGTGAATACAACCCAAATATCTATCAAAGAATAAATGAATGAACAGAATTTTATATATCCATATGCTCAGCCATAAAAATGAATGATGAACATGCTACAAATATGGATAAATTTTGAAAACATCATGCTAATTGAAAGAAGCCCATCACAAAGGACCAAATATTATGTGATTCCATTTACATCAAATGTTCACAATAGGCAGATATATAGGAACAAAAAGTAAATTAGTGGTTGCTTAGGGCAGGAAGGATGGGAGCATTGGGGAAATGATAGCTAAAGTTTAGGGATTCCTTTATGAGGTAATGAAAATGTTCTAAATTTACTGTGACGATGGTTAATTGTATACTTTAAATTAGTGAATCATATTCTATGTGAATTACATCTTAATAAAGCTATTTTTAAAATATCTGGTGCTTCTGTATGGTAGGGAGCATGGACAGTCCGTGAATACCTTCACTATTAAGCCATTGTTGAATGGCTTTTGTGATGCAAGATGCACCATTTCCAACTGCAAATGGTCCAGGAAAATAAAAACATGACACATGGTTTCTTCAGGGGCCATAATGTTGTGTCAGTGCTGGATCATTGGATTGGAACAGCAGCACTATTAATCTGAAAAATGGTCAACAGTGGTAAGGCACAACCAATAACCCATAGAGGAGATAAAAAATTCATTGTCATCAAGGTGCCAAGTACAGTGGTGTCAGGAGCAAAACTTTATGCAATGTGGCCACTCTCACTGGCAGATAAGATTTGGAAGGCCAGAATTCTGGCATGCAATGGTAGCCTCCACAACAGAAACAGTCCTGTACTTTGATTCTGTTTATGAAGGTGGATGTGTTTCTAAACCCAGTAGAATTATGGATTCAGTTAGAAATTGAAGCAACTTTAGTGGTTCATGCTCATTCTGGAGCTTGATTTCAGTGTCACCAGATAATGGTCTCTTATGTGGTCATCATCTACATGAGTAAATCAGATACATTAAGCAGGAGCAGCAGAAGTAGCAACAATTTGTTTCTTTAGTTGCAGGCCCAAAGACAGGTGTCTTTAGTCTGCAATTTTGTAGTTTTCCAAGTGGCAACTCAAACAAGTAGGTCATTGTCAATTTCCTATGAGTCAGTAAAAGTATAACAAACTTCATCTAGGGGAGTATAACCCAGATTTATGAAAATGGCTTTGCCTTCTGGCCACTGAGGAGAGCATCCATATCTTTCAGTTTTGCATAGCTAGCAGTAAGATTGAACATATGCAGCAGCCCAGTGGACACCAGCAGGTTTCAGCTTATCGAAACTGTCAGTGAACCAGGCCCACACATTTAGTTGAACCTCTGTGAGACAAGGGCCTCATTTAACCAGCTGCTTTACTTCAGGTGGAGAGTAGGGAATAGAGTTTCCTTGAAAGGGGTAATAGCCACTTTTTCAGGTAAAGCCTATATGCCACTGGGGTGAGGCCAAGTAAGTTTTTTAATGTGCAATTTACCTTTCACAGGCAAGGCCTGCTGAGCTCTTCTCACCATTGTAGGTATTAAGTTGAAATTGATCAACCCCAAACAGGAATGTCAGGCTGGAGAGGTGCAAGGCTGACCTCCATGGTTCAGGTGTTCAGTTCTGAAATGAGCCCAGTAGCAAAATGTATTAGTCAGTTCTCACGCTGCTATGAAGAAATACCCAAGTCTGGGTAATTTATAAAGAAAAGAGGTTTAATTGACTCAGTTCCACATGGCTGGGAAAGCCTCAGGAAACTTACAATACTGGTGGAAGGGGAAGGGGAAGAAAGGTACCTTCTTCACAGGGTGGCAGGAAGAAGAAGTGCAAGCAGGGGAAATGCCAGATGCTGATAAAACCATCAGATCTCATGAGACTCACTCATTATCACAATAACAGCACGGGGGGAACCACCCCCAGGATTCAGTTACCTCCACCTGGTCCCGCCCTTGACACATGGGGATTACGGGGATTACAATTCAAGGTGAGATTCGGGTGGGGACACAAAGCCAAAACATATCACAGATAATAGCTGCTTTTCAAAAGTGGTGTTTCTGGTAGTCTTGTGAGGAAGAAGAGGAGTCCAAAACCCCAAGACATATCTCCAGGTGAAGATTGCTTCCCTTTTCCAGAGACAGCAATTGGAAAATCATCAGTTACAGATACTTATATAGCTCAAAAGTATCATTAAAATTGTAGGGCTCCAAAGGTAGAGAACATGACACAACTTACTGGACTGTTTCCATGGCAGAACTTCGTTTCAGGCTTTACTCAAAAGATGCTGATTTGTGGGTTAGCTAATATAAAGGACCAAGCAGAATGTCCAAGCAATCACAAAGCATTTCCAATATCCAAAGAATCTAGTTAGGTGCTGAAACTCCTTTTTGGTGGTGGGGGTGCTGAAGAGACAGTTTTTCTTTGCCTGAGGTTTTATTGTGAATTTGCCTACATACTTCCAGGAAACATTACTGGCAAGCAAGAGACATTACTGGCAAACAACATTACTCCTGAATTTTGCTGGTGATTTTCAATATTAATCCTGATTTTTTTTTTGGAGACTTTCAGTCATTCTTCCTAGAGGATGTGTGATAATACCACAGCTAGGTAGGGCTATTGAGACTGAGGCTTCTGACTGCCAACCATCAGGATGTCATGTATAGTGAAACTTTTGGAAATCTGAATGAAGAAGAACTTCCACCAAATTCTAACCTATCCAATTTTGGCAAATGGCACTGGAGTTTAGGTAACACTGGCGGAGTACAACAAACATGTATTAGAGGCCTTGTCACATGGATGTGAACAGCTCTTAATCCTCAGATGCTAGTATGGGAAAGAAAGTGTTGTCAATGTTTAAAACAGTGTACCATGTTCTATTAGTCTGTGTAGTAGATTCAGATAGAGTCAAGATGTCTGCAACAGCTGGGGCCACTGGAGAAACAACTGAATTTATTTGAAAATATTCCACTATCAGCCTTCAGCTCCGGTTAGATTTTGCACTGGGCATACAAGGCTGTTCTGTAAAGATCCTGGATCTCTTACTACCGCCTCCTATAGGTATTAATATTTACTCAGGGCACAGATTTTCTTTTTTCTTCCTAGAATTCTATACTTTGTGTTGGATCAACCAGGGAGCGATAGGAAACCTGGTGACAGATAAATTTATGTGTCCCACTCGTACTTATCTGTGTATGGTGAAATTTCATCTGCCACTTATGAAACAGGGAAATACAAGCATCAGTTCCCAGTGATATTCAGATGTGAAGGTAGCAGCATCAGTACGCAGAATTGGCCTAAAAAGTTTTGTTCACAAGGTCATATTGGCTTCTTTCTTTCTCCTGCTGTAAACCTGGCCAAACCCTGTTACCTAATTTCGGATGCTTTCTCCTTCCAGGAGTTCAGTAGAAGAGTTTACTTGGGCATCCATATCTAACAGAGCTATAAAAGCTTGATTCTTTCCCTCATGAAAATTCTCCAACCTACTAAGATGGATGCATATGGAATTTGATCTCCATTAAGCACAGAGATCACTTGCCCCATTTCTAATGATTTTTCTCCTTATAGCAGCTGTGCCTGACAAAGTAGTGACAGAGCTGCACTGTACCATTAGCAAGGCTTAGCATTTACTTTCGATTCTGTGTGGTATAATGGCTGCCTGTGTCTCATAACATTAAACTTCCAATGTTTTTGGCTGACTCAATTCTCAATATCAGGCAACAAAGTCCTACATAATAGCTAGGGGAGTTATCCAGAGGGGCAAACAACAATTTATCAATGAGTCTCTGGGTTGGTTTCTCATTCTCTAGAGATCACTTCATCAGTATTCTATACCCAATCCAGGCACTGAGTACAGAGACCAACTTGTCATGTATGGTTTTCACTGGGAATTTGTTTCTCTTAAGAAAATCTTCAAAAGAAGACCAGAAAATGTGGTGTTGTACTGGACTCATATTTATCTTCCACTGCACAGCATTATCAAATAGGAAAACATGCAGGGTATACCTGAAAACAGCCAGACCCAACTAATTTTCACCATGTCTACTACCATCAGGGTACTGAAACCCACCATTATCTGTAATCTACATAATTGGAATAGCCTACTAATTATTCTCCCTTTATTCATCATATACTAATAAAAACTATTCTGCAAGTTGTCAGAGTGATCCTGTAAAACTAAGACAAATCTTGTATGCCCTCCACTATAAATACATGGATGGCTCTGCATCACACTCAATGTAAAAGCCAAATTGCATTTTGAAACCTACAGGGCTATAAGCTGTCTGCCTCTCTCCCTCATCCCCATTACATCTCTGAAACCACCTCCTGCTTTTCTCTGCCTTGTTCACTCAGCTCCAGACATGATAACATCCTCCTTGCTCCTCAAACATGCCAGGCCTAAACCTGTCTTGGGGCCTCAGCACGTGCTGTCCCTCCATCTGGAATGCTCCTTCCCCAGACAGCTACAGGGTCAGTTCTCCCATTGCCTTCAGGTGAGACTCAAAAGCCAAGTTCTCAGTGAGGCCTTCCCTGGATACCTTGTCTATCTAGTTTCAGCTTCCCTCCTGAAATTTTCTATCCCAATTCCTTGCTTTATGTTTTTCTATTTAACACTAGACACTATGAAAATACATTATAATTGCTTACTTATTTTGGCTACTGTCTGTCCCCCACACTAAAATGAAACCTCCATGAGGATAAGAATTTTAGTTTGCTTTTTTGTTCATTATTACATTATCAGTATCTGTGCCTAGAAGAGTGCCTGGCAGAGAGCCCACCTGAAGTAAGTATTTGTGGGGTAAAGATAAAACAAGTAAATTAAAAAGCAAATGGGATCAAAGCAAGTCAAAGGGGCAGTTTTTCCAGGGTGTGGCCCCAGTTACAAGTGCAAACGCTTCCAGGGAACGACTGTGCATTTTATTAGAGTAAAGCAGGCCAGCTGGGGGTGTGGCCAACTGGAGAGGGTATTCGGAGTCTAAACTGGACTGAGACCTACCTAAGGCCCAGCTGCATGTATCCTTTTTGGAATGAGGGCCCTGATCCTCACATTTTTGTTGTTGTTGTCATTCTGTTTCAATTTCAGGAGATGCCAGAGACATAAATTTTCATCGTGTGAAATCTCTCAAATGTCTAAAGTACCTAATTAAAAATAGAAAACAATAAAAACACAAAGATGAAAATAACCTGGCAGCTGTCTGAGACTGGTTCCTGGGCACCTTGCTGGATTTTGTTGGACGAAATTGTGTGATGTACACAAGAAAATTAATCCTTGCTACGGTGAGGTAGGCTTGCCTTGTGTAATTCTTGAGGCAGTCAGCCTCAGGCCATGTTGGGTGGAGAGAATAAACTCTATTTACCACCTTCTTTCAACTCCTGGAAGCTCCTTGCATCTCCCACTATGCATGGAGTTAGGGTAACCTGGGCAGCAGGGAGTCACCAGCACTCTTTCTTGGGGTCAGAGGTATAATTTAGTGAACGGTGTGGTTGCAGAAAGCAGTGAGAGGGTTTTCAGATGGGCTACAGGAGAAAGACTTGGGAAAGGCAAGGAGGGGAGGAAGAGAAAGACACAGATCTATCTTTGCATCAGACACCATAGTTCTGAGGGACTTTTTGTGGGTTGCTGCTCCCTCTCCCCACCAGCCTTGACCCTTTTTTGTGACATTATACAGCTGAATGAGTTAGTTATACCAAGTCACAACTCCCAGCCCAACTGCCCCATGGCATCTGCCTCACCTGGAAACAAAGAGCTGACCAGAATTCCATCACAGGTCTCTGTGAGCTGGGGTAGGCAAGACTGGCCAACAGGTGCCTGTGAGGGGTCTGCAGACACCAGCTTTGTGGGGAAGGTCTAACCAGAATGTGGATTCTTGGGACAGCAGGCCTCTTTTAGTGGATTATTTGTCGGAACCACCTGTGGTTTCAGGCAGCTGCTGAAAGAAGTGTGGACAGTCAGGAACTCCCCATAACCTGGAGAGAAACACTAGGCTCAATCTTCTGATGCCCCTCGTCTCTAGATAGAAAACAAACATTCCAGCAGAAGGAACCGGTGTGATGAGACTGCTGTACCTGAGTTCAGTAAGGTTCCATTTTTTTCTGGGTAAAGTACTTTCCAAATGCAAGATGGCACATCTCTTAAGTTCTGACCCACTAACCCATCCTCTACCAATATTGTTTATCTAGCGCAGGACAAATGTGAGGAGGCAGCCCGCAGCCCAGCACATGTGGGGAACCGTGTTAGTGTGTTCAGGCTGAGGGTTGGGGTTCTGCTGGGTAGGAGCGTCCTGAACTCCCTGAAACAGGAAAAGCCTTACGGGTATAAACTTTCCTCCTGATTAACCTTACTGAGTCATCCTTGTCAGAATGCCCTTCTAGGGAACCTCCAATGTATCTGGCATCTTTGACAGATGCCACTTCCTTTGTGCATAGAGCCAGGAAGAGCAATGTGGACACTACCAGAAGTCCAACATTTTCCTGGGCCTTCCGATCTCTCATGGGCCCCACACCCCACAACTCTTTTCCTGTATTCCCAATCCCTCTGTCAGTCTTTCTTCTTTGAACTCCTTCTTCCTCAGTGGCCCTCTTCTTCTAACCTCTCTAACACTCTAACCCACATAGCCTCTTCCATTGAGTATCCTTTATCCTCTCCACAGACCCTGTCAGGTTGATCCTTCTCCTCTTTACTCTGGACCTCTTCTAAGGTTCTTTGTGTTCCTCTCTACTCAATTTATTCTGTGTATTTTCCTCTAAGCCACAAGCTCTCTGATAGCTGTTCCTTCTTTTCATGCCCCATTCACCAAACACACCCGATCTTTTCAACAAGACAAAGGGCTTACACACAGCATGTCATGTACACACAAGTTTGTATTTTTTAGAGCAAAACAACAGTTAATGCTGGCAAAGATGTTTAGTTATCAGGGATTCCATAAGCTTTCAATACACTGAAAGGCAACATTTTTTGCATGTCTACAAATTATACATTTGTTTCCACACATGTGCCAAATTTTACCCTAACAGTTAGGACTTTTTCACCAAATCGTAGACATAGATATGGAAATCATCATCAAACTTGATGAAATACACAGAGGGTTTGGCTTCCACTTGGTGAATGACCATGCCGATCCTTTTGGAGCCATCTTCTTTGGTATATTCCACATGCTTACCTATTAGGCCATCTACAACTCCTCCTGGCTCCCTCTCTGTTGGAGGAGACTCACTGGATTCTGGCATGATGCGGAGGTCACCTTCCTTATAATCATCTAGAAGCTGGTACATGTACAAGACAGGATCTTTCTCATAGGTAATATAAAACCAGGCTTTCATGATAGGTGCTTGAGCTAAGACCATCCCCCTCCATTCATCCTTAGAACCATGCTCTCCCTCAAACATATGTTCCACTGCTTTGCCAATTATGGTATTTGCAAGGTTGGCATCACTAATGTGAGATGATGCCACCCTGTCAGAAAGAATTTTAAGAGACAAAACCCTTTCATCTCTGTGAAGTTCCAGTCCATAGACACAGTCAATTCCATCATATTTCACCAGATAAAGAGAGGGATTTATAGGCACCTGATCCAGAACGGTTCCTTTCCACTGCGTGATGGGCTCATCTCCTTCCTTCCATCCATGAGAAATTCTGCAGC
The DNA here is from genome assembly GCF_000001405.40 of Homo sapiens. NCBI lineage: Eukaryota > Metazoa > Chordata > Mammalia > Primates > Hominidae > Homo > Homo sapiens. The sequence continues at coordinate 57,120,479 of NC_000023.11, forward strand.
CCACGATGTTCCTGCGGGGCTGGGATGAAGGTCGGCCTCTCTGCTTCTTTTGGGAGACTTTTTTCTTTGTCATGTTTGCAGACCCAGTGGCCCGTCCTGCAGCTGCCCTGGTTTGTTGCCCTTCGGCTTCCTGTGCGTTGGGGGTCTTCATGCCTGCTGGGGGAGGAGAGAGGATAGAGAGACACACCCAGTGTGCCACAAGGCAAACTTTTCCCTATAGCCATGTCTGGATGTAGTCTGCGCTAGTGCCTAAGTTTCCCCTAGGAGCCTGGAAGCAATGCTGGAAATCCTGGCTGCATGCCCGCAGTGCTCTCCCTCTTAAGTTCCTTTGGGCTGTGGGGAAGGGCTGGGGTGGTGCAGTAGAGCTGTCTGGGGTTAGGAACTCTGCAGAAGTGGCTGGGCCACCTCCTCCTAGCTCAGAGCCCACTGCCCTCCCGGAACCCCTTGCTACCACTGGCGTCCACTTCCAATCCCCTTGCAAAGAGGCCTTGACCGGCACCCACTGCCCTCCTTCCCTGAGCGTCCCAGCTGCTGTCCACAACACCCCCTGCCTACCCTAACCACTTCTCTGGTACCCACCGCCCTTGCTTCCCGGCGCTCACCTTCAAATCCTTGTCTGGCTCCCGTTCCTACCCCCTTTTCATGTTGCTCACCGCACTCCCCCACCCCACCCTTGCCTGGCGCCCAACTCCACCCCATGTCTCCTGCTGGATTCCTTCCCATCCCCCTCTCCATTCTGGCGCCCACTAATGGCCTTGCCCTGCCTGGCGTCCACCGCCGGGGATCGCGGGCCTCACGTGCCCAAATCGGACACCTCGCTGCTGCCTCCGCTACGAGCCTGTGGCGAAGGAGGGTCAGCAGGCGACCGGCCGAGTGAATGCTTGCAAGAGCGGGGAGGGTAGGATCCGTAGATGAGGAGCGTGTCTAGGAGGGCGGCGAGACAGGCAAAGAGGAAGGCAGCGGCGTCCCCACCGCTTGGCTCGCTAGCCCTCCGCCTCCCTGCTGGCGGTGGCGGCCCCTCAGCCACATCGGGATTCCACCAGTCCCTGCTGTCGCCGCGGCAGTCTCCTCCCTCTTTCCGTAGCGCAGCTTCCTGCCCAGAGAGAGGCCTCCTCTTCCTGTCAAACACCCGGCTCTCCTCTCCACCAGGCTCCCACGCCCACCACACAGCCTGTAGCCCCGGCGGAGCTATGGGCTCTGACTCCGCCTCTTTCCAAATCCGGAGTAGTTCGTGCCACAGTCGTCCTCGGAACCCTGTGGCCCCTTCCTCACCCGTTTCAGGGCCACTTGGTTCCCACCTCCACCTTCTTAGTCTGCCTGCCCTGCTTTCCATCTTCTTGGAATTCGCCTTGCTGCCGCCCCGCGCCCACCCCCGCGCCCACCCCTGCCCCTGCACCGTCCCATGCCCTTATGGATTTATTCTTTACACGTAAATATGTCTTTCCTCTTTTTGAAAGGATTTGGAGTTGGAACAGAGAAATTCACTATGGTAAGTCTGCCATTTTGACCCAGTCTCTACCTAATTTTTGCTGACTGATATTTCCTGGCATTTTTGTTTTTGTTTTCGAGGGATTTTTTTTTCCTTTTCTTTATTGCAAGATAATTGCATGTACAACGTGAACACTATCTACATTTTAGGAAATTAATATTAAGAGGAAAATCATCAACTGCAGTCCCATCTCCCATTTTTGAGGGCCTCACAGCAAAATATTAATGCTCATAGTTTTTTTTCCTTTTTCCTAAACTTTTGCAAAACTGGGATTTGTTTTTTATCTGCAATTCATGTCTATTAATTTTTCCAGGAAATTAGATGTTTTCTAATCGATTTTTTCATTCAACAAATATTTATTGAGCACCTGTTACATATCTTGCACTTGGTCCGTAAAACTCAATTTTAAAGTGATTTATAATTTGGCTTTTCTCCCAGTACTGGGCATTTGACATAATATTTCCACAATAACCAGTAATCAGATCTATGTATCGGAATAGAAAGCTTTGCAAAAAAATAACTTTATAAGAAATAATTAAAGTTATAGTTTTATAAATCAGTGGAGAAACGTTGGGTATTCTTTAAGGAATGTTGAAATAATTATTTAAATATTTTGAGAAAGGTTGTATACTAATGTTGTACCAGTATCAATATTTGATTTATTAAAAGGTAAAAAGCAGCAAAATAAAATTGAACAGAAAGCAAATGAACCAACCAAAAACTCTGTAAACAAAACAATGCTTAATGGTATCTTTCTTATTCAGATACTTATGGTATTTGAATGAGGGGATGAGTCGGATGTTAACAGAACAACTACACTTAATAAAATAACATCTACAAGGAAAAATAGAAGTAATAATAATCTCGATTCAACAGTCAAAGTATGAAAGAACATTAAAATATTACTTAATGTCATTGATCATGAAAAAGCTTCATATCTAGTGCTGATGCAAGTGAAAGTTTATACAATTTTTATGGAAAGCAATTTGCAGATATGTCATAGTTTCAGTGAGGGCTTTTTATTTTATTTTCATTTTTATTTTTTTAAATTATATTTTAAGTTCTAGGGTACATGTGCACAATGTGCAGGTTAGTTACATGTGTATACGTGTGCCATGTTGGTGTGCTGCACCCATTAACTCCTCATTTACATTAGGTATATCTCCTAATGCTATCCCTCTCCCCTACCCCCACCTCACAAGAGGCCCCATTGTGTGATGTTCCCCTTCCTGTGTCCATGTGTTCTCATTGTTCAATTCCCACCTATGAGTGAGAACATGCGGTGTTTGGTTTTTTGTCCTTGCGATAGTTTGCTGAGAATGATGGTTTCCAGCTTCATCCATGTCCCTACAAAGGACACGGACTCATCATTTTTTATGGCTGCATAGTATTCCATGGTGTATATGTGCCACATTTTCTTAATCCAGTCTATCATTGTTGGACATTTGGGTTGGTTCCAAGTCTTTGCTATTTTGAATAGTGCCGCAATAAACGTATGTGTGCATGTGTCTTTATAGCAGCATGACTTATAATCCTTTGGGTATATACCCAGTAATGGGATGGCTCGGTCAAATGGTATTTCTAATTCTAGAACCCTGAGGAATCGCCACGCTGACTTCCACAATGGTTCAACTAGTTTACAGTCCCACCAACAGTGTAAAAGTGTTCCTATTTCTCTACATCCTCTCCAGCACCTGTTGTTTCCTTACTTTTTAATGATCGCCATTCTAACAGGTGTGAGATGGTATCTCATTGTGGTTTTGATTTGCATTTCTCTGATGGCCAGTGATGAAGAGCATTTATTCATGTGTCTGTTGGCTGCATAAATGTCTTCTTTTGAGAAGTGTCTGTTCATATCCTTTGCCCACTTTTTGATGGGGTTGTTTGTTTTTTTCTTGTAAATTTGTTTGAGTTCATTGTAGATTCTGGATATTAGCCCTTTGTCAGGTGAGTAGATTGCAAAAACTTTCTCCCATTCTGTAGGTTGCCTGTTCACTCTGATGGTAGTTTCTTTTGCTGTGCAGAAGCTCTTTAGTTTAATTAGATCCCATTTGTCAATTTTGGCTTTTGTTGCCATTGCTTTTGGTGTTTTAGACATGAAGTCCTTTCCCATGCCTATGTCCTGAATGATATTGCCTAGGTTTTCTTCTAGGGTTTTTATGGTTTTAGGTCTAACGTTTAAGTCTTTAATCCATCTTGAATTAATTTTTGTATAAGGTGTAAGGAAGGGATCCAGTTTCAGCTTTCTACATATGGCTAGCCAGTTTTCCCAGCACCGTTTATTAAATAGGGAATCCTTTCCCCATTTCTTGTTTTTGTCAGGTTTGTCAAAGATCAGATAGTTGTAGATGTGTGGTGTTATTTCTGAGGGCTCTGTTCTGTTCCATTGGTCTATATCTCTGTTTTGGTACCAGTACCATGCTGTTTTGGTTAGTGTAGCCTTGTAGTATAGTTTGAAGTCAGGTAGCGTGATGCCTCCAGCTTTGTTCTTTTGGCTTAGGTTTGACTTGGCAATGCAGGCTCTTTTTTTGTTTCATATGAACTTTAAAGCAGTTTTTTCCAATTCTGTGAAGAATGTCATTGGTAGCTTAATGGGGAACGCATTGAATCTATAAATTACCTTGGGCAGTATGGCCATTTTCACGATATTGATTCTTCCTACCCATGAGCATGGAATGTTCTTCCATTTGTTTGTATCCTCTTTTATTTCCTTGTGCAGTGGTTTGTAGTTCTCCTTGAAGAGGCCCTTCACATCCCTTGTAAGTTGGATTCCTAGGTATTTTATTCTCTTTGAAGCAGTTGTGAATGAGAGTTCACTCATGATTTGGCTCCCTGTTTGTCTGTTATTGATGTATAAGAATGCTTGTGATTTTTGCACATTGATTTTGTATCCTGAGACTTGGCTGAAGTTGCTTATCAGCTTAAAGAGATTTTGGGCTGAGATGATGGGGTTTTCTAGATATACAATCATGTCATCTGCAAACAGGCATAATTTGACTTCCTCTTTTCCTAATTGAATACACTTCATTTCTTTCTCCTTCCTGATTGCCCTGGCCAGAACTTCCAACACTATGTTGAATAGAAGTGGTGAGAGAGGGCATCCCTGTCTTGTGCCAGTTTTCAACGGGAATGCTTCCAGTTTTTGCCCATTCAGTATGATATTGGCTGTGGGTTTGTCATAAATAGCTCTTATTATTTTGAGACACGTCCCATCAATACCTAATTTATTGAGAGTTTTTAGCACGAAGTGCTGTTGAATTTTGTCAGAGGCTTTTTCTGCATCTGTTGAGATAATCATGTGGTTTTTGTCTTCGGTTCTGTTTATGTGCTGGATTACGTGTATTGATTTGCATATGTTGAACCAGCCTTGCGTCCCAGGGATGAAGCTCAGTGAGGGCTTTTTTAAAGCTGTGGTTAACTGTTACTCCTAAGATTTCAACCCTGGAATTTCAATGAAAAGTAAGGGGTTGGGGGGTTACCAAGGTTCTGAACTCCAGATTCTGTATTCATGTATTTAACAAGCAGTCACAAGTTCTGCTGAGCATCAAAGTCTTTCAGTGGTTCCCTCTAGAATGGGTAAACTTTGCCAGTAGAAAAACATCCACCAAATGCCCTGTTTGCCTCTTGGACCTGTTCTCCTCCTATCTCAGCTAGGTAATTATTTCGTATTTCTCAGCTTTTAGATGCCATTGAGAGTGGATTTTCTTTTTTACTATATTTGTTCAGATTTAGTTAATTTGTTCAGATTTCAGGGAAAGTTGTTTTGAATTGTTTAGTCTCCTATTACTGAAATCTCAAACCCTATTTTTTATTATAAAATGCATGTGTTCATCATTAGGTTGTATACATTAAATAGGTACAGCTTTGTGTATGTAAATCATACCTCAGTAGTGGTTTGAAAAAGAAAAAAATGTGTTTAACTATTTGTAATGACTTCAAACTACAAAACACCTACATTTCCATCAGCAGTATATTGTATATGTTGGGGTATATTCATACATTGGAATATCATGCAGTAGTGAGAATGTTCAAGCTACAACTACATGCAAAAACATAAATGAATCTCTGAAATATGTTTAAAAAAGAGGCCAGACAACAAAGGGGCACACATTATTCTATTCAATTTATTTGAAGTTCAAAAACAATCATTAACTAATCTGTTGTCTAAAAAGTTAAGGTAGCAGTTATTCTTGCAAAGATATTTTCCAAATAGACAACAATTCATACTCTATCAGTAGTTGGCCAAAGTAAAAATTAGAGAGATCTTTGGACATGTATGTATGGCTAGAAAGGTTTATATAGATGCTGAGCTGCAAAATATATTTAACTGTAATAGACATCAATTGATACTGCAGCCTAGCATCTTATCACCATTCTTCTGGTAATAGTGCCACAGTTTTCCTCTTGGGAACAACATAAGCCTGACTTTTCAGAGTATGGAATTACTGTTACAATGATTAGTTTAGGAATAAGCATTCAACCTAGTCAGAGCCAATGAGACTCAAACTGCTATGCATGAGGCATTTTCCGTTGGAGGAGAGTGAACCTGAAAGGATATGAGGATTAAGCTGCTGTATTCAGCTTACTATCATCAATAGACTGAGAATGAAGGCACCCCAAAGAAGAGAATGGAGCCAGGCTATGCAAAAAGAGGGAGACTGTCCTAGTGACACATTTTGTACATGTAGGTGGTCATGGCCACTGACTGACTTTTGAATATTCATCTCACTTTAAAAGGTTAGTCTAAGCTAGTCATGGTGATGCCATTCTTCCTGCAAGTGATTGATTTGGCACTGGGCATGTGATCTAATCCTGGTCAATTAAGCATCATAGTATGTCTGCTGGAAGACTTCTGAAAAAAAAATCTTTACTCTTAAGAAAGAGAAGCAGGAAATAATGTTACCTTTTCTTTTTTAGGATGATGCTATATCTTTATATGACCTTTGGAATATCTGTAATCATCCTGAGGGCAATACTTATGTAATGAAGATGGAAGAAGAGAGAATATGAATACTCCGTGCACTTTGATCTTATCGTTTAGCTGCTGATCATACCATCCCTGGAGTCCTACTTCTGACTCCAAGTTATGAGGTAACAAATTTCTTTATAGTTAAAGCAATTTGATTCTGGGTTTTCTGTTACTTGCAGTTGAAGGCATCTTAAATGGCTTAGCGTTCCCAGACTTAAATGATATAGTATCCCTAGACAATACCGTTATACTTTTAAGTTATATGAAACAATACATTCTCAGGCACTCATTCATACAACCAGCTCCCATATCAGGAAATGGGACCTTACTTCCAGACTTAAAAAATCCAGTATTCAGTTGCAGATAAGGAATAAGGAGCTATCTAAAAAACAAGCATGAGGTAAAAAGGCATCATTCTAATTTGCACTATAAGAAAAAATATACCAGGATTAGCAAATAACTCCCTAAATAAATGCTGTCAGCAAAGTGATGAGCCTCTTATATTTTCCTCATAGGAAGAGGTAGGCTTCCGGACTCCAGTCTCTCCACCTCACATCTATTTTCCATATACTTTAGATTTCTTTGTCTTAAGGAGGTGATCCTGATATTCAATCTTATGAGAATAAAAAATAACATTCTAATCACTTATTTTTTAAATGTCATGCATTAATATTAGTTAAGACCATCTTTCAAAATTACCAAAAATTAGTATGGTTTACTGCAATCTTTATGACAATGAAAAGATCTATAATGAATGAAATAGACCTTTCTCTATCTCATTTCCTTTTTCTCCTTGCCACCTCTCAGGATGTCCCAGTGTTCTCACGTTCCACCTTCAATCACACTTAACCAATGTTAAATCCCTGGTATGTATTCTTCCAAACCATTTTCTATGTTATTACAACAATATATAAATATAAACGTAAATATAGGAATTTGGAAGTCCTTCTCACTTTTTAACGTAAGTGGGATCATACTCTTTACATTTGTGTGCAATGACACATCTATATATATTTCTAAAACATCTTCTTTATAATTGTATAATATTTCAAATGATACATAAACACAATGTATTCAAAAGTTCTGGTATTGATAGACATTCAAGATTTTCCCCCAGCTATTTTTGCTATTTCAAACAATGCTGTGATAACAAGTGAATGCAATCCAATTGTGACATTTCTCATTCCATCTATTTTGAGGGTTGATGGTGCCTATTTTGCTGATGAGGTAGGTATCTTTGTCTTTTCTCAATGTTGCCATATTCTTCCTTCTTAACGTTACCCGTGCTGATGTAAAAGAACCTTTCCAGATAAAGAAGACTCTCTTTTATTTAAGAATATATATGTGCTTTGTCTGGCCTTCCCCCAGTATTCATAAATTTTTAGCAATCTTCCAAGAAGTTATTGAATCAAAAAGAAAAATTTAAAAAATTAACAACAGAGAACCTGAGAAATGATAGCAATGAGGACACAACATATTAAAATGTGCCAGTTACAGCCAGCACTCTATTCAAAGACAAATGTATAGTAATGACTATTTCCCTTAAAAATTAGCTAGAAATTATCATCATAGATAGTCATGGAAACTTAAAGGAAATAACTAAAATATGCAGAGACTGATGAAGTGAAATAACAGAAAATTAGTAGACTATATAGCAAAACCTATGTCTAAGTTTTGTGAAAAAATAAAACAATAGGAAAGAAAACTGGCAATACAGGAAAAAGGACCAACAAATGCAAAGGGGATTTATAATAGGTTATTTGAAAATATAAAATTGTCATGCAATAATTCACTTACTAAACAAGTATTTATAGAGTGTCTCCTATGTTCCAGACCCTTTCCTAGCACTACAATACTAGAATGAATTAGATAGACAAGATTCCTGCATTCAAAGTTTATATTCTAGTGGAGTAAGACAGAAAATAAAGAAACCATCTAAAAGACAAGTTCACATAGTGATAAGTACTGCAGAGCAAGAAAAACCAAGGTTATGGGGTAGAAGGAGAGAATCTCTGAACAGGTGATATTTGAGTTAAGACCTGAATATGAGAAGCAACCAGTTATGAAAAGTTATGAAAAGCTCTGGGAGTAAGAAATAACTCTAGCATAAAGACTTTGAAGTGGAAACAAGCTTCTTGCCTTTGAGAATAGAAAAATGTTAGTATGGCTGTAATATATAGTGAAAACAGAGACCATATTTGAATCAGAAAAGAGTGAGATCAGATAGAGCACTGCTTCTTCATTCTTATTTCATTATTGTCCCCTCCCCACTAGATGACTTTATAAGGATTTTTTTCTTTTTCCTAATTGTCCCCTCATGAAATTTGAATACCAATGATGTACTGTATGATCTAGTCAATAAATGCATGTATATCTGTACTTTATACATAATCAACCTGTATGCAGGATGAAGTATGAATAAAATTTGAAGGTAGTAGTTAAATTAAAAATTAGAAAGCTAGCAATATCTAACTTAACTGTATAACTGTATTTGCTAAGTGACTTTTAATGGAATTTATGTACTTACATAAATTATAATGAGTCAACTTATGTATGCAAATTGGCAATTTATGTAAATACATAATAGTAATGTAATCACATTTAAAAAATTATTCACAACATTTTTCTAGCAAAGGTGAAACAATGGAAAACATTAAATTAATTTCTTCAAAGTTATTTTTGTGAATTTAACTTTTCACTTTTCCTTCATATGACAAAATCAGTTGTAACTAGCAGCTAGATATTCATACATTATCATTTTTTCTTTTTAGTACTTGACATAAATAATGATGGGTTAAATAACTTCTGTAAAGTTAAATATTAACTACTTTTATTTAATTTTCAAAGCCCAAGTCACACACAAGACACCGAGGATCAAACATAGTCAGTCAGTGGCAGCCAGTAGGTACACAAAGGCCACTTCTTGACATATGACTTCAAGAATGAGCAATAGATTGAAAAGTCCTACAATCAAAGTCATCTATTTGCTATGATTTTGTAGTGCTGGTCTTGCATACATTTCATGTATCTTCCATGAGCTCAATGGCAATGCTTCTGTAATATCCAAGAAAACAAGAGTGATTTAAGTTCTAAAGTATAAGATTTTATCAAATACAGTTGAGCTTTGGAGGACACAAATCATTGTAAAACTTCATATCATTCCACCTCTCACACCAACAATCATATTTCCCCCTTTTGGGGGCAATATCATCCTGTTTGAGAATGCATGATCTAGCGCATGCAGAATAAGGCATGAAGATTGTTTTGTATATCATCTGCAATAAGAAGCCTTTGGAACATTCTAAGCAGGAGGGCGGCATTATCTGGTTTACATTTTTAAAAGATAGTTCGGGCTATTGTATGGAGAGTTGAAAGGCAGGTGAGAAGATTTTAGTTTCCAACAGTCAAATTTATTGAACTTAAGGCCTTATCTTCTTTTTAAAATCCTTTAGTTACTGAAACAGCACCCCTCTCCTTCCATGTTGCCAAAGCATCAGGTTATGTGCTTACTACTGTTGTTTGCAGTTCTCTCTTAATTGTTGATCCCTGTGGACTTCCCTCACACTATTAAAAGCTCAGCTATACATTTAAAAGGAGGTCTGTCATATTTTATTCAACATTTTAAAGTTTAGTGATTTTTAGTTAAAGAGTTTTCATGTGCCCACTGTTTAGTGTCTTTTAAACTAGTGGTTTTACTTAGCCACTCCTGTGGTCAATCAGTGGTATAGTTTACTTCCTTCAAGACAGAGGCAAGAAGATTTTAGGGGAGTCAGTGGAATCATGCTCTCACTTTGTGAGGCCCCTCTTTAATATGTGCTATTACTTATTTAAACAAGCGAGCTCAGCAGCTCATAGTTTATCTCAGATGCCTCCAAAATTGATTTTTAAAAGGACATTAAAGCCACACTGAAAATATCTAACCTCTAACTACAATACATTGCAAATTATTCTCAGGTATATTGTACAACATATTAACTGCATAAAATTAAAAAATTCCATTTTGTTTCTATGAAGTACTGTGTATAGCATTTGCCAAATAGCACCCTAATTCCCCTGGCTGCATATCTCTCAAAGACTTTTCTAATTGGTGAGTGTGAGAGGAGTTGGACATGTGAAAAACCGTTTATCTCTTGGGCCTATTTCTTTTTTTTTTTTTTTTTGAGACGGAGTCTCGCTCTGTCGCCCAGGCCGGACTGCGGACTGCAGTGGCGCAATCTCGGCTCACTGCAAGCTCCGCTTCCCGGGTTCACGCCATTCTCCTGCCTCAGCCTCCCGAGTAGCTGGGACTACAGGCGCCCGCCACCGCGCCCGGCTAATTTTTTGTATTTTTAGTAGAGACGGGGTTTCACCTTGTTAGCCAGGATGGTCTCGATCTCCTGACCTCATGATCCACCCGCCTCGGCCTCCCAAAGTGCTGGGATTACAGGCGTGAGCCACCGCGCCCGGCCGGGTCTATTTCTTTTGGACAGAATAGGCACTCTAATTCATTCTCAAACACAGGATAAGCTTTATGGCCGTACCAGAGATGTCCATAGTTATCCAGTTATGCTTGTGTTTGGGTGAAATATTAGGAAGTCCTTGAAGCCCCCTATCTAGCCATGTCCTCCAGTTCAGCTTTTATTAAATACAAAGGGGATATTTTGACTTCCAGTTGTGTCATTATGGTGCTGTTCTCTCAAATGGTTACAAACTTGCAAAGAGTAAAGAAGACTTTTCATTCTTAGTCCTCTGAGCCATTAACTGTAACATAACTGTAAAGTTATCTTGAGATGTGGTACAATTTCAATCTGAAAGAGAAAGCAAAAATATTACAGATATGCTTGAACCAATCATTACTTACCAAAAATAAATATAGGAAATGAGTTATTAGGGAATGTACTGTAATCTCTGAGAGGAAAAAAAAACTTTTGAATTCCACAGTGTCAACTTCTATGTCCAGTAGTGACCTAAGGAAAAGAGTTGGAGGATTCTGACCATATCTCTTTAACTGTGATGAGTGCACAGACCAAGACTGATCAATTGTGTGAGTGTGATCCCATCACTGATCATTAATATGAAACTCTCTTACATTTTAACTCATGTATCCTCAGGACCAATAATATCACATGGGCTTGGGGAACAGGAAATGGGACGTGATATACGTAATGAATTTTGAACAAATCTACTGCAGTATAAACATCTGTCCTTTATCCAAACAGAATACAGGTTTAAACTCTGTCTGAATACTAAGAACTTTTGAACAGCCATACATTAAATTTTTCACTAACGGTTTTAAATCAGTGACAAACTCCCTTTGGGGTACCTGTTGGCCCATTGCCAAAATAACATATCAGTGGTTTCCGATATAATGGCTATGAGAGTTATCCAGAGCGGGGAGGCCGATAACAACCATTTATCAGTGAATTTCTGGGTCAGTTTCTCATTTTCTAGAGATCACTTCATTAATATTCTATACCCAATCTAGGCGTTGAGTATAGAGCCCAACTCTGTCATCTATGGTTTTCACTGGGAATTGTTTTCTCTTAAGAAAATCTTCAAAGGAAGACCAGAAAACGTGGTGTAGTCCTTGACTCATATTTATCTTCCACTGCACAGCGTTATCAAATAGGAAAACATGCAGCGTGTACCTGAAAACAGCCAGATCCAACTAATTTTCACCACGTCTACTACCACCAGGATGGTGAAATCACCACCATTATCTGTTACTTACATAATTGGAATAGCCTACTAATTATTCTCCCTTTATTCATCATATACGAATAAAAACTATTCTCCAAGTTGTCAGAGTGATCCTGTAAAACTAAGACAAACCTTGTCTCCCCTCCATTATTAATACGTGGATGGCTTTCCATCACATACAGTGTAAAAGCCAAATTGCATTTTGAAACCTACAGGGCTATAAGCTGCCTCTCCCTCATCCCCATTACCTCTCTGAAACCACCTTTTGCTTTTCTCTGCCTTGTTCACTCAGCTCCAGTCATGATAACATCCTCCTTGCTCCTCAAACATGCCAGGCCTAAACCTGTCTTGGGGCCTCAGCACATGCTGTCCCTCCATCTGGAATGCTCCTTCCCCAGACAGCTACAGGGTCAGTTCTCCCATTGCCTTCAGGTGAGACTCAAAAGCCAAGTTCTCAGTGAGGCCTTCCCTGGATACCTTGTCTATCTAGTTTCAGCTTCCCTCCTGAAATTTTCTATCCCAATTCCTTGCTTTATGTTTTTCTATTTAACACTAGACACTATGAAAATACATTATAATTGCTTATTTATTTTGGCTACTGTCTGTCCCCCACACTAAAATGAAACCTCCATGAGGGTAAGAATTTTAGTTTGCTTCTTTCATTCATGATTACATCATCAGTATCTGTGCCTAGAAGAGTGCCTGGCAGAGAGCCCACCTGAAGTAAGTATTTGTGGGGTAAAGATAAAACAAGTAAATTAAAAAGCAAATGGGATCAAAGCAAGTCAAAGGGGCAGTTTTTCCAGGGTGTGGCCCCAGTTACAAGTGCAAACGCTTCCAGGGAATGACTGTGCCTTTTATTAGAGTAAAGCAGGCCAGCTGGGGGTGTGGCCAACTGGAGAGGGTATTCGGAGTCTAAACTGGACTGAGACCTACCTAAGGCCCAGCTGCATGTATCCTTTTTGGAATGAGGGCCCTAATCCTCACGTTTTTGTTTTTGTTGTTGTTGTCATTCTGTTTCAATTTCAGGAGATACCAGAGACATAAATTTTCATCGTGTGAAATCTCTCAAATGTCTAAAGTACCTAATTAAAAATAGAAAATAATGAAAACACAAAGATGAAAAAAACCTGGCAGCTGTCTGAGATTGGTCCCTGGGCAGCCAGCTGGTATTTGTTGGACTGAATTGTGTGATGTATACAAGAAAATTAATCCCTGCTACGGTGAAGTAGGCTTGCCTTGTGTAATTCTTGAGGCAGTCAGCCTCAGGCCATGTTGGGTGGAGAGAATAAACTCTATTTACCACCTTCTTTCAACTCCTGGCAGCTCCTTGCATCTCCCACTATGCATGGAGTTACGGTAACCTGGGCAGCAGGGCGTCACCAGCACTCTTTCTTTGGTGTCAGAGGTATAATTTAGTGAAGGGTGAAGTTGCAGAAACTAGTGGGCGGGTTTTCAGATGGGCTATAGGAGAAAGACTGGGGAAAGGCAAGGAGGGGAGAAAGAGAAAGACACAGATCTATCTTTGCATCAGACACCATAGTTTTGAGGGACTTTTTGTGGGTTGCTGCTCCCTCTCCCCACCAGCCTTGACCCTTTTTTGTGACATTATACAGCTGAATGAGTTAGTTATACCAAGTCAAAACCCCCAGCCCAACTGCCCCATGGCATCTGCCTCACCTGGAAACAAAGAGCTGACCAGAATTCCATCACAGGTCTCTGTGAGCTGGGGTAGGCAAGACTGGCCAACAGGTGCCTGTGAGGGGTCTGCAGACACCAGCTTTGTGGGGAAGGTCTAACCAGAATGTGGCTTCTTGGGACAGCAGGTTTCTTTTAGTGGATCGTTGGTCGGAGCCACCTATGGTTTCAGGCAGCTGCTAAAAGAAGCATGGACAGGCAAGTACTCCCCATACCCTCGAGAGAAACACTAGGCTCAGTCCTCTGATGCCCCTCATCTCTAGATAGAAAACAAACATTCCAGCAGAAGGAATAGGAGTGATGAGACTGCTGTACCTGAGTTCAGTAAGATTTCATTTTTTCTGGATAAAGTACTTTCCAAATGCAAGATGGCACATCTCTTAAGTTCTGAGAGCCCCACTAACCCATCCTCTACCAAGATTGCTTATCTAGCGCAGGACAAATGTGAGGAGGCAGCCCACAGCCCAGCACATGTGGGGCACCATGTTAGCGTGTTTAGGCTGAGCATTGGGTTTCTGCTGGACAAGTGTGTCATTAACTCCCTGAAACAGGAAAAGCCTTATGGGCATAAACTTGGCTCCTGATTAACTTGACTGAGTCATTCCTGTCAACATGCTCTTCTAGTGAACCTCCAATGCATCTGGCATCTTTGACAGTTGCCACTTCCTTTGTGCATAGAGCCAGGAAGAGCAATGTGGACACTACCAGAAGTCCAACATTTTCCTGGGCCTTCCGATCTCTCATGGGCCCCATACCCCACAACTCTTTTCCTGTATTCTCACTCCCTCTGTCAGTCTTTCTTCTTTGAATTCCTCCTTCCTCAGTGGCCCTCTTCTAATCCCTCCAACACCCTAACCCACATAGCCTCTTCCTTTGTGTATCCTTTAGCCTCTCCCAGATCCCTGTCAGGTTGATCCTTCTCCACCTTACTCTGGACCCTCTTCTAAGCTTCTTTGTGTTCCTCTCTACTCAGTTTATTCTATTTTCCTCTAAGCCCCAAGATCTCACTCTCCCTCTGTTAGTCTTCCTTCTGAGTTGGATGTTTCCTTCTCATAGGTCATCCCCTCCCCCAAGGAGCCCCTCCCTTTCTGGCCCTTTTCCACCTCTTCCTAAGCAGTCACCTCCTCCTCTCTCCCCAAGACAGCCAATCTCTTGTTCCTTCCCCTGCCCCCTCCAGACCAGACCAGCTAAATCCAGTGCCATTTTTAAATGACTGATTATGATTCTAGCTGAACTTTATTCACAGCCGAAATTGACAGCTGTTCGTTCCTTCCATGCCCCATCTACCAAACACACCCGAACTTTTCAACAAGACAAAGGGCTTACAGACAGCATGTCATGTATTCACAAATTTGTATTTTTTAGAGCAAAACAACAGTTAATGCTGGCAAAGATGTTTAGTTATCAGGGATTCCATAAGCTTTCAGTACACTGAAAGGCAACATTTTTTGCATGTCTACAAATTATACATTTGTTTCCACACATGTGCCAAATTTTACCCTAACAGTTAGGACTTTTTCACCAAATCGTAGACATAGATATGGAAATCATCATCAAACTTGATGAAATACACAGAGGGTTTGGTTTCCACTTGGTGAATGACCATGCCGATCCTTTTGGAGCCATCTTCTTTGGTATATTCCACATGCTTACCTATTAGGCCATCTACAACTCCTCCTGGCTCCCTCTCTGTTGGAGGAGACTCACTGGATTCTGGCATGATGCGGAGGTCACCTTCCTTATAATCATCTAGAAGCTGGTACATGTACAAGACAGGATCTTTCTCATAGGTAATATAAAACCAGGCTTTCATGATAGGTGCTTGAGCTAAGACCATCCCCCTCCATTCATCCTTAGAACCATGCTCTCCCTCAAACATGTGTTCCACTGCTTTGCCAATTATGGTATTTGCAAGGTTGGCATCACTAATGTGAGATGATGCCACCCTGTCAGAAAGAATTTTAAGAGACAAAACCCTTTCATCTCTGTGAAGTTCCAGTCCATAGACACAGTCAATTCCATCATATTTCACCAGATAAAGAGAGGGATTTATAGGCACCTGATCCAGAACGGTTCCTTTCCACTGCGTGATGGGCTCATCTCCTTCCTTCCATCCATGAGAAATTCTGCAGCCCACGATGTTCCTGCGGGGCTGGGATGAAGGTCGGCCTCTCTGCTTCTTTTGGGAGACTTTTTTCTTTGTCATGTTTGCAGACCCAGTGGCCCGTCCTGCAGCTGCCCTGGTTTGTTGCCCTTCGGCTTCCTGTGCGTTGGGGGTCTTCATGCCTGCTGGGGGAGGAGAGAGGATAGAGAGACACACCCAGTGTGCCACAAGGCAAACTTTTCCCTATAGCCATGTCTGGATGTAGTCTGCGCTAGTGCCTAAGTTTCCCCTAGGAGCCTGGAAGCAATGCTGGAAATCCTGGCTGCATGCCCGCAGTGCTCTCCCTCTTAAGTTCCTTTGGGCTGTGGGGAAGGGCTGGGGTGGTGCAGTAGAGCTGTCTGGGGTTAGGAACTCTGCAGAAGTGGCTGGGCCACCTCCTCCTAGCTCAGAGCCCACTGCCCTCCCTTTACCCTTTACTGCCACTAGCATCCACTCCCAATCCCCTGCAAAGCGGCCTTGACCAGCACCCACTACCCTCCTGCCCTGAGTGCCTCTGGTGCTGTCTGTAACCCCCACTGCCTATCCTAACCACTTCCCTGTTACCTACCTCCCTTGCTTCCTGGCGCTCACCTTCAAATCCTTGTCTGGCTCCTATTCCTACCCCCTTTCCCTGTCGTCCACCGCACTCCCCCACCCCACCCTTGCCTGGCGCCCAACTCCACCCCATGTCTCCTGCTGGATTCCTTCCCATCCCCCTCTCCATTCTGGCGCCCACTAATGGCCTTGCCCTGCCTGGCGTCCACCGCCGGGGATCGCGGGCCTCACGTGCCGAAATCGGATACCTCGATGCTGCCTCTGCTGTGAGCCTGTGGCGAAGGAGGGTCAACAGGCGACTCGCTGAGTGACTGCTTGCAAGAGCGGGGAGGGTAGGATCCATAGATGAGGAGCGTGTGTAGGAGCGCGGCGAGACAGGCAAAGAGCACTGCAGCGGTGTCCCCAGCGCTTCGCTCGCTGGCCGTCTACCTCCCTGTTGGTGGCGGCCACCCCTCAGCCACGTTGGGCTGCCACCAGTCCCTGATGCAGTGGCTGTAGTCTCTGCCCTTTTTCTGCACAAGACTACAGTGTTAGTTTCCTCTTAGTAGTGATGTCTTCCATTCTAATCACAGAGCAGATCTGCCTTTCTTTTCTTGGGGCCCCTCCTGGGCTCCTCCTTCCCTTTCCACAATTCACAACAGTGGAACCTGTAGGTGGCCTTTTCTCTCTTCCTGTCTCTGCTGGCTGGATCCTTCAAGCTCTCTAGCCCCTCCCCTCAGCTCTCTTGCTCCATCTGTTTTCCATCTTTCAGACATTTCTCACATTCTTTGGAAACATACAAATTAACATAGAAATACCATGTGTATACATTTATGGAGACATGAATCCTTTACGACCATATGCAAATGTGTATGTATGTATATATATATATATCTCCAAGCACATGCACATGTATAAAACTATGAATTCTGTGTACAGTTCCAGAAATTCCTATCCATAGATTCTTAATTCCAAATACACACCTCTATCCAATCACATAACTCACAGATATAATTCTCTGTATATGCATACACACTCACGAATACATACATTAAGTGTTTCTCCAAAGCATTATGTAGGCATATTTTAGATTTGGAGACCTTGCTTTGAAGAAGTATTGGCTTATTTTAAGCTTAAAGAGTTATTTTTGAATGTGATTACAATACTTAACAAACCTTATCTATTTCGCATAAAGTGAAGTCATTTTTAATTTTTGTGTGTTTTTTTGTGAGTTACAGTTTTTCACAGTATCCTATAATTCTGAAAATAATCAACAATATTAGATTGCTATATCAAGTAAGATGTTTTCAGTTACATGTTGTAGGACAACAAACCAAATGGGTGTACAATAAAAACAATATGTTGGCTAACATCTGAAAAGTTAAATAAGTGTTAGGTTAATCTTAATCTATGGTGGAATAATATTTTATTATATATATATATATATCACATTTTTTATCCATTTATTTATTGATGGACAGTTAAGTTGATTCCATATCTTGTCTATTGTGATCAGTGCTGCAAATAAATATGTGAGTGCAGATAGCTCGTTGATATGCTGATTTCCTTTCTTTTGGATATATACCCAATAGTGAGATTGCTGGATCTTAGGGAATTTGTAGTTTTAGTTTTTGGAGGAACTACCACGCTGTTTTTCATAATGGCTATGCTAATTTATATCCCCACGAGCAATTTACAAGGATACCTCTTTCTTCACTTCCTTACCAGCAGTTTTTATTTTCTGTCTTTTTGATAATAGCCATTTTAACTGGGGTAAGATGATATCTCATTGCTATTTTGATATACAATTACCTGATGATTAGCGATTTAGAATACTTTTTATATATCTGTTGTCCATTTGTGCGTCTTAGTTTGAGAAATGTCTACTCAGCTCTTTTGCCCATTTTTAAATCAGATTATTTGATTTTTTACTATTGAGTTGTTGGAATTTCTTACATATTTTTATTATTAATCCCGTCAGTTGAATACTTTGTAAATATTTTCTCTTGTTACCTAGGTTGTCTCTTCATTTTATGATTGTTTCCTTTGCTGTGCAGAAGCTTTTTAGCTGATGTGATTTCACTTGCCCATTTTTCCTTTGCCTGTGCTTTGAGGTCTTACTCAAGAAATCGTTGCTCAGACCAATGTCCTGAAGCTTTTTCCCAAAGTTTTCTTCTAGTAGCTTCACAATTTCAGGTCTTAGATTTATGTCTTTAATCCATTTTGATTTGAGTGTTGTATATGGTGAGAGATAGATATGTCTAGTTTCATTCTTCTGTGTATGGATACCCAGTTTTCCCAACAACATTTATTACAGAGAGTGTCCTTTCTATAGTGTGTGTTCTTGGCTCCTTTTTTGAAAATAAGTTGACTATAAATGCATAGATTTATTTATGAGTTCTCTATTTTGTGGTGTCTATTCATATGCCAGTACCATGCTGTTTTGGTTACCACAGGTTTTTTGTTTGCTTGTTTGTTTGTTTGTTTTTTGAGACGGAGTCTTGCTCAGCTGGAGTGCAGTGGTGCAATCTTGGCTCACTGCGAGCTCCTTCTCCTGGGTTCACGCCATTCTCCTGCCTCAGCCTCCCGAGTAGCTGGAACCACAGGTGCCCGCCACCACACTGGGCTAATTTTTTTGTATTTTTAGTAGAGACGGGGTTTCAGCATGTTAGCCAGGATGGTCTCGATCTCCTGACCTCGTGATCCGCCCGCCTTGGCCTCCCAAAGTGCTGGGATTACAAGTGTGAGCCACCACGCCTGTCCCCATAGGTTTATAGTATAATTTGAAGTCAGGTAATTTGATGCCCCAGCTTAGTTCTTTTTCTTCAGGATTGCTTTGGCCATTCTGATCCTTCTGTAGCTCCATATGAATTTTAGGACTGTTTATTTTCTGTTTCCATAAAGAATGTCTTTGGTGTTTTGACAGAGATTGAGTTTATGTATATGTAGATAACTTGGAGTAGTATGGACATTTTAACAATATTAATTAGTCCAACTCATGAACATGGATACTTTTCTATTTTTGTGTTGTCTTTATTTTGTATCAATGTTTTATAATTTTTATTGCAGACATCTTTCATTTCTTTGGTTTAGTTTATTTCTAGGTATTTTATATTTTGTAGTCATTGTAAAAGGGATTGCTTTCTTGATTTCTTTTTTTACACAGTTGGCATTTGTGCTACTGATTTTTGTATGTTGGTTTTATAAATAAAATCAGTTTCTTAGTTACAGTTCGTTTTTGGTGGGATCTTTAGATTTTTTCTAAATATAAAATCATATTATCTGCAAATAAAGAGAATTTAACTTCTTCCTTCCCAATTTGGGTGTTGTTTCTTTCTCTTACCTAATTGCTCTTGTTAGAATTTCCAGTACTATGTTGAATAAAAGTGGTGAAAGCTGGCTAACACAGTGAAACCCCATCTCTACCAAAAAAAAAAAAAAAAAAAATAGAAAAATTAACCTGGCGTGGTGGCAGGTGCCTGTAGTCCCAGCTACTCAGGAGGCTGAGGCAGGAGAATGGCGTGAACCCGGGAAGCAGAGCTTGCAGTGAGCCGAGCTCCTGCCACTGCACTCCATCCAGCCTGGGCAACAGAGCGAGACCCCGTCTCAAAAAAAAAAAAAAAAAAAAGTGGTAAAAGCACCATGGAATACTACACAGCCACAGAAAATAAAATCATGCCCTTTTCAGCATCAGCGATGCAGCTGAAGGCTATTATCCTACGTGAATGAATGCAGAAACAGAAAATCAAATGCTGCATGTTCTCACTTATAAACGGGAGGCAAAAAATGGGTGCATATGGGCATAAAGATGTAAATAATAGACACTAGGATTTCCAAAAAGAGGGAGGAAGAGAGGAATGATTGAAAAACTGCCTATCGAGTACTATGTTAGCTATTTGGGTGATGGGTTCAGTAGAAGCCCAAACCCCAGCATTATGCAGTGTATTTATGTAAAAAGCCCACACATGTACCCCATGAAACTAATTTTTTTGTGTGTGGTAAAAGCAGTCATTTTGTCTTGTTCCAGGTCATAGACAAAAGGCTTTCAGGTTTTTTCCCATTTCATATGATGCTAGCTGTGTTTGTCATATATGACCTTTATTCTTTTGAGATATGCTCCTTCTATATCCATTTTGTTGAGAGTTTTTTTCATGAAACGATGTTAAATTTCATTGAATTTTTTTTGGCATCTATTGAAATGCCCATATGGTTTTGGTACTTTATTCTATTTATGTGATATATCACGTTTATTGATTTGTGTATGTTGAACCATCATTGCATCCCTAAGATTAATCCTACTTGATCATGTGAATGATCTTTGAAATTTGTTGTTGGATTCAGTTTGCTAGTATTTTGTTGAGGATTTTTGCATGTATATTTATTGGTAATATTGGCGTATAATGTTCTTTTTTGGGGTGTCTTTGGTTATGACATCTGAATAAGGCTGGCCTTCCAAGAATGAGTTTGGAAGCATTCCCTCCTATTTGATTTTTTGGAATGGTTTGAGTAGGATTTGTATTAGTTCTTCCTTAAATTTTTGGTAGAATTCAGCAGTGCAGCCACAAGATCATGGGCTTTTCATTGATGGGAGATATTTTATTACCATTGCTATCTCATTACCTATTATTGGTCCGTTCAGGTTTTCTATTTCTTTATGGTTCAATCTTGGTAGGTTGTATGTGTCTAGGAATTTACCCATTTCTTCTAGGTTTTTAAATTTATTGGCACTGCTCATAATCATCTGTAACAATTTTTTTATTTTCTGTGTTATTATAATGTCTCATTTTTCTTTTTCTTTTTTTTAAATGTTACTTTAAGTTCTAGGATACAACTGAAGAAAGTGTAGGTTTGTTACATAGGTATATGTGTGTCATGGTGGTTTGCTGCACCTGTCAACCCATCATCTAGGTTTTAAGTTCCACATGCATTAGCTATTTGTCTTAATGCTCTCCCTCCCCTTGCCCCCCACACCCCGGTCTAATTTTTCATCTGTCATTTTATTTATTTGAGTCTTCTCTTAGTCTAGCTGAAGGTTTGTAGATTTTTGTCATGTTTTCAAAAAGCCAGCTTTTTGTTTAATTGATCTTTTGCATTGTCTTTCAGTTTCAATTTTATTTCTGCTCTGATTTTTATTATTTCTTTCCTTCTACTAACTCAAGGTTTGATTTGTTCTTAATTTTCTACTTCTTTAAGGTGCATTTTTAGGTTGTTTATTTGAAGTTTTTATGCTTTTTTGACTTAGGCATTTATTGCTACAGTCTTTCCTCTTAGTATTGCTTTTGCTGTGTTCTGTAGGTTTTGGTATGTTGTGCTTTCATTTTCATTTGTTTCAAGAAACTTTAAAAATTTCCTTCTTAATTTCTTCCTTGACCCATTGGTCATTCAGGAACATGTTGTTTAATATTCATGTATTTGTATAGTTTTCAAATTCTGGTTATTTATTTCTATTGTTTTATTCCATTGTAGTTAGAAAAGATACTTGATATAATTTTAATATTTTAAAAATTTGTTGAGATTTATTCTGTGGCCTAACATATGGTCTGTCTTGGAGAATGTTCCATGTGCTGAGGAGAAGAATGTGTATTCTGCTCCTTTTGGGTGAAATGTTTTGTAAGTGTGTAAGAGGTCCTCCAAGTTTATGGTGCAGATTAAGTCTGATATTTCTTTGTTAATTTTTTTGTCTAGATGATCTTTACCATGTTGAAAGTGGGGTGTTATAGTCCACACTTGTTATCGTTTTGGGATCTACCTCTCTCTTTAGTTGTACTAATATTTTTAAATATATCTCTGTGCACTGGTGCTGGATGCATATATATTTACAATTATTATATCCTCTGCTGTATTGACCCCTTTATCATTATATAATGACCTTCTTTGTTTCTTTTTACAGTTTTTGGCTTGACATCTACTTTGTCTGATATAAGTATAGTTATTCCTGCTCTATTTTGGTTTCCATTTGCATAGAATATCTTTTTTCCATTCTTTAATTTTAGGTCTGTTGTATGTCTTTATCAGTAAAATTAGTTTCTTGTACACAGAATCTACTTTGGGTCTTATTTTTTGATTCATTCAGCCACTCTAGGTCTTTTGATTAGATCATTTATTCCATTTACTGCCAATATTATTACGGATAGGTAAGGACTTACAACTTTCATTGTGTTATTTGCTTCCTGCTTGTTTTCTAAGTCCTTTTTTTCTTTATTTCTGTCCTTCTTTGTGTATAAGTGATTTTTTTCTGGTAGTATATCTTAATTCCTTGCTTTATATTTTTTGTATATTTGTTACAGGCTTTTGCTTCATGGATACGAGGAGACTTGCAAGACTATTCTAACGAATTGCTTTAAACTAAAGACAACTTAACTCGGACGATGGTGGAGAAAAAAAGAGAAAACTGAAAAAATGCTACACTTTAACTCCATCCCCCCTTACGACTTTTTGTTGTTTCTATATATCTTTTTATATTGTCTGTCTCTTAAAATTGCTCGTATTATTATTATTATTATTGAGATAGGATCTCACTCTATCACCCAAGTTGGAGTACAGTGACATAATCTTGGTTCACTGCAACCTCTGCCCCCCAGGCTCAAGTGATCCTTTTACCTAAGCCTCCTGAGTAGCTAGAACCATAGGAATGCACCACCATGCTAAGCTATTTCTTTGTATTTTTGGTAGACAGGGGGTTTCTCCATGTTGCCTGGGCTGGTCTTGAACTCCTGATCTCAGGTGATTGACCCATCTTGGTTTCCCAAAATGCTGGGATTATAGGCATGAACTACCATGCCTAGCCTGTTATTATTTTTGATAGCTTTGTCTTTTAGTCTTCACAGTAAAGATATAAGTGGTTTATATACAAGTACAGTACTATAATATTCCAAATTTATCTATGTGTCTACATTTATCAGTGAGTTTTAGATCTCCAGATGATTTCTTGCCTTTTTGTGTCATTTCCTTTCAGATTGAAGAACACAGTATTACTTGAAAGACAGGTCTGTTGATGAATTTCATCAGCTTTTCTCTGTGAAAGTCTATCTGTACTTCATGTTTTAAGGATCACTTTGCTGGATATTCTCAAGTTAAAGATAACTTTGCTGGCAGTATTCTCAGCTTTCAGTTTTTTCCTTCTGCACTTTCAATATGTCATCCTGTTCTTTACTGGCTTGCAAGGTTTCTGCTAAGAAGTCTGCTGACAGATGTGTCAGAGGTCCTTTACATGTTATTTGGTTTTTTCTTTTGCCGACTTTAGGATCCTTTATTTGTCCTTGACTTTTGTGAGCTTGATTATTATATGCCTTGCAGTCATCTTACTTAGTTTGAGTCTTCTTGGTGTTCTTTAACATTCTTGTATTTGGATATTTATATTTTTTCTCAAGGTTTGAAACACTTTTTGTTATTATTTATTTGAATAAACATTCTACCCTGATCTCTCTACATCCTCTGTAAAGCAAGTAACTCTGTGGGTTTTTTTTTCCCCTACTTGAGGCAATTTTCTGGATCTCGTAAGCACACTTCATTCTTTTTTATTTTTTAATAATTTTTAAAATTTCCATTGGTTTTTGGTGGAACAGGTGGTATTTGGTTACATGAGTAAGTTCTTTATTGGTGATTTGTGAGATTTTGGTGCACGTATCACCCGAGCAGTTTACACTGAACCCAATTTTCAGTCGTTTATCCCTCAGCCCTCCCTCTCATCCTTTCCAAGTGTTCCCAAAGTCCGTTGTATCATTCTTCTGCCTTTATATCCTCAGAGCTTAGCTCCCACTTATGAGTGAGAACATACAATGTTTGGTTTTTTATTCCCGAGTTACTTCACTTAGAATGATAGTCTCCAATTCCATTCAGGTTGCTGCAAATGCCGTTAATTCATTCCTTTTTATGACTGAGTAGTATTCCACTATATATATATATATATGTATGTATATGTATGTGTGTGCATACACACACACACACACACACACCACAATTTCTTTATCCACTCATTGATTGATGAACATTTGGGCTGGTTCCACATTTTTGCAATTGTGAATTGTGCTGCTATAAACATGCATGTGCAGATATCTTTTTTGTATAATGACTTTTTCTGTGGGTAGTGGGATTGCTGGATCAAATGTTAGTTCTACTTTTAGTTCCCTAAGGAATCTCCACACTGTTTTTTCTAGTGGTTGTACTAGTTTACATTCCCACCAGCAGTGTAGAAGTGTTCCCTTTTCACCACATCCATACCAGCATCTATTAGTTTTTGTTTTTTGATTATGATCATTCTTTTGGGGGGGGGTAAGGTGGTATTACATTGTGGTTTTGATTAACATTTCCCTGATCATTGGTGATGTTGATCATTTTTTATGTTTGTTGGCCATTTGTATATCTTCTTTTGAGAATTGTGTATTTATGTCCTTACCCCGCTTTTTGATGAGGTTATTTGTTTTTTCTTGCTAATTTGTTTGAGTTCCCAGGAGATTCCGGATATTAGTCCTCTGTTGGATGGATAGATTGTAAAGATTTTCTCCCAATCTGTGCATTGTCTGTTTACTCTGATGACTGTTCCTTTTGTTGTGCAGAAGCATTTTAGTTTAATTAAGTCCCACTTATTTATTTTTGTTTTAGTTGCATTCGCTTTTGGGTTCTTGGTCATGAAGTCTTTGCCTAAGCCAATGTCTAGAAGGATTTCTCCAATGTTGTCTTCTATAATTTTTACACTTTCAGGTCTTGGATTTAAGTCCTTGATACACCTTGACTTGATTTTTGTATAAAGTGAGAGATGAGGATCTAGTTTCATTCTCCTACATGTGGCTTGCCAATTATGCCAGCACCATTTGTTGAATAGGCTGTCCTTTTCCCACTTTATGTTTTTGTTTGCTTTGTTGAAGTTCAGTTGGCTGTAGGCATTTAGGTTTATTTCTGGGTTCTCTGTTCTGTTCCATTGGTCTATGTGCCTGTTTTTATACCAGTATCATGCTGTTTTGGTGACTATGGCCTTATAGTATAGTTTGAAGTTGGGTAATGTGATGCCTCCAAATTTTTTTTTTTCTTTTTTTGCTTAGTCCTCCTTTGGTTATGCAGGCTCTTTTTTTGGTTCCATATGAATTTTAGGGTTGTTTTTTCTAGTTCTGTGAAGAATGATGGTGTCATTTTGATGAGAATTGCATTACATTTGTAGGTTGCTTTTAACAGTATGGTCTTTTTCACAATATTGATTTTCCCCATCCATGAGGATGGGATGTATTTCCATTTGTTTGTGTTATCTGTGACTTTTTTCAGCAGTGTTTTGTAGTTTTCCTTGTAGAGGTCTTTCACCCTCTGAGTTATGTATATTTGTAAGTATTTTATTTACTTTGTGGCAATTGTGAAAGGGATTGAGTTCTTGATTTGATTCTCAGCTTGGTCACTGTTGGTGTATAGCAGAGCTACTGATTTGTGTACATTAATTTTGTATCCTGAAACTTTGCTGAATTCATTTATCAGTTCTTGGAGCTTTTTGAAAGTCTTTAGGGTTTTCTAGGTATCTGATCATATCATCAGCAAATAGTGGCAGTTTGACTTCCTCTTTACCAATATGGACAGCATTTATTTCTTTGTCTTGTCTGATTGCTCTTGCTAGGACTTCCAGTACTATGTTGAACAGAAGTGGTGAGAGTGGGCATCCTTGTCTTGTTCCAGTTCTCAGAGGAAATGCTTTCAACTTTTCTCCATTCAGTATAATGTTGGCTGTGTGTTTGCCATAGATGGCTTTTATTACATTCAGGTATGTCTCTTCTATGCTGATTTTGCTGAGGATTTCAATCATAAAGTGCTGCTGGCTTTTGTCAAATGCTTTTTCTTCATCTATTGAGACAATCAGGTGATTTTTGTATTTAATTCTGTTTATGGGGTGTATCACATTTATTGACTTGCTTATGCTAAACCATCCCTGATTCCCTAGTATGAAGCCCACTTGATCATGGTGGATTATGTTTTTGATATGCTGCTGGACTTGGTTAGCTAGCATTTTGTTAAGGATTTTTGTATCTATATTAGTCAGGGATATTGGTCTGTAGTTTCCTTTCTTGGTTATGTCTTTTCCCGGTTTTGGTGTTAGGGTGATACTCACTTCACAGAATGATTTAGGAAGGATTCTCTCTTTATCTTGTGGAATAGTGCCAATAGGATTTGTACCTATGTTCTTTCAATGTCTGATAGAATTCAGCTGTGAATTTGTCCCATCCTGAACTTTTTTTCTTGTTGGTAATTTTTAAATTGCCATTTCAATCTTGCTGCTTGTTATTGGTCTGTTCAGGGTTTCTAATTCTTCCTGATTTAAGCTACAAGATTTGTATCTTTTCAGGCATTTATTCATCTCCTCTAGGTTTTCTAGTTTATGCGCAAGTTCATAGCAGCCTTGAATGATCTTTTGTATTTCTGTGGTGTCGGTTGTAATATCCCCCATTTCATTTCTAATTGAGCTTATTTGGATATTCTCTCTTCTTTTCTGGGTTAATGTTGCCAGTGGTTTATCAATTTTATTTATCTTTTAAAAGAACCAGCTTTTTGTTTCATTTTTCTTTTGTAATGTTTTGTTTAATTCAATTACATTTCATTCCGCTCTGATCTTGGTTATTTCTTTTCTTCTGCTGTGTTTGGTTTTGGTTTGTTTTTGTTTCTCTAGTTCCTTGAGGTGTGACATTAGGAACATTGTCTATTTGTGCTCTTTCACACTTTTTGACGTAGGTTAACGCTATCAGCTTTCCTCTTAGCATCACTTTTGCTGTATCCCAGAAATTTATAGGTTCTTTCACTATTATCATTCAGTTCACAGAATATTTTAATTTTCATCTTGATTTCATTGTTTACCCAGTGATCATTCAGGAGCAGGTTATTTGATTTCCATGTATTTTCATGGTTTTGAAGATTTCTTTTGGAGTTGATTTCTAGTTTTATTCCACTCTAGTCTGAGAGAGTACTTGATGTAATTTCAATTTTTAAGAATTTGTTGAGACTTCTTTTTGGCCTATCATATAGCCTATTACATAGAATTTTCCACGTGCTGATGAATAGAATGTACATTCTGCAGCTGTTGGATACAATGTTGTCAAAGATCAGATAGTTGTAGATATGCGGCATTATTTCTGGGGGCTCTGTTCTGTTTCATTGGTCTATATCTCTGTTTTGGTACCAGTACCATGCTGTTTTGGTTACTGTAGCCTTGTAGTATAGTTTGAAGTCAGGTAGCATGATGCCTCCGGCTTTGTTCTTTTGGCTTAGGATTGACTTGGTGATGCAGGCTCTTTTTTGGTTCCATATGAACTTTAAAGTAGTTTTTTCCAATTCTATGAAGAAAGTCATTGGTAGCTTGATGGGGATGGCATTGAATCTATAAATTACCTTGGGCATTAAGGCCATTTTCACGATATTGATTCTTCCTACCCATGAGCATGGAATGTTCTTCCATTTGTTTGTATCCTCTTTTATTTCATTGAGCAGTGGTTTGTAGTTCTCCTTGAAGAGGTCCTTCACATCCCTTGTAAGTTGGATTCCTAGGTATTTTATTCTCTTTGAAGCAATTGTGAATGGGAGTTCACTCATGATTTGGCTCTGTTTGTCTGTTATTGGTGTATAAGAATGCTTGTGATTTTTGTACATTGATTTTGTACCCTGAGACTTTGCTGAAGTTGCTTATCGGCTTAAGGAGATTTTGGGCTGAGACAATGGGATTTTCTAGATATACAGTGATGTGATCTGCAAACAGGGACAATTTGACTTCCTCTTTTCCTAAATGAATGCCCTTTATTTCCTTC
Source organism: Homo sapiens (assembly GCF_000001405.40). Taxonomy (NCBI): domain Eukaryota; kingdom Metazoa; phylum Chordata; class Mammalia; order Primates; family Hominidae; genus Homo; species Homo sapiens. The sequence continues at coordinate 57,148,759 of NC_000023.11, forward strand.
TCCTGCCTCATTGTTCTGGCCAGAACTTCCAACACTAGTTGAATAGGAGTGGTGAGAGAGGGCATCCCTGTCTTGTGCCAGTTTTCAAAGGGAATGCTTCCAGTTTTTGCCCATTCAGTATGATACTGGCTGTGGGTTTGTCATAGATAGCTCTTATTATTTTGAGATATGTCCCGTCATACCTAATTTATTGAGAGTTTTTAGCATGAAGAGGTGTTGAATTTTGTCAAAGGCCTTTTCTGCATCTATTGAGATAATCATGTGGTTTTTGTCTTTGGTTCTGTTTATATGCTGGATTACATTTATTAATTTGCGTATGTTGACAGCCTTGCATCCCAGGGATGAAGCCCACTTGATCATGGTGGATAAGCTTTTTGATGTGCTGCTGGATTCGTTTTGCCAGTATTTTATTGAGGATTTTTGCATCAGTGTTCATCAAGGATATTGGTCTACAATTCTCTTTTTTGGTTGTGTCTCTGCCCGGCTTTGGTATCAGGATGATGCTGGCCTTATAAAATGAGTTAGGGAGGATTCCCTGTTTTTCTATTGATGGGAATAGTTTCAGAAGGAATGGTACCAGCTCCTTCTTGTACCCCTGGTAGAATTCGGCTGTGAATCCATCTGGTCCTGGACTTTTTTTGGTTGGTAAGCTATTGATTATTGCCACAATTTCAGAGCCTGTTATTGGTCTATTCAGAGATTCAACTTCTTCCTGGTTTAGTCTTGGGAGGGTGTATGTGTCGAGGAATTTATCCATTTCTTCTAGATTTTCCAGTTTATTTGCATAGAGGTGTTCATAGTATTCTCTGATGGTAGTTTGTATTTCTGTGGGATCGGTGGTGATATCCCCTTTGTCATTTTTTATTGCATCTATTTGATTCTTCTCTCTTTTCTTCTTTACTAGTCTTGCTAGCGGTCTATCAATTTTGTTGATCTTTTCAAAAAAACAGCTCCTGGATTCATTAATTTTTTGAAGGGATTTTTTTTTGTCTCTATTTGCTTCAGTTCTGCTCTGATTTTAGGTATTTCTTGCCTTCTGCCAGCTTTTGAATGTGTTTGCTCTTGCTTTTCTACTTCTTTTAATTGTGATATTAGGGTGTCAATTTTGGATCCTTCCTCCTTTCTCTTGTGGGCATTTAGTGCTATAAATTTCTCTCTACACACTGCTTTAAATGTGTCCCAGAGATTCTGGTGTGTTGTGTCTTTGTTCTCATTGGTTTCAAAGAACATCTTTATTTCTGCCTTCATTTTGTTATCTACACAGTAGTCATTCAGGAGCAGGTTGTTCAGTTTACATGTAGTTGAACGGTTTTGAGAGCGTTTCTTAATCCTGAGTTCTAGTTTGATTGCACTGTGGTCTCAGAGACAGTTTGTTATAATGTCTCTTATTTTGCATTTGCTGAGGATTGCTTTACTTCCAACTATGTGGTCAATTTTGGAACAGGTGTGATGTGGTGCTGAAAAGAATGTATATTCTGTTGATTTGGGGTGGAGAGTTCTGTAGGTGTCTATTAGGTGCACTTGGTGCACAGCTGAGTTGAATTCCTGGATATCCTTGTTAACTTTCTGTCTCATTGATCTGTCTAATGTTGACAGTGGGGTGTTAAAGTCTCCCATTATTATTGTGTGGGATTCTAAGTCTCTTTGTAGGTCACTAAGGACTTGCTTTATGAATCTGGGTGCTCCTGTATTGGGTGCATATGTATTTAGGATAGTTAGCTCTTCTTGTTGAATTGATCCCTTTTCTATTATGTAATGGTCTTCTTTGTCTCTTTTGATCTTTGTTGGTTTAAAGTCTGTTTTATCAGAGACTAGGATTGCAACCTCTGCCCTTTTTTGTTTTCCATTTGCTTGGTAGATCTTCCTCCATCCCTTTATTTTGAGCCTATGTGTATCTCTGCATGTGAGATGGGTTTCGTGAATACAGCACACTGATGGGTCTTGACTCTTTATCCAATTTGCTAGTCAGTGTCTTTTAATTGGAGCATTTAGCCCATTTACATTTAAAGTTAATATAGTTATTTGTGAATTTGATTCTGTCTTTATGATGTTAGCTGGTTATTTTGCTCGTTAGTTGATGCAGTTTCTGCCTAGCCTTGATGGTCTATACAATTTGGCATGTTTTTGCAGTGGGTGGTACCGGATGTTCCTTTCCATGTTTAGTGCTTCCTTCAGGAGCTCTTTTAGGGCAGGCCTGGTGGTGACAAAATCTCTCAGCATTTGCTTGTCTGTAAAGTATTTTATTTTTCCTTCACTTATGAAACTTAGTTTGGCTGGATATGAAATTCTGGGTTGAAAATTATTTTCTTTAAGAATGTTGAATATTGGCCCCCACTCTCTTCTGGCTTGTAGAGTTTCTGCTGAGAGATCCACTGTTAGTCTGATGGGCTTCCCCTTGTGGGTAACCCGACTTTTCTGTCTGGCTGCCCTTAACATTTTTTCCTTCATTTCAACTTTGATGAATCTGACAATTATGTGTCTTGGAGTTTCTCTTCTCAAGGAGTATCTTTGTGGCATTGTCTGTATTTCCTGAATCTGAATGTTGGCCTGCCTTGCTAGATTGGGGAAGTTCTCCTGGATAATATCCTGCAGAGTGTTTTCCAACTTGGTTCCATTCTCCCCGTCACTTTCAGGTACACCAATCAGACATAGATTTGGTCTTTTCACATAGTCCCATATTTCTTGGAGGCTTTGTTCATTTCTTTTTATTCTTTTTTCTCTAAACTTCCCTTCTCACTTCATTTCATTCATTTCATCTTCCATCGTTGATACCCTTTCTTCCAGTGATCGCATCGGCTCCTGAGTCTTCTGCATTGTTCATGTAGTTCTCGAGTCTTGGCTTTCAGCTCCATCCGCTCCTTGAAGGACTTCTCTGCATTGGTGATTCTAGGTATCCATTTGTCTAATTTTTTTTTCAAAGTTTTTAACTTCTTTGCCATTGGTTTGAATTTCCTCCTGTAGCTCGGAGTAGTTTGATCGTCTGAAGCCTTCTCTCAGCTTGTCAAAGTCATTCTCCGTCCAGGTTTGTTCCATTGCTGGTGAGGAGCTGCATTCCTTTGGAGGAGGAGAGGCACTCTGCTTTTTAGAGTTTCCAGTTTTTCTGCTCTGTTTTTTCCCCATCTTTGTGGTTTTATCTACTTTTGGTCTTTGATGATGCTGACGTACAGATGGGTTTTTGGTGGGGATGCCCTTTCTGTTTGTTAGTTTTCCTTCTAACAGACAGGACCCTGAGGCCTGTTGGAGTTTGCTACAGGTCCACTCCAGACCCTGTTTGCCTGGGTATCAGCAGCAGTGGCTGCAGAACAGCAGTGGCTGTAGAACAGTGGATATTGGTGATCTGCAAATGCTGCTGCCTGATCATTCCTCTGGAAGTTTTGTCTCAGAGGGGTACTCAGCTGTGTGAGGTGTCAGTCTGCCCCTACTGGGGGGTACCTCCCAGTTAGGCTGCTCGGGGGTTAGGGTCCCACTTGAGCAGGCCGTCTGCCAGTCCTCAGATCTCCGGCTGCGTGCTGGGAGAACCACTACTCTCTTCAAAGCTGTCAGACTGGGACATTTAAGTCTGCAGAGGTTACTGCTGTATTTTTCTTTGTCTGTGCCCTGCCCCCAGAGGTGGAGCCTACAGAGGCAGGCAGGCCTCCTTGAGCTGTGGCAGGCTCCACCCATTTCGAGCTTCCCAGCTGCTTTGTTTACCTAATCAAGCCTGGGCAATGGCAGGCGCCCCTCCCCCAGCCTCGCTGCTGCCTTGCAGTTTGATCTCAGACTGCTGTGCTAGCAATCAGCGAGACTCCGTGGGCATAGTACCCTCCAAGCCAGGTGCAGGATATAATCTCTTGGTGTCCCATTTTTTAAGCCAGTTGGAAAAGTGCAGTATTAGGGTGGGAGTGACCTGATTTTCCAGGTGCCATCTGTCACCCCTTTCTTTGAGTAGGAAAGGGATCTCCCTGACCCATTGTGCTTCCCGAGTGAGGCAATGCCTCGCCCTGCTTTAGCTCGTGCCCGGTGTGCTGCACCCACTGTCCTGCACCCACTGTCTGGCACTCCCTAGTGAGATGAACCCGGTACCTCAGATGGAAATGCAGAAATCACCTGTCTTCTGCATTGCTCACACTGGGAGATGTAGACTGGAGCTGTTCCTATTTGGCCACCTTGGCTCCCCCCCCGCTGACCTCTGTCTTGATGACCTGTCTAGTGCTGTCAGTGGACTTTTGAAATCCCCCACTATTATCGTCTTGCTATCTATCTCATTTTTAAGGTCTGGTAGTAATTGTTTTATAAATGTGGAAGATCCAGTGTTAGGTGCATATGTATTTAGGATTGTTATATTTCCCTGTTGGTCAAGGCCTTTTATTATTATGTAATGTCCCTGTTTGTCTTTTTAAACTGCTCTTGATTTAAAGTTTGTTTTCTCAGTTACAAGAATAGCTACACCTGCTTGCTTTTGGTGTCTATTTGCATAGAATATCTTTTTCCATGCCTTTACCTTAAGTTTATGTGAGTCCTTATGTGTTAGGTGAGTCTCTTGAAGGCAGCAGATACTTGCTTGGTGAATTCTTATTCATTCTGCAATTCTGTATCTTTGAAGTGGAACATTTAGGCCATTTATATTCAATGTTAGTATTGAGATGTGAGATACTATTCCATTCATTGTATTATTTGTTGCCTGTATACCTTTTTTATATTGTATTTTAATTTTATGGGTTCTGTGAGATTTATGCTTTAAAGTGGTTTTGTTTTGATGTGTTTCCAGGATTGTTTCAAGATTTCAGTCTCCCCTTAGTAGTTCTTGTAGTGCTGTCTTGGTATTGGCAAATTCTCTCAGCTTTTGTTTGTCTAAAAAACACTGTGTCTTTTCTTCAATTATGAATCTTAGTTTTGCTGGATACAAAATTCTTGGCTTGTAATTGTTTTGTTTAATGAGGCTGAAGATAGGGCCCCAATTCCTTCTAGCTCGTAGAGTTTCTGCTGAGAAATTTTCTGTTAATCTGTTTTCCTTTATAGGTTACCTTGTACTTTTGCCTCACAACTCTTAAGATTCTTACCTTTGTCTTGACCTCAGATAACCTGAGGACAATTTGCCTAGGCAATGATCTTTTTGAGATGAATTTCCCAGGTGTTCTTTGAGCTTCTTGTATTTGGATGTCTAGGTCTGTAGCAATGCCAGGGATGTTTTACTTGAATATTCCCCCAAATATGTTTTCCAAACTTTTAGGTTTCTCTTCTTCCTGAGGAACTCCAATTATTCTTAGGTTGAGTTGTTTAAGATAATCCCAAACTTCTTGGAAGCTTTGTTCATTTAAAAATTTTTCTTCTTTGTCCTTGTTGGATTGAATTAAAGCAAAACCTTGTCTTTGAGCTCCGAAGTTCCTTCCTCTGCTTGTTCTATTTTATTGCTGACACCTTCTAGTACATTTTGCATTTCCCTAAGTGTGTCCTTTATTTCCTGAAGTTGTCATTATTTTTATTTATGCTATCTATTTCACTGAAGATTTCTCCCCTCATATGTTGTATCTTTTTTTTTTTTTTTTTGACACAGTCTCACTTTGTCACCCAGGCCAGAGTGCAGTGACATGATCTCGGCTCATTGCAACCTTTGCTCCCCAGTTCAAGCAATTCTCTTGCCTCAGCCTCCTGAGTAGCTGGGACTACAGGCACCCACGACCATGCCTGGCGATTTTTTTTTTTTATTGCATTTTTAGTAGAGACAGGGTTTCACCATGTTGGCCAGGCTGGTCTCGAACTCCTGACCTCAGGTGATCTGCCCACCTTGGCCTCCCAAAGTGTTGGGATTACAGTTATAAGCTACCACACCTGGCCTTGTTGTATCTTTTTATTTTTATTTTTTTAAATTGGATGTCACCTTTCTCTGGTGCCTCATTGATTAGCTTAATAATCAACTTTCTTAAATTGTTTTCAGGCAATTCAGGGATTTCTTGGTTTGTATCCATTGCTGGTGAGCTAGTGTAATGTTTTTGGGGGTGTTAAACAACCTTGTTTTGTTATATTTCCAGATTTTTTTTTTAATTTCTTCTCATTTGGTTAAGTCTATGTCTGAGGGAAGATCTGGGACTCAAGGCTGCTGTTCAGATTTTTTTTGTCTCATGTGGTATTCCTTTTATGTAGTACTCTCCTCTTTTTCCTGGGGATGTGGCTTCCTGAGAGCTGAACTGTAGTGATCGTTATTTCTCTTCTGGGTCTAGCCACCCAGCAGAGCTACCAGGCTCCAGGTTGGTACTGGGGGTTGTCTTCCCAGAGTCCTGTGATGTATACTATCTTTACTATCTTCAGGTCTCTCATCCAGGGATACCAGCACCTGCTGCTGTGGGGATGGCAGGAGAGTTAAATGGACTCTGTGAGGGTCTTTAATTGTGGTTGTTTGATGCACTGGTTTTGTGCTGGTTGGCCTCCTGCCACGAGGTGACACTTTAAAGAGATATGGAGGATCAGGTGGTAGGTGGGGCCCTAGTGCTCCCAAGAGAATATGCCCTTTGTCTTCAGCTACCAAGGTGGGTAGGGAAGGACCATCTAGTGGGGCAGGGTTAGGTGTGTCTGAGGTGAGACTCTCCTTGGGTGGAGCTTGCTGTGGCTGCTATGGCAGATGGGGGTGTGATTCCCAGTCAATGAGTTATTTTCCCAGGAGGATTATGGCTGCCTCTGCTTTGTCATGCAGGTTATCAAGGAAGTTGGGGAAGCTGGCAGTTAGAGGCCTCACCCAGCTCCCACGCAACCAAAAAGGCTAGTCTCACTCCCACCATGCCCCAATAGCACTGAGTTTGTTTCCAGGCAGTGGGGCGTGCTGGGCTGAGAACTTGCTCCAGGCTACTACTAGCCTTCAGGCTGAGAAAAAAGCAGGGCTCCCTGCCTTTGAGTCTGCACACGAGTTTCACGTCATCCCCCAAGTTCTGGCCAGGAGACTTTGGGTTCAGTTGGAACTGTTACAAAGTTCAGCTGGAGGTTTCCTTCTACTGTGATCTTTTCCCAGTTCCTCTGGCTACTGTGATCTTTTCCCAGTTCCTCTGGCAGCCCTCCTCAAGGAACACTGTGAGACAAGTCAGACATAGCTTCCCTGGGGACCCAGAGAGCCCACAGGGCTTTTCCTGCTTCTCCTCTACCCCTGTATTTCACTCGGCTCTATAAATTTACTCAGCTCAAGGCAAGGTGAAATCCTTCTCCCGTGATCTAGACCTTCAGGTTACTCTGTAAGGGTATGTGTTCAGGGGTACATGATCCCCCTTTCTCACTTTCACAGTTTGGGCACTCACAGTATTTGAGCTGTCTCCTGGGTCTTGCAGGAGCAATTCACTTCCTTCTCATATTTCATTCTTTTTCATCCTCTGGTAGTGTGTTTTGACATATCACGTCTTTGAGCTTACTAATTCTTTCTTCTGTTTGATCAACTCTGTTATTGACACACATGCATTTTTCATTCTGTCAATTGAATTTTTCAGCTCTAAGATATCTGTTTGATGTTTTAAAATGATTTCAGCTTCTATGGTAAAATCTCTGATGGAATTCTGAATACCTTCTATGTGTTATCTTGCAGTTCATTGAGCTTCCACAAAATAGCTATTTTGAATTCTGCCTCTGAGAGGTTCTATATCTCTGGCACTTCAGGATTGGTTTCTAGTGTCTTATTTAGTTCATTTAGTGATATCATGTCTCCTGGATGTTCTTAATGCTTGTGGATATTCTTCAGTATCTGGGCATTGAAGAGTTATGTATTTATTTCAGTCTTTGCAGTCTGGCCTTGTTCATACTGAATCTTCTGGAAATGGTTTTCCAAGAATTCAGAGGATACAGTATTAAGTGACCTAAGCCTGTGGTGACTGTAGCGATTTCAGCACTAGGTGGCAGCCTGAGCCCTGGTATGCTGCAACTCTTGCATTCTCCTAGATACACAGCCTTTGTGGACTTGGAAAAGATAAGAGAGAATTCCCTGGTTTTCCAAGCAAAGTCTCTTGCTCTGTTACCTCTCTTTCTGCTAATCAGATGGAATCTCTCTGTGCTGGGCTGCCTGGAGTTGGGGGAGAGGTGACACAGGCACTCCTATGACCACTGCACCTGTCACCGTGCTGGGTTGCACTTGAAGCCCAGGGCTTTCCAGACCGACACTAGTACTGGACCTCACCAAAGGCCCACAGCTGCCACTGTTTGGCTACTGCTAATGTTTATTCAGTGTCCAAATACATTTTAGTCTGTAGATGGCGAATCCAGCCAGAACTTGTTCTATCCCACCAGGGCAGCAGATTGCCTTCTTCGTCAGGGTGGGTTTAATAATGATGTACAGGAACAAAATTCTGGAATTGGAAGCTTCAGTATTTGATCTGGTGCTTTATTTTACTGTGGCTGAGCTGATACCCAGTTGCAAGACCAAGTCCCTTGTACTTTTATTTCTCCTTTGCCCAAGTGGAAAGAGTCTTTCTCTGAGCTGCACTATGTGGAATTGGGAGAGGGATCACACAGGTCCTCCACACCAACTGCAGCTGGTGTCCTGCTGAATCTCAATTCCATTCCACAGCATCTGAGACCAGCAGAATGCACCCAATGACTGTAGTCATGATGGCCTGGTTACCACTCAAATTTTCGAGGCCCTGAGCTACTTTAGTCAGGCAATGGCAAATTGGGCCAGGACCTGGGTTTCTCCTACTGGAGTATCAGATTCCCTTCTGGTCCAGGGCTGGTCTAAATGCTCCCTCCATGGGCACCAGTAGAAGTCTGCCTGGTGTTGCATTCCACTGTGACAAGGTGGCACTGGGTTCCCATGCAATCTCCACACTGACTGCACTCTTTCTCTCCCAACACACAGATTCTTCTGGCTGCCCTGTTTTAGATTGGGAGAGGGGTCATGTAGACAATGTGAGACTGTCCTTTCTATCCTCTTGAATGCATTTTTTCTTATATTTATGTTAAAACCAAGTACTGTGATCAATCACCTGACGTTTTGGTTCTTACAAAGGTATTTTTTGCATGAATACTTGTTTATTTTGGTGTTCCGCAGGGGGTAGGAGGATAATTGCTGGAGGATTCTACTAAGCCAATTTGCTCAGTTTAATTTTTATTTTTTATTTTTTATTTTTTCTCTTGAACTTCTTTCTTTCTTTTTTATATTATACTTTAAGTTTTAGGGTACATGTGCACAATGTGCAGGTTTGTTACATATTTATACAAGTGCCATGTTGGTGTGCTGCACCCATTAACTCATCATTTAACATTAGGTATATCTCCTAATGCTATCCTTCCCCTCTCTCCCACCCCACAACAGGCCCCGGTGTGTGATCTTCCCCTTCCTGTGTCCAAGTGTTCTCATTGCTCAATTCGCACCAATGAGTGAGAACATGCGGTCTTTGGTTTTCTGTCCCTGCGATAGTTTGCTGAGAATGATGGTTTCCAGCTTCATCCATGTCCCTACAAAGGACATGAACTCATCATTTTTTATGGCTGCATAGTATTCCATGGCGTATATGTGCCACATTTTCTTAATCCAGTCTATCATTGTTGGACATTTGGGTTGGTTCCAAGTCTTCGCTATTGTGAATAGTGCCACAATTAACATACGTGTGCATGTGTCTTTATAGAAGCATGATTTATAATCCTTTGGGTATATACCCAGTAATGGGTGGCTGTGTCAAATGGTATTTCTAGTTCGAGATCCCTGAGGAATCGCCACACTGACTTCCACAATGGTTGGACTAGTTTACAATCCCACCAACAGTGTAAAAGTGTTCCTATTTGTCCACATCCTCTCCAGCACCTGTTGTTTCCTGACTTTTTAATGATCACCATTCTAACTGGTGTGAGATGGTATCTCACTGTGGTTTTGATTTGCATTTCTCTGGTGGCCAGTCATGATGAGCACTTTTTAATGTGTCTGTTGGCTGCATAAATGTCTTCTTTTGAGAAGTGTCTGTTCATATCCTTTGCCCACTTTTTGATGGGGTTGTTTTTTTCTTGTAAATTTGTTTGAGTTCATTGTAGATTCTGGATATTAGCCCTTTGTCAGATGAGTAGATTGCAAAAATTTTCTCCCATTCTGCAGGTTGCCTATTCACTCTGATGGTGGTTTCTTTTGCTGTGCAGAAGCTCTTTAGTTTAATTAGATCCCATTTGTCAATTTTGGCTTTTGTTGCCATTGCTTTTGGCGTTTTAGACATGAAGTCTTTGCCCATGCCATGTCCTGAATGGTATTGCCTAGGTTTTCTTCTAGGATTTTTATGGTTTTAGGTCTAACATGTAAGTCTTTAATCCATCTTGAATTAATTTTCGTATAAGGTGTAAGGGATCCAGTTTCAGCTTTCTACATATGGCTAGCCAGTTTTCACAGTACCATTTATTAAATAGAGAATCCATTCCCCATTTCTTGTTTTTGTCAGGTTTGTCAAAGATCAGATAGTTGTAGATGTGTGGCATTATTTCTGAGGGCTCTGTTCTGTTCCATTTGTCTATATCTCTGTTTTGGTACCAGTACCATGCTGTTTTGGTTACTGTAGCCTTGTAGTATAGTTTGAAGTCAGGTAGCATGATGCCTCCAGCTTTGTTCTTTTGGCTTAGGATTGACTTGGCTATGCGGGCTGTTTTTTGGTTCCATATGAACTTTAAAGTAGTTTTTTCCAATTCTATGAAGAAAGTCATTGGTAGCTTGATGGGGATGGCATTGAATCTATAAATTACCTTGGGCATTATGGCCATTTTCATGATATTGATTCTTCCTACCCATGAGCATGGAATGTTCTTCCATTTGTTTGTATCCTCTTTTATTTCATTGAGCAGTGGTTTGTAGTTCTCCTTGAAGAGGTCCTTCACATCCCTTGTAAGTTGGATTCCTAGGTATTTTATTCTCTTTGAAGCAATTGTGAATGGGAGTTCACTCATGATTTGGCTCTGTTTGTCTGTTGTTGGTGTATAAAAATGCTTGTGATTTTTGTACATTGATTTTGTATCCTGAGACTTTGCTGAAGTTGCTTATCAGTTTAAGGAGATTTTGGGCTGAGACAATGGGATTTTCTAGATATACAATGATGTGATCTGCAAACAGGGACAATTTGACTTCCTCTTTTCCTAAATGAATGCCCTTTATTTCCTTCTCCTGCCTCATTGTTCTGGCCAGAACTTCCAACACTAGTTGAATAGGAGTGGTGAGAGAGGGCATCCCTGTCTTGTTCCAGTTTTCAAAGGGAATGCTTCCAGTTTTTGCCCATGCAGTATGATATTGACTGTGGGTTTGTCATAGATAGCTCTTATTATTTTGAGATACGTCCCATCAATACCAAATTTATTGAGAATTTTTAGCATGAAGCATTGCTGAATTTTGTCAAAGGCCTTTTCTGCATCTATTGAGATAATCATGTGGTTTTTGTCGTTGGTGCTGTTTATATGCTGGATTACGTTTATTGATTTTTGTATGTTGAACCACCCTTGAATCCCAGGGATGAAGCCCACTTGATCATGGTGGATAAGCCTTTTGATGTGCTGTTGGCTTCGGTTTGCCAGTATTTTATTGAGGATTTTTGCATCAATGTTCATTAGGGATATTGTTCTAAAATTATCTTTTTTGTTGTTGTATCTCTGCCAGGCTTTGGTATCAGGATGATGCTGGCCTCATAAAATGAGTTAGGGAGGATTGCCTCTTTTTCTATTGATTGGAATTGTTTCAAAAGGAATGGTATCAGCTCCTCCTTGAACCTCTGGTAGAATTTGGCTGTGAATCTGTCTGTTCCTGGACATTTTTTGGTTTGTAAGCTATTAATTATTGCCTCAATTTCAGATCCTGTTATTGTTCTATGCAGAGATTCAACTTCTTCCTGGTTTAGTCTTGGGAGGGTGTATGTGTTGAGGAATTTATCCATTTCTTCTAGATTTTCTAGTTTATTTGCCTAGAGGTGTTTATAGTATTCTCTGATAGTAGTTTGTATTTCTGTGGGATCGGTAGTGATATCCCCTTTGTCCTTTTTTATTGCATCTATTTGATTCTTCTCTCCTTTAATAGTCTTGCTTCTCTCTTTTCTTTAATAGTCTTGCTAATGGTCTTTCAATTTTGTTGATCTTTTCAAAAAACCAGCTCCTGGATTGATTGATTTTTTGAAGGGTTTTTTGTGTCTTTATTTCCTTCAGTTCTGCTCTGATCTTAGTTATTTCTTGCCTTCTGCTAGCTTTTGAATGTGTTTGCTCTTGCTTCTGTAGTTCTTTTAATTGTGATGTTAGGGTGTCAATTTTAGATCTTTCCTGCTTTCTGTTGTGGGCATTTAGTGCTATAAATTTCCCTCTACACACTGCTTTGAATGTGTCCCAGAGATTCTGGTATGTTGTGTCTTTGTTCTTGTTTGTTTCAAAGAACATCTTTATTTCTGCCTTCATTTTGTTATGTACCCAGTAGTCATTTAGGAGCAGGTTGTCCGGTTTCCATGAGGTTGAGCAGTTTTGAGAGAGTTTCTTAATCCTGAGTTCTAGTTTGATTGCACTGTGGTTTCAGAGACAGTTTGTTATAATTTCTGTTCTTTTACATTTGCTGAGGAGTGCTTTGCTTCCAACTATGTGGTCAATTTTGGAATAAGTGTGATGTGGTGCTGAAAAGAATGTATATTCTGTTGATTTGGGGTGGAGAGTTCTGTAGATGTCTATTAGGTCCGCTTGGTGCAGAGCTGAGTTCGGCTCCTGGATATCCTTGTTAACTTTCTGTCTTGTTGATCTGTCTAATGTCGACAGTGGGGTGTTAAAGTCTCCCATTATTATTGTGTGGGAGTCTAAGTCTCTTTGTAGGTCACTAAGGACTTGCCTTATGAATCTGGGTGTGCCTGTATTGGGTGCATATGTATTTAGGAGAGCTAGCTCTTCTTGTTGAATTGATCCCTTTACCGTTATGTAATGGCCTTCTTTGTCTCCTTTGATCTTTGTTGGTTGAAAGTCTGTCTTATCAGAAACTAGGATTGCAACCCCTGCCTTTTTTAGTTTTCCATTTGCTTGGTAGATCTTCCCCCATCCCTTTATTTTGAGCCTATGTGTGTCTCTGCACGTGAGATGGGTCTCCTGAATACAGCACACTGATGGGTCTTGACTCTTTATCCAATTTGCCAGTCTGTGTCTTTTAAATGGAGCATTTAGTCCATTTACATTTAAAGTTAATATTGTTACGTGTGAATTTGATCCTGTCATTATGATGTTAGCTGGTTATTTTGCTCATTAGTTGATGCAGTTTCTTCCTAGTCTTGATGGTCTTTACATTTTGGCATGATTTTGCAGTGGCTGGTACCGGTTGTTCCTTTCCATATTTAGTGCTTCCTTCAGGAGCTCTTTTAGGGTAGGCCTGGTGGTGACAAAATCTCTCAGCATTTGCTTGTCTGTAAAATATTTTATTTCTCCTTTGCTTATGAAGCTTAGTTTGGCTGGATATGAAATTCTGGGTTGAAAATTCTTTTCTTTAAGAATGTTGAATATTGGCCCCCAATCTCTTCTGGTTTGTAGGGTTTCTGCCGAGAGATCCGCTGTTAGTCTGATGGGCTTCCCTTTGAGGGTAACCCAACCTTTCTCTCTGGCTGCCCTTAACATTTTTTCCTTCATTTCAACTTTGGTGAATCTGACAATTATGTTTCTTGGAGTTGCTCTTCTCGAGGAGTATCTTTGTGGCGTTCTCTGTATTTCCTGTATCTGAATGTTGGCCTGTCTTGCTAGATTGGGGAAGTTCTCCTGGATAATATCCTGCAGCGTGTTTTCCAACTTGGTTCCATTCTCCCCATCACTTTCAGGTACACCAATCAGACGTAGATTTGGTCTTTTCACATAGTCCCGTATTTCTTGGAGGCTTTGCTCATTTCTTTTTATTCTTTTTTCTCTAAACTTCCCTTCTCACTTCATTTCATTCATTTCATCCTCCATTGCTGATACCCTTTCTTCCAGTTGATCGCATCGGCTCCTGAGGCTTCTGCATTCTTCACGTAGTTCTTGAGCCTTGGTTTTCAGCTCCATCAGCTCCTTTAAGCACTTGTCTGTATTGGTTATTCTAGTTATACATTCTTCTAAATTTTTTTCAAAGTTTTCAACTACTTTGCATTTGGTTTGAATGTCCTCCCGTAGCTCAGAGTAATTTGATTGTCTGAAGCCTTCTTCTCTCAGCTTGTCAAAGTCAATCTCCATCCAGCTTTGTTCCCTTGCTGGTAACGAACTGCGTTCCTTTGGAGGAGGAGAGGCGCTCTGCTTTTTAGAGTTTCCAGTTTTTCTGTTCTGCTTTTTCCCCATCTTTGTGGTTTTATCTACTTTTGGTCTTTGATGATGGTGATGTACAGATGGGTTTTTGGTGTGGATGTCCTTTCTGTTTGTTAGTTTTCCTTCTAACAGACAGGACCCTCAGCTGCAGGTCTGTTGGAATACCCTGCCCTGTGAGGTGTCAGTGTGCCCCTGCTGGGGGGTGACTCCCAGTTATGCTGCTTGGGGGTCAGGGGTCAGGGACCCACTTGAGGAGGCAGTCTGCCCGTTCTCAGATCTCCAGCTGCGTGCTGGGAGAACCACTGCTCTCTTCAAAGCTGTCAGACAGGGACATTTAAGTCTGCAGAAGTTACTGCTGTCTTTTTTTTTGTCTGTGCCCTGCCCCCAGAGGTGGAGCCTACAGAAGCAGGCAGGCCTCCTTGAGCTGTGGTGGGCTCCACCCAGTTCGAGCTTCCTGGCTGCTTTGTTTACCTAATCAAGCCTGGGCAATGGAGGGCGCCCCTCCCCCAGCCTCGCTGCCGCCTTGCAGTTTGATCTCAGACTGCTGTGCTAGCAATCAGGGAGACTCCGTGGGCGTAGGACCCTCTGAGCCAGGTGCGAGATATAATCTCGTGGTGCGCCGTTTTTTAAGCCCGTCAGAAAAGCACAGTATTCAGGTGGGAGTGACCCGATTTTCCAGGTGCTGTCCATCACCCCTTTCTTTGACTTGGAAAGGGAACTCCCTGACCCCTTGCACTTCTCAAGTGAGGCAATGCCTCGCCCTGCTTCGGCTCGCACACGATGCGTGCACCCACTGACCTGCGCCCACTGTCTGGCACTACCTAGTGAGATGAACCCGGTACCTCAGATGGAAATGCAGAAATCACCCGTCTTCTGCGTTGCTCACGCTGGGAGCTGTAGACCAGAGCTGTTTCTATTCGGCCATCTTGGCTCCTCCCTTAATATGAATTTCTTAACCGATGTATGGTCAAATTAACAAATGGAAAACAAAACAAATGCTGTGGAATTCTGATGATTTCCTGGTAAATATTAGGTATAATAACTATCTGAGCCTGAAACTTGTAGGCAATAGGGGCTCAAAGGACGGTAATGGCAAGATGTGATTGTCAATTTAAGGCTAAATAAGGCCAGAAGAAAACAGAATCTGAACAATATACCTGACTTTAAAATCTTTAGGATTTGGAGAAGGCACAAGGTTGGATCAGTAAAAACAGTTGGGAAAAATAGTCCCTCAGTGATCAGTGTTTTAGGGACATACTGTGGGTACTGCATAGTTTCTAGATGTCATGGTATGAGGAGATAAACTTTGTAAGACAACATTAAAGTCCTTCCTGTAGGTGCCCAATGGGCCTATTATAAAATTCTTTCTGCATCACCTTAATTCCCAAAAAAGGTACATAGATTAGGACTCCAGATTCCAGGTGGAGACAGTGACCCTCAACAAAATGCATTCATAAAGCTGTTTTAGTAGAGAAGATCTCTGTGGGTTTATAAGTACAATACGAACTTTGATGTGAGGGACATTTAATGTGCTAGTATAGCCCTGGTAGTCACCATTATGGGATGAGACCATTTAAAATTGTGAATATGAAATGATAAGTGTAAAGGAGGCTGGTCCAATTCCCTGTAAAAGGCTTTCATAAATGGACCCCAAACAGAATATGCCACAGGAAATGATTCAAATGCACGAACAATTTGAAATAATTTAGAAATAAACAAGTTTGAAAGAGGTACATTGATATACCCTAGTCAAAGAAATATGAGCAAATATGCATTTTGCAGTGGCATTTCTGGGAATGTATTAAATAAACACACATTTTGTAAAAATAATAACAACTCTTAGGTTGACTTTCAAAATAATAAGCTGAAATTGTTGTGGACATTATAGATTACCTCACTAGTTTCCATTTTAATCATTTTTTTGTTTTATAGTACTCATACCATTTTGGTGGAATTAACACCATTCCCAAATTCAGGTTGGACCTTCGTTATCATAAGCATAATAGCCATACGGATCTACTCTGTGTATGTGATTGATTCTGAAATGTGTAGATAAAATGGAAATAAAATAATTGGGCATAGCATTTTCTTTGGCCATACTATGAGGATGTGGAGAAATAGGAACACTTTTTCACTGTTGGTGGGACTCTAAACTAGTTCAACCATTGTGGAAGTCAGTGTGGCGATTCCTCATGGATCTAGAACTGGAAATACCATTTGATCCAGCCATCCCATTACTGGGTATATACCCAAAGGACTATAAATCATGCTGCTATAAAGACACACGCACATGTATGTTTACTGCGGCATTATTCACGATAGCAAAGACTTGGAACCAACCCAAATGTCCAACAATGATAGACTGGATCAAGAAAATGTGGCACATATACACCATGGAATACTATGCAGCCATAAAAAAGGATGAGTTCATGTCCTTTGTAGGTACATGGATGAAATTGGAAATCATCATTCTCAGTAAACTATCGCAAGAACAAAAAACCAAACACCGCATATTCTCACTCATAGATGGGAATTGAACAATGAGATCACATGGACACAGGAAGGGGAATATCACACTCTGGGGACTGTTGTGGGGTTGGGGGAGGGTGGAGGGATAGCATTGGGAGATATACCTAATGCTAGATGATGAGTTAGTGGGTGCAGCGCACCAGCATGGCACATGTATACATATGTAACTAACCTGCAGAATGTGCACATGTACCCTAAAACTTAAAAGTATAGTAATAATAAATATATAAATAAAAAAAGAAAAAAAAGAAATTCATATTAAGTTCTTCAAGCTGAGCATGTATAATGGTAATATGGGAGGGGCACAGAGAAGGGCTGGGTAGAAAAATGTGGGGTCCCTGGCAAGAACTCCACCTTTGGGCCTGTGCCTGCAGACCTAAGTGAGGACAGACACTCCTGTTTTCACACCCAAATGTTGCTTTTTCCAAGACCACCTTGGCCTGCCATGCCCCCCATCCTGTGCCTATAAAAAATCCCAAGACTCTGGCAGACACAAATGGCTGGATGTTGAGAGGAACACAAAAATGGAAGAACACACAGGTGGCTGGTTGTTGAGAGGAGCAGAGTAATGGAAGAGCACACCAACAGGCATCAGCAACCACCGACAGGCCATCAGCAATGGGATGATGTGGAATTCAGCTGGGGGTGGTCGGAGGAGAGTACAGCCTCTGAGCGGCCTGACCCCAGAGAAACACCACCTTCCCACTCCATCCCCCCTCTGGCTTTCCATCCTTCTGCTGAGAGCTACCTTCAATCAATAAAACCATACACTCCTTCTCCAAGCCCATGTGGGATCCGATTTTTCTGGTACACTAAGACAAGAACCTGGGATACAGAAATCCTTCTGTCCTTGTGATAAGGCAGACAGTCTAATTGAGCTGATAAACACAAGCCACCTGCAGACAGAAAAACTGAAAGAGTCCACTGTAATACACACCCACCCTAGATGCTGCCATGGGATTGGCGATCCCCATGACCTGCCCATAGGCATGCTCCCCCTAAGGGTATACCGAGCACTAGGGCACCAAAGAAGTAAGACTCACCCCCATTGAATGCCCTGAAATGAGATTAAGGGAGCTTTCCCTGTTTCAATGGTATTATGTGAAGCTGTGGTACAAATTCAATCTGGAAGAAAGCACAAGAATATTCTACACCTATGGTTTTGGTCACTGGGCTAGCATTTCACTTATAAAGCACATATTACTGTTAGGAGACATAGTTACGGTGATCTTGAAGAAAGGGGAGAGGTCGCCCCAACCATCCTTATCATCACCCTATCATATCATATTGAGTTCACTATCTTTGGTTTGTTGCACTGGGAAATAAGAGCAGGTCCTCACCGTGCTTGATACTTGGTAGAATTGCCTAGATAAAAACTGACTTGATCTTCAATTACTGGGCTGTATGTGGTAATTTTGCAGCCAATTCAGAAGCCCTATTTGTGGAATGTGTAGACAGTCGTTACACTTCGGTGGAGCTTCATCATATGTTTATAGTTCACCATGAAGCTTATATGACCGACTACCCAAGATAGTATCCAAGTAGTTTTTATTTACACACAGTGTAGGCGCTATATAGATCTCTGATGCCACAGCTTTATGTTGGGATGGGTGCCCTAATGTCTGGAAGTCACAGGGCCACAAAGATGGGAGCATTCTGGAGCTGTGCTTTGCAAACGTCTCTAGTTTTAACTATGAAGAAAAGGTTAGATTTCTCTGACCACACTTATTTAACTGTAACACATAAACAAAACGGCCCCATTTTCCTAGCTGTATATATCACCTCTTCTCCCACCCTAACTCACATGGGACCATCCCAGTGTGTCTTGAAAAATTGATTATGACCTTCGCAATGAATCTTGAACAGTTGTCCCTCCAGGCCAGCACCTGTCCCTTTACCAGATCTTACCCCCTTCCAAACAGTAATTTTATTTTAATCTTGCACAATCTGTTGTAATTATTTGCTAAGCTCTAATGATACCTGGCATTCACAGTTGTAACTACTGAGAATGCCAGTCTCAGTGTATTAAACCCCTTTTCCCCCTCAGTTAACCACTTCTTAACTTATATTGTGAGAACAATTACTTTTGATTTTTTTTTGTCTTTTCAGCAGAGAAAGGTGTTAGCCCAGTAAGAATCCAAGCATCATTCTTATGCATTTAAATGATTCCTTCTGCCAGTGTTAAGGATGTGAAGTGGTGAGCTTTGTACAAATGCATTTCAATTCTTGGGATACTTCAGAGATGGGCTCAGTAAGGGATTTGAGATCCATTTATTCTCTAGCAGAAAAAAAATATATACTAGGTATTGTATAGTGGTAGGAGCATTTACCTACTTGGGCAAGCTTTGGCCCAGTGACACCAACTTTTCAGAAAAACAAACTGAGAAGTATTTGCAGCAGACCAGAGTGGGCCTCCTGTCATTAGAGTCATAAACATCAAGGATGTTCTGGGCAGACCTTTTCAAGATCTTTATGTGATGTTTTAGAAGGTCATTTTATTTGGCCTGATAATTATAAAGCAAATTGTTCAAAATGAATTAAACTATGAATTGACAGAAATATAATTATAATGAGTTTAAATGATTACTTTTAGTAATTTCTTTTTTTAATATTTGCAAATGCTTAAAAATATAGACTAGATTTTAACATCTTATGATCAGATTTATTTACTTGCTTTTTTTAATTTTTAGTAATTTCTTACTTTCTGACACTTACAAGATGCTCCAGTCTCATCTTGTATATTCTATGCCCTAGTTCTGGAATCATCAGTTTTTCCAAGGATCCCTGGTTTCTTTTATTATATAATTGTGTTAGAAACAAAATTTGGCCACTAGTGTGCTCATCACTACTGGAGCATCATTTGTTCTAGGTCCTCTCTGCTGATAGAGCAAGGATATATATGTGTGTTACACACACACACACACACACACACACAAACACACATTTCTTTATGCAACCATCTGTACTTATTTAAAGCTAAATATGACTTTATATTGATATCTTCAAATCAAATAATCACATGCATTATTCTAACCTTCTCCTTTGGCTTAAAAGAGAAGGCTAGAATAATATAGCTTGTAACCTCCAATTCAAACAGTGAGAAACCTGGCTCCTAACACCTGCCCATCCATTTATTAATTGTTCAATTTCAATATACATGTATAGTGATTTTGCAAACCTGAAACTATGAGGAGACAACTTCATCAACTGCAGTACAGTGCTTATGTATATTTCCATTTGCCTTTAGTCTTGCAGGCTCCACTCATCTTCAAAGGTAATTAGGTCAGTAATAACTTCTCTACCCCCTTATGTGTATTATTACATGCATTTTATAATATTTTAAATTTGTAAATACTAAAGTGTAATCTTTCTACTTGATAAAACTCTATGGGTTTTGACAAAAGCATAGTGTCATATATCCATCCATATTAGTCTTCTTGATCTGCCATAACAAAATACCATAGACTGAGTAGCTTAAATAACAGAAACTTATTTTCTCAGATCTCTGGAGGCTAAAAGTCCAAAATAAAGATGCCATCAGGGTTGGTTTCTGGTAGGGCTTCTTCCTGACCTGTAGATGGCCACCTTCTCACTGTGTCTTCACATGGCTTTGCTTCTGTGCATCTGTGGAGAAAGAGGGAGAAAAGGAGAGCTCTGTTGTCTCTTCTGCTTTTTATGAAGACGTCAGTACTATCGGATTAGGGACTTATCCTTATGATCTAATTTAAATTTAATTACATCCTTAAAGGCCCTATCTCCAAATACAGTCATATCGGGAGATAGGGTTTCAACATACGATTTTTGAGGAGAAGCACAGTTTAGTTCATATTGCTGTCATCACGTGTGTGTGTGTGTGGTTTCATCACCCTAAAAATTGCCCTATGATTCACCTATATAACAATCCTTCCTCTCTTTTCAAGCTTCCTTCCAAAATGACTGCTCCGTTTACTCACTATGGGAGTAAATTTTATGTATCAACTTCCTAGGCTATAATTTCCAGTTGTTTGGTCAAACACCAGTATATATATATATATATATATATATATATATATATATATATATATATATATATATATATATATATATATATATGGTTGTGATGGTGTTTTTAAGATGTGACTAAAATATAAATCAGTAGATTTTGAGTAAAGCAGATTACTCTCAATAATGTAGGTGGGCCTAATCCAATCAAAAGTTGTAGGAGAAAAGATTGAGGTTCCCAGAAGAGGAAGGGATTTTACCTATTGACTGTTTTCAACACTTAAGACTGCAACATTGACTTCTGTGGGAATTTTTATCCAGCTGACCTGTCCTGCAAATTTCAGACTTACCAGTCTAACAATAGTGTGAGTTAATTCCTTAACATTAGCATCTCTCTCTCTCTCCTTCTAAACACACACACACACACACACACACAAACACACACACACACCCTTTTCCAGAATGTCATATGAATAGATTCATGAACTATGTGGCCTATTTCAACTGACTTCTTTATCTCAGTGCTATGGGTTGAATGTTTGTGTTCAAACATCAAAGCTGCAGTGCAGTGGCACAATCACGGCACACTGCAGCCTCAAACTCCTGGGCTCACCCAGTTCTTCCACCTCAGCCTCTTGAATAGCTGAAACTACAGATGCATACCACCACTACTGGCTAACTTTTGTTTTTGTTGTAGAAACTGGGTTTTGCCATGTTGCCTAGGCTGGCAAATACTTTATATATGTGGAGTCACAGAGTATTTGTTGTTGTTGTTGTTGTTGTTACTGGCTTTTTTGCTTGCATAGCATCCTCAAAGTTTATTCATGTTGTAACATGTGACAAACTTTCTTTCTTTAAAGGGCTGAATAATATTCTATTGTATGACTATACCAATTTTGTCTATTCATTCATCTGTTGATTGACATTTGAGTTGCTTCTACCTGTTGGTTATAGTGAATAGTGCTGCTATGACTATTTTAATTTTTTTATTTTGGTAACTGTAGGGGTACAAGTGGTTTTTGGTTACATGAATTACTTGTATAGAGGTGAAGTGTGGGATTTTAGTGCACCTGTCACCCGAGTACTGTACATTGTACCCAATAAGTAGTTTTTAATTCCTTGACCCCCTTCTACACTCTGCCTTCTGAGTCTTTAATATCCAATATACCACTCTGTATGTTTTTGCAAACCTGTGGTGTAGATCCTACTTATAAGTGTGAACACACAGTATTTACTTTATGTGTGTGTGTGTGTGTGTGTGTGTGTCATGGAGTCACACTCTGTTGCCCAGACTGGAATGCAGTGGCGTGATCTTGGCTCACGGCAACCTCCATCTCCCGGGTTTAAGCAATTCTCCTGCCTCAACCTCCCTAGTAGCTGGGATTACAGGCGCTCGCCACCATGACCAGCTATTTTTTTTTTTATATTTTTAGTAGAGACAGGGTTTCACCATGTTGGCCAGGCTGGTTTCGAACTCCTGACCTTAAGTGATCTGCCCATGTCGGCTTTCCAAACTGCTAGAATTTCAGGCATGTGCCACTGCAACCGGCCTGTATTTATTTTTTGATCACTGAGTTACTTTACTTAGAATAATGGCCTCCAGTTCCATCCAAGTTGTGGCAAAATATATTATTCTTTTTTTATGGTTGAGTAGTATTCCATGGTATGTATATACCACATGTTATTTATCCAATAATTGGTTAGTGGGCCCTTAGGTTGATTCCATATCTTTGCAATTGTGAATTGTGCTGTGATAAACATACACATACAGGTGTCTTTTTGATATAGTGATTTCTTTTCCTTTGGGTAGATACTCAGTAGTGGGATTGCTGGATCAAATGTTAGATCGACTTTTCATTCTTCGAGCAATTTCCATGTGATTTTCCTTAGAGGTTGTACTAATTTACATTCCCACTAGCAGTATACAAATATTCCCTTTTTACCACATCCATGCCAACATCTATTGTTTTTTGACTTTTTAATAATGGCTATTATGGCTTGGTTAAGGTGGTATCTCATTTTCATTTTAATTTTCATTTCCCTGATGATTAGTGATGATGAACATTTTTTCATATGTTTCTTGGCCATTTGTATATTTTCTTTTGAGAAATGTCTAGTCATGTCATTTGCCCCCTTTTTAATAGAATTACTTGGTTTTTTTATTGCTGATTTGTTCGAGTTCCTTGTAGATTCTGGATATTAGTCTTCTGTCAGATGAATAATTTGCAAATAATTTCTCCTGTTTTTTAGGTTATCTGTTTACTGTGCTGATTATTTCTTTTGCTGAGCAGAAGATTTTTAGTTTAATTAAACCCCATTTATTTATTTTTGGTTTTGTTGCATTTGCTTTTGAGGTCTTAGTCATAATATTTGCCTAGACTGATGTGCAGAGTTTTCCAAGGATTTCTTGTATAATTTTTATGGTTTCAGGTTTTAGATCTAAATTTTTTAAATCCATTTTGAGTTGATTTCTGTACAAGGTAAGCAATCCAGTGTTATTCTTCTGCATGTAACTATCCAATTTTCCTAGCACATTTATAGAATAGTGTGTCTTTTCCCCAGTTTAGGTTTTTGTATGCTTTGTTGACCATCACTTGATTGTAAGTATTTGGCTTTATTTATGGGTTCTCTATTCTATTTCATTGGTCTATTAGACTAGTTTTATAGCAGTACCATGCTGTTTTGGTTGCTATAGCCTTGTAGTACAATTTGAAGTCAGGTAATGTGATACCTATAGCTTCGTTCTTTTTGCTTAGGATTTCCTTGGCTTTTTGGGTTGTTTTTTGGTTTCGAATAAATTTTAAAATTATTTTTTCTAATTCTGTGAGAAATTGAGATGGGAAGAGTTCCCTTGTCCCCCTCACAGGGTGTGAGACGTGGGGAGTGGCTCGTTTCTTCAGTGCTCTGCTGCTCAGATCTCTAGGGGAGCATACAGATGGGCAGGTTGTGGGGCTCCAACCTCATGACAGTGTCTAGGTATGGATGTTTACAGCTCCTGAAGCCCCAGTGGGCGTGTGCTATCGTGTGCTCTTTTAGCTTTGCCGTCTATAGGTGGCTTGTGTTAACGAACTCAATTAGACCCACTACCTTATCACAAGGGCAAAGGACTTTCTGTAACCCGGGGTTCTTGCCTTGGTGTACTAGAAGAATTGAATCACACGTGGGCTTGGAGAATTAATACAAGGTTTTATTGAGTGGAAATAGCTCTCAGCAGATGGGGAAGTGAGAAAGGAGATGGTTTTCTCCTAGAGTCAGGCCAGTCAGTGGCCTGGGCTCTCCTCCAACTGCCTGGGCCAAACTCTGCCTCATTCCACTGGTTGATGGCCTGCCAGCCTGCTGGTGTGCTCCTACACTGCTGCATTCCTCTCGACGTCCAGCCACCTATGTGCTATGTGTTCCTCCTCTAATGTGTTCCTCTCGACGTCCAGCCACCTGTGTGTCTGACTGCTAAGGTCTCTGTGTTTTTATAGGCACAGGATGGGGGCTTGACAGGCGAGGGTAGTCTTGGGAAATGCTACATTTGAGCAGGAAAACAAAAATGCCTGTCCTCATCTAAGTCTATGGGGGTGGAACCCTATCCAGGGACCATGCCCTTCCCCACTTCCGTATCACTTAAAGGGACCACACCCTTCTCTACCCTGAATTTCTGTATCAAAGTGATGTTAAAATTTTTATAGGGACTGCATTGCATCTGTAGATTGCTTTAGGCAGTATGGTCATTTTCACAATATTCACTCTTCCAATCAATAAGCATGGGATGCATTTTTATTTTATCTGTGTCATCTATTATTTCTTTCAGCAGTATATTGTAGCTCTCCTTATAGAGATTTTTCACTTCCTTTGTTTAAGGATACTCCTGGGTATTTTATTTTTTCAGTTGCTATTGTAAAAGGAATTGAGTTCTTGATTTGATTATCAGCTTGGTCAGTGTTGGTGTATAGCAGTGCTACTGATTTGTGTGCATTACTTTTGTAATCAGACTTTACTGAATTCACTTATCAGATGAAGGAGCCTTTTGGAGGAGTCTTTAATGTCTTCTAGGTATAAGATTATATTATCAGCAAAAAGAGGTAGTTTGACTTTTTGTCCTATTTGGATGCCCTTTATTTCTTTCTCTCACCTGGTTGCTCTGGCTAAAACTTCTAGCATTAAGTTGAATAGAAGTGATGAAAATAGGCAACCTTGTTCCAATTCTTAGGGGGAACGTTTACAACTTTTCTCCATTGAGTATGATGTTGGCTGTGGGTTTGTCATATGGTTTTTAATATTTTGAGGTATATTTCTTATATGGCTAGTTTGTTGACAGTTTTTATTCTAAAGAAATGCTAGATATTATTGAATGTTTTTTTCTTATTTATTGAGATAATCATGTGATTTTTGTTTTTAATTCTGTTTATGGGATGAATCATATTTATTTACCTGGATATGTTGAAACATTCCTGCATCCCTGGGATGAAACCCAATTTATCATGGAGAATTATCTTTTTGATATACTGTTGGATTAGGTTTGGTAGTATTTTTTCAGGATTTTTGCATCTATAATTCATCAGGAATATTTGTCTGTAGTTTTCATTTTTTATGCCCTTTCCTGGCTTTGGTATCAGGGTAATAATGGCTTTGTAAAATAACTTAGGGAGGATATTTAAGATTCTTCTCAATCTTTTGGAATAGTTTTACTGGAATTGATACCAACTATTCTTTGAATGTTTTGTAGAATTCAACTGTGAATCTGGAATCTCTCTAGCCCCGAGATTTTTTTTTTTTTGTTCTTGGCAGTTTTCTTTTTTTAATTATGAATTCAGTCTCACTGATTATTATTGGTTTGTTCAGAATTTGTTTCTTCCTGATTCAAGCTGTGTGTGTGCATATGTTACCAGAAATTTATTCAGTTCCTCTAGATTTTCTAGTTTGTGAGCATAGAGTTGTTCATGGTAGTGTCAAATAATCCTTTGCATTATTATGTTGTTGGTTGTTATGTCCCAATTTTCATTTCTAGTTGAATTTATTTGAATCTTTTATTGTCTTTTCTTGGTTAACATAGCTAATGGTCTACCAATTTTGTTTATCTTTTCAAAGAACAATCTTCTTATTTTATTAATTTTTGGGGGGAATCAAATTCATTTAGTTCTTTTCTGATCTTCATTTCCTTTCTTTTACTAGCTTTGAATTTGGTTTGTTCTTGTTTCTCTAGTTCCTTGATGTGTTTTGTCAGGTTGTCAATTTGTGATCATTCAGATTTTTTGATGTAGGTGTTTAGTGCTATAAAGTTTCCTCTTAGCCCTGCTTTTGCTGTATGCCAGAGGTTTTGATAACTTGTGTCACTGTTATCATTTATTTCAAATAATTTTTAAATTTCCATCTTGATTTCATTGTTAAGCCAAAAATTTTTCAGAAGCATATTGTTTAAATTTTATACATTTGTATAATTTTGAGAGTTCCTGTTGGAATTGATTTCTGCTTTTATTCCACTGTGATTTGAGAAGATGCTCGGTATGATTTTGATTTATAAAAATTTATTGAGGCTTGTTTTCTGGGCTATCATATCATCTATCTTGGAAAATGTTATGTGTGGTGATAATGTATTTTCTGCAGTTCTTGGGAAAATATTCTATAAATATTTGTTAGGTCCACTTGTTCTAGAGTGCAGTTTAAGTTTAGTCCTTCTTCATTGACTTTCTGCTTCAATGATCTGTCTCTTGTTGTCAGTGGAGTGTTGAAGTCCTCCATTACTACTGCGTCACTGTCTATCTCTTTTCTTAGGTCTGGTAGTAATTGTTTTATGAACCTAGGAGCTCCAGAGTTAGGTGCATATATAATTAGGATTGTAATATCTTCTTGTTGGAATTTTCCTTTTATCATTATATAACCTTCTTTGTCTTTTACTATTGTTGTTCTAAAGTCTGTTTTATGTGATATAAGAATAACTACTCCTGAATGCTTTTGGTTTTCATTTACATATGGTATATTTTTCCACCCCTTTACCTTGAATCCATAAGAATTATTTTGTGTTACATGACTCTCTGGAAGATAGCAGATATTTGGTTTGTAACTTCTTATCTATTTTGCCAACCTGTATCTTTTAAGTGGAGCATTTAGATGATTTACATTCAATGTTAATATTGAGATGTGAGGTACTATTCCAGTCTTCATGTTGACTTTTACCTAGATATTTTGTTTTCTTTATTGTGTTATTGTTTTATAGGCCCTGTGAGTTTTATATTTACAAGAGGTTCTATTCTGGTCTATATTGAACCTCCGTTTCAAGCTTTAGAACTCCTTTTAGCATTTATTGTAGGGCTGATCTAGTGTTGATGGATAACCTCAGCAATTTGCTTGTCTGAAAAATACTTTATTTCTTCTTCATATATGAAAATTATTTTTACTGAATACAAAATTCTCAGGTGACACTTATTCTGTTTAAGAAGGCTAAAGATAGGACCCCAATTGGTTCTGGTTTATAAGGTTTCTGCTTAGAAGTCTGCTTTTAGACTGATAAGTTTTTCTTTATAAGTTATCTGATGCTTTTGTCTCACTGCTTTTAGAATTTTTTTTCCTTCACATTGACTTTATATAGCCTGATGAATGTGTGCTTTGGTGATGTCCTTTTTGCAATTAATCTCCCATGAGTTTTTTGAGCTTCTTGTATTTGCATGTCTGTATCTCTAGCAAGACCAAGAAATTTTCCCTCAATTATTCCCTCAAATATTTTTTCCAAACTTTTTGCCTTTTCTTCTCCCTCAAGAACACCTTTGATTCTTAGGTTTGGCCATTTTGTATAATCCCATATTTTTTGGAGACTTTATTTCATGTAATTGTTTTTTTTTTTTAATTTATTTTTGTCCAATTGGATTAATTCAAAAGCTTTCTCTTTGAGTTCTGAAATTCCTTCTACTTGGTCTAATCTATTGTTAAAACTTTCCACTGCATTTTGTAGTTCAATAAATTGTATTTTATTTTCAGAAGTTCTGATTATTGTTTCTTTAAATTATCCATTTCATTAGAAGAATTTTCACTCATATCCTGAATTGTTTCAATAATTTTTTTATGTTGGTTTTAACTTTCCTTTGTGTCTCCTTGAGTGACTTAATAACCTTTTAAATTCTTCATCTGGTTTTTCAAAGATTTTGTTTTCACTTGGATCCAATGCTGGAGAGATAGTATGATCTTTTTCAGATGTTATAGAACCCAGTTTTTGTTTATATTGTCAGAATTATTTTTTTGGTTTCTTCTCACTTGGGTAGTCTATTTCTTCTAATTATTTTTGCATTTATTTTTTATTCCATTGGGTTTGCTTTTATAAAGTAATTTTTCCCCCTTTGAGTATGTGACTTTAATGTTTATAGTTTATTGTTACCTAGCTTTGGCTCTGGGTGTTTTCAGTGGTAAAGATTCTGTGTGAGTTCCTTGGTAACAGAGAATGTTTGTGTGATGGTTTTCTCAGGTGCTGCTTCTAGTAGTGATGTGCTAGAGGCGTGAGCAAGTTCTCCATCTCCTCTGGGGCTGGAATGGCAGAGGTCCCATAAAGCTTATCTTGTTCCCCCAGTAGTTTGCACTTAAAAAAAAAATCCCCAGTATTTTTTTCACTTGGTTGAACAGTTCAGGCTTCAGGCCAGTAGGAGCAATCCACAAGGAAAAACTGGCTGTGACTAAAGCAGGTGAGTAAATGTAATACCCCAATAGTGAGAAGTCCCATCCTTGACAGAGGTGTCTGGGAAAGTACTCAGTGAAATGCGCTGATATCTTTTCAGTGGGAAGTGAGGGAGACACCAGGGCTGCACTTACAGGTCAATGGGAAAGCAATCTGCCTCCCAATCATCCTCTTGACTCAGTGTTCTGGCTATTCAGATCAGACAGGCACCTCTTTTCATATGCAGGAATGCTGATGTTCCAAGTAGAGAAAGATTGTGACTGTCTCCTGCAACCTGGAAGGCACTCCTCCTGTGGGGATGTAGTCACCCTGGAGTGTTTCAGAAAGTCTGTACACTTAAAGTATAATAATAATAATAATAATATATATATAATAAATAATTTTAAGATTTCAAAAAAAATTAAAACAAATGTGGGTCGGTTCGGGAGCAACAAATCTTTTCTTTTTTATTATTTAATGTTCAAAATTTAAATATATATATATATATATATATATATATATATATATACCTCCAATAAATGAAACCTGATGACTGAAAAAAAAAAAAAAAGAAGAAAGTCTGTATACAGATGCATCTACATAGAACTCCTGTGGAGAAGCCCCACCTGTGTCTGCAGTGATGGGTGTGAAGGGAAAAGAAGTCTACTTCTTCAGGACCCTTCATGAGTGCCTGGGCTGTCTGACTGTTGGGATAAAGCTGCAGACTTTTCCCACTGAGCCTAGCAGTGCAACTATGTCTCTGCTGAAAGAAACTTCCCACAAGTGGAAAGTTCAGGAATGCTTGGCCTGCAGTCTGTTTATTTTCTCCCATGGGGTGCTTTCTTAATGTGGCACAGCCTCCCCATTTCCCCTTCCCCTAAGAGTAGCAGTCCCTGAGGGCCAAACTACTATATCTTTAAACTCCTCTGGGTCTAGCCACCCAGTGGGGCTGCCACACTTCAGGCTGATGCCATAGAGTGTTTACAAGGAATCCAGTAATGTGACCTGTCTGTCCTCTTGTCTCCTAGCAGTGGGTCCCAGCACCGGCCCTGATGGGGGTGGGAAGGGAGTGAAATAGACTATGGAGATTTTCTTGGTTATTAATAACATTACTATGTTGGCTTTCTCAAATGCCAGCTCTAGTAGTAATGTACTGGGCACATGGACAGACTCAAGATCTCTTGCTTAGCCAGAATGATGCAGACAATTATTATAGCTGAGGTTGCACAAAAAGTTTTCTTTTTCCTAAACACTGTGTTATTGTGCCTGCAGATGTTATAATGTTCTGTGCTGGTTGTCCACCAGCTAGGAGGTGGCACTTGCAATAGATTGCCTGCTACAGTGGTAGCAGTGGTATTTGTTCTTGTTCTATGTTACCCAGAAGAGGTACTCTGGTGTCTTAGGAGGTGGATAAGGCCATGGAGCTCCCCAAAGTCCCTGTGCTTTGTGTTATACTACCACGGCAAGAAAAGGGCAAAGTTGGTGGAGGCTGGGTCAAGCAAGTCCACACTCTGGCTCCTTACATGTGGGTGCAAGCAGCAGCTTCAATGGGAATCAGAGGGCAGTTCCCTAGTTGCTGGGGTAATATTTCAGGAAGAAGCACAGCTGCCTCTGCTGCATAAAAGTTTCACATGGGAAGCAGAGAGTAGCAGGTGGCTGTAAGCTCCATTCAGCTCCCATGTACTTGACAAGACAGGTCTCACACAACAGTGTTCTGCTAGCAGCAGCTACTTGGGTTCCAGGCAGCCTTCACTCAGAAGTCAAAACTGCCCCAGGCCATAAGCTTTTTAACCAAGACAGAAACCATAGATTTCAAGCCACACTTCTCACAAGCTACCCATGAATCAGAAAACATACAAGCCAGAGGAGATTAGGGGCCTATATTCAACATAATTAAAGAAAAAATATTGGAACCAAGAATTTTATATCCAGCCAAACCAAGCTTCGATAAGAAGAAATAACATCCTATTCAGGCAAGCCAGTACTGAGGGAATTCATTACCTCCAGACCTACCTTGCAAGAGCTCCTAAAAGAAGGAGCTTTCCTATAAAAAGGAAAGACCATTACCTACCACTACAAAAGCACCCTTGAGTACATAGACCAGAGATAGTATAAAGCAACTATACAAAAATGTCTGGATAAAACCAGCTAACGTAATGATGACAGTGTCAAAGCCACACATATCAATACTAACCTTAAATATAAACAGTCTACATGCCTCAATTAAAAGGCACAGAGTGGCACATTGGACAAAGAACCAAGTCCCATTGGTGTGCTGTCTTCAAGAGACCCATCTCACATGCAATGACACCCATTGGCTCAAAATAAAGGGATAAAGAAAAAATCTACCAAACAAATGGAAATCAGAAAAAGCAGGGGTTGCAATCCTAATTTCAGACAAAACAGACTTTAAACCAACAAAGATCAAATAAGACAACAAACAGCATTCCATAATGGTAAAGGGTTCAATTCAACAAGAAGACCTATTATAAACACATATGCACCCAATACAGGAGCACCAAGATTCATAAAGCAAGTTCTTAGAGACCATCAAAGAAAGTTAAAATCCCATACAATAATAGTGGGAGTCTTCAGCAACCCACTGACAGTATTAGACAGAACATCAAGGCCCAGAATTAACAAAGATATTCAGGACCTGAACCCAGCACTGGACCAAATGGATTTGATAGACATATACAAAATTCTCCACCCAAAAGCAACAGAATATACATTTTTTTCACTGCCACATGGCACATACTCTAAAATCAACCACATGATCAAATATATAAAAAAAAGCAAATGTAAAAGAACCAAAAATATAATAACAACACCCTCAGATAACAGCACAATAAAAATATAATTTCAGACTAAGAAAATTCCTCAAAACCATACAATTATATGGAAATTAAACAATCTGCTCTTGAATGACTTTGGGGTAAATAATGAAATTAGGCAGGTCGCAAGAAGTTCTTTGAGACTAATGGGAACAAAGATACAACATACCAGAATTTCTGGGACACAACTAAGGCAGTGTTAAGCAGTACATTTATAGCACTAAACACCCACATCAACAGGTGAGAAATATTTCAAATTAACAATCTAACATTACAACTAGGAGCTAGAGTAGCAAAAACAAATGAACCCCAAAGCTAGCAGAAGACAAGAATTAACCAAAATCAGAGCTGAACTGAAGGAGATTGCAATATGAAAAACCATTCAAAATATGAACGAACCAATGAGCCATTTTTAAAAAATATAGGATAAATAGACTGCTAGCTGGACTCATAAAAAGGAAGCAGAGAAGATTCAAATGAACTAAATTAGAAATGACTAAAGAAGTATTACCAATAAACACTCAGAAATATTATGGTTATACAAATAACAATCATATTATTATGAACACCTCTATGCACACAACTAAAAAATCAAGAAGAAATGGAAGAATTCCTGGACACATGCAATCTCCCAAGGCAAAAGCAGAAATAAATTGAATCCATGAACAGAACAATAAAGAGCTCCAAAATTGAATCAGTAATAAATAGCCTGCCAACCAAACAACAACAACAACAACAGAAAGCCCAGGATCAGAAGAATGCACAGCTGAATTCCACCAGAGGTAAAAAGAAGAGCTGGTACCATTTCTACTGAAAATCTTCCAAAATATTAATAAGGAAGGTCTCCTCCCCACTGCATTCTATGAGGCCAGCATTATCCTGACATCAAAACCTAGCAGAAATACAATAACAACAAAAGAGACAACTTCAGGCCAATATCCTTCATGAACATCGTTGCAAAAATCCTGAATAAAACACCGATAAACTAAATCCTGCAACACATCAAAAAAATGAATCTGCCATGATCAAGTCAGCTTTTTCAAGATTGCTTCAACATATGCAAGTCAATAAACATGATTTATCTTATAAACAGAACTAAAGACAAAAACCAGATAATCATCTCAATAGATACAGAAAAGGTTTTTGATAAAATTTAATATCCTTCATGTTAAAAGCTCTCAACAAACTAGATTTTGAAGGAACATACCTCAAAATAATGAGAGTCACGTATGAAAAACTCACTACCAACATCATACTGAATGGGGAAAAGCTAGAAGCGTTCACCTTGAAAACCCAAATATATTGGAAGTCCTGGCCAGAGCAATCAGGCAAGAGAAAGAAATAAACAGCATCAAAATAAGAGAAAAGGAAGTGAAAGTATTTCTGTTTGCAGACCACATGATTCTATATCTAGAAAACCCTGTATTCCCTGCCCAAAAGTTTCATAATTGAAAACAACTTCAACAAAGCTTTAGAATTTGAAATCAATGTACAAAAATCGCTATCGTTTTAATATACCACCAACAGCCAAGCCAAGAACCAAATCAGGAAGCCCATTCACAATTTCCATAAAAAATAAAATACCTAGGCATACAGCTAACCAGAGAAGTGAAAGATCTCTACAAGGATAACTACAAAAGACTGCTCAAAGAAATCAGGATGACACAAACAAATGAAAAAGCATTCCATGCTTATATTTAGGAATAATTAATATGTTAAAAATGGCTATTTGGCCCAAATTCATTAAAGATTCAATGCTCTTCCTATCAAACTACCAATGACATTCTTCACAGAACTAGAAAAAACTATTTTAAAATTTATATGGAACCATAAAAAAGCCTGAATAGCCAAGGCAATCCTAAGCAAAAAGCACAAAGCTGGAGCATGATGCTACCCAACTTCAAACTATACTATAGGGCTGCAATAATCAAAACTGCATGGTACTGGTACACAAACAAAAACATAGACCAATGTAACAGAATAGATAGCTTAGAAGTAACACTGCACACCTTTAACCATCTCATCTTTGGCAAAGCTAACAAAAACAAGCAATAGAAAAAAAACCCTCCCTGTTCAATAAATGATGCTGGGATAACTGGCTATCTATATGCATAAAATTGAACCTGGAACCCTTCCTTACACTATATACAAAAATCAACTCAAGATTTATTAAAGACTGAAGTGTAAAAACAAACGAACAAAGCTATAAAAACCCTGGGAGACAACCTAGGGAATATCATTCTGGGCATAGGAACTTGCAAAGAGTTTATAATGAAGATGCTGAAAGCAATTGCAACAAAAGCAATAATTGACAAATTAGATCGAAAGAGCTTTTCCACAGAAAAATAAGCTATCAACAGAGTAAACAGACAATTTATAGAATATTAGAAAATATTTGCAAGTTATGCATCTGGCAAAGGTCTAATATCCAGCATCTGTAAGGATCTTAAACAAATTTACAAGAAAAAAAGTGGGCAAAGGACATTAACAGACACTTTTCAAAACAAAACATGCATGCAGCCAACAAGCATATAGAAAAGCTCAATATCACTGATCTTTACAGCAATGCAACTCGAAACCACAATAAGATACCATCTCATACCATTTTAATAATGGCTATTATTAAAAAGATGCTGGCGAGTTTGTGGAGAAAAAGGAATGATTTCCCTCTGTTGGTGGGAGTGCAAATTATTTCAACCATTGTAGAAAGCAGTGCGGCACAACTCCTCAAAGAGCTTAATATAGACTTGCCATTCTAAATTCCATTACTGGGTATATATACAAAGGAATATCAATCGTTCTATCATAAAGACACATGCACATGTATGTTCATTGCAGCACTCTTCACAATAGCAAAGACATGAAATCAATGTAATGTCCATCAAAGGTAAATTGAATAAAGAAAATGTGGTACATATACACCATAGAATATTATGGAGCCTTAAAGAAGACTGAGATCATGTCCATTGTAGGTACATAGTTGGAGCTGGAGGCCATTATCCCTAGAAAACTAATGCAGAAACAGAAAATCAAATACTGCATGTTCCCATTTGTAAGTGGAAGCTAAATGATGAGGACACACACACACACACAAACACATATACACACAAAGAGGAACAACAGACATGGAGGCCTACCTGAGGGCAGAAGGTGGGAGGATAGAGAGGAGCAGACAAAATAACTTTTGAGTTACAAGGCTTCGTACCTTGGTAATGAAGTAAGGTATACTACAAACCCCCATGACACAAGTTTATCTATATAACAAACCTGCATATCAAACCCTGAGCCTAAAATAAAATTTTAAAAAATCTTGTATTACAAAAAAAGTAGTTTAAATAAGTATTCTAAACTTCACCTTAAGGTACTATAACTAAGCCTGAAGCAAGCAGATGGGAAGTTAGTCATAATGTGCAGATTAGTAATTAATACATTGAAAATAGATATACACTAGAAAAATCAATCAAATCAAATTATACGTTCTTAAAAAATGAATAATACTGATAAACATCTATCAATAGTGACACAGAAATCTATCAGCAATATTAAGAATGTTAAGAATTGTTGCGGGAAGTCAGGGATCTCAAATGGAGGGACCAGCTGGAGCCATGGCAGAGGAACATAAATTGTGAAGATTTCATTTTAATATGGATATTTATCAGTTCCCAAATAATACCTTTATAATTTCATATGCCTGTCTTTACTTTAATCTCCTAATCCTGTTATCTTCATAAGCTGAGGATGTACATCACCTCAGGATCACTGTGATAATTGTGTTAACTGTACAAATTGATTGTAAAACTTGTGTTTGGACAATATGAAATCAGTGCATCTTGAAAAAGAACAGAATAACAGCGATTTTTAGGGAACGAGGGAAGACAACCATAAGGTCTGACTGCCTGTGGGGTCGGGCAAAAAGAACCATATTTTTCTTCTTGCAGAGAGCCTATAAATGGACGTGCAAGTAGGAGATATCGCTAAATTTTTTTCCTAGCAAGAAATATTAATATTAATACCCTGGGAGCCACTCTGGGAATGTCTGTCTTATGTGGTTGAGATGAGGACTGAGATATGCCCTGGTCTCCTTCAGTACCCTCAGGCTTACTAGGGTGGGGGAAAACTACCCTGGTAAATTTGTGGTCAGACCGTTCTCTGCTCTTGAACCCTGTTTTCTGTTGTTTAAGATGTTTATCAAGACAATACATGCACCACTGAACATAGACCCTTATTAGTAGTTCTGCTTTTGTCGTTTGTCCTGTCATCTTTGTTGGACCCTTATCAGTGGTTCTGCTTTTGCCTTTTGTCCTGTTCCCTCAGAAGCATGTGATCTTTGTTAGACCCTTATTAGTAGTTCTGCTTTTTGCCCTTTGAAGCATGTGATCTTTATACCTACTCCCTGTTCTTACACCCCCTCTCCTTTTTAAAACCCTTAATAAAAACTTGCTGGTTTGAGGCTCAGGCGAGCATCACAGTCCTACCGATATGTATTGTCACCCTGGTGGCCCAGCTGTAAAATTCCTCTCTTTGTACTGTCTCTCTTTATTTCTCAGCCAGCCGACACTTATGGAAAATAGAAAGAACCTACGTTGAAATATTGGGGGTGGGTTCCCCCAATAAAGAATAAAAGAGGGGATATCACTATAGCCCTGGACAATTATATTCACAGAAATTTGACAACCTAAATGAAGTGAAGTGATTTTCTGAACAGTAAAAGTTCCAAAAGTAAACCAAGTTGAAATAGATAACCAGAAAACTTCCATAACTATGAAGAAGTTGAATTTGTACTTGTAAAACTTTCAAAAGGGAAATGCTGAGGCTCAATTTATTTCATTAGCAAGTATATAACACTTGAAGAAAAAATAACCCCAATTCCATATAATCTCCTTTGGAAAGAGAAAAAGAGAAAAGGTTTTCCAAGTGTCTTTTTTTTCCCCTACAGAAAGAATATCTTTGTTTATTAGCAAAGTGCTGGAACATGGAAATCTGCAACAAAACAAGATTGTGACATGCTTTAGTTTTTTTATTATTTTTATTTGTGTGGATAAATAGTAGGTGTATATATTTATGAGCTGCATGAGATGTTTCGATACAGGCGTGCAATGCATAATCACATCAGTAAAGTGGGGTATCCATTTCCTCAAGCATTTATTATTTGTGTTACATACAAGCCAATTATACTCTTTTAGTCATCTTTAAATGTACAATAAAATTATTAATAACTATAGTCACCATGTTATGCTACCAAAAACTAGATCTTATTCATTGTTTCTGGCTAATTTTTTATTAACTCACCATCCCCAACTGCCCACCCCTCAGCCCCAGCACTACCCTTCCCAGCCTCTGGTCTCTTTCTACTCTCTATCTCAATGAATTCAACTGTTTTGATTTTTAGATCCTACAAATAACTGAGAACATATGATGTTTGTCTTTCTGTGCCTGGTTTACTTCATTTAGTAAAATGACTTCCACTTCCATCCTTGTTGCAAATTAAAGGATCTCATTTATTTTTATGGCTGAATAGAAATCCATTGTGTAGAAGTACCACATTTTTT
Source organism: Homo sapiens (assembly GCF_000001405.40). NCBI lineage: Eukaryota > Metazoa > Chordata > Mammalia > Primates > Hominidae > Homo > Homo sapiens. Next base: position 57,185,469 of record NC_000023.11, read on the forward strand.
TCTCTGTCTCTCTCTGTCTCTGTGTGTGTGTGTGTGTGTGTGTGTGTGTGTGTGTGTTCGTGTGTGCGTGTATGTGTGTGTGCGTGTTTTACTTTAGGTTCTGGGATACATGTGATGAACATGCAGGTTTGTTACATAAGTATACATATGCCATGGTGATTTACCACACCTATCAAACTGTCAACTAGGTTTTAAGCCCTGCATGCATTAGGTATTTGTCCTAATGCTCTCCCTCGCCTTTCCCCCCACCCCCCAACAGGCCTTGGTGTGTGATGTTCCCCTCCCTGTGTCCATGTATTCTCATTGCTCAACTCCCATTTATGAGTGAGAACATGCAGCATTTGGTGTCTGTTTCTGTGTTAGTTTGCTGAGGATGACGGTCTCCAGCTTCATCCATATCCCTGCAAAGGACATAAAGGACATGAACTCATTCTTTTTTATGGCTGTGTAGTATTCCATGGTGAATATGTGCCACATTTCCTTTATCTAGTCTATCATTGATGGGCATTTGGGTTGGTTCCAGGTCATTGCTATTGCAAATAGTGCTGCAAGAAACATACATGTGCAGGAGTCTTTATAGTAGAATGATTTATAATCACTACTTTGGGTTTATACTCAGTAATGGGATTACTGGGACCAATGGTATTTCTGGTTCTAGATCCTTGAGGAATCACCACACTGTCTTCCACAATGGTTGAACTAATTTACACTCCCACAAACAGTGTAAAAGTGTTCCTTTTCCTCCACATCCTGCCGGCATCTGTTGTTTTCAGACTTTTTAATGATTGTCATTCTAACTTGCATAAGATGGTATTTCATTGTGGTTTTGATTTGCATTTCTCTAATGACCGGTGGTGATGAGCTTGTTTTCATATGTTTCTTGGCCACATAAATGTCTTCTTTTGAGAGGTGTCTGTACATATCCCTTACCCATATTTTGATGTTTTTTCTTCTTGTAAATTTGTTTAAGTTCCTTTTAGATTCTTGATATTAGACCTTTTTCACATGGATAAATTGCAAAAATTTTCTCCTATTCCATGTGTTGCCTGTTCACTTTGATAACAGTTTCTTTTGCTGAGCAGAAACTCTTTAGTTTAATTAGATCCCACTTGTCAATTTTGGCTTTTGTTGCAATTGCTTTTGTTGTTTTAGTCATGAAGTCTTTGCCTATGTTTATTTGCTGAATGATATTGCCTAAGTTTTCTTCTAGGGTTTTGAAGGTTTTAGGTTTCACATTTAAGTCTTTAAACCATCTTGAGTTAATTTTTGTATAAGGTGTAAGAAAGGAGTCCAGTTTCTGTTTTCTGCATATGGCTAGCCAGTCTCCCCAGCGCCATTTATTAAGTAAAGAATCCTTTCCCCATTGCTTGTTTTTGTCAGTTTTGTCAACGATCAGATCATTGTAGATAAGTTGTGTTATTTCTGAGGCCTCTGTTCTGTTCCATTGGTGTATATATCTGTTTTAATACCAGAATCATGCTGTTTTGATTACTGTACCCTTGTAGTATAGTTTGAAGTAAGGTAGCATGATGCCTCCAGCTTTGATTTTTTTTCTCTTAGGATTGTCTTGGCTACACAGGCTCATTTTTGGTTCCGTGTGAAATGTAAAGTAGTTTTTTCTAGTTCTGTGAAGAAAGTCAATAGTAGCTTGATGGGAATGGCATTAAATCTATAAATCATTTTGAGCAGTGTGGTTATTTTCACAATATTGATTGTTTCTATCCATGAACATCAATTTTTTTTCCATTTGTGTCCCCTTTTATTTTCTTGAGCAGTGGAGTGGTTTCAGTTCTCCTTGAAGAAGTCTTTCATGTCCCCTGTAAGTTGTATTTCTAGGTATTTTATTTTCTTTGTAGCAATTGTGAATGGGGGTTCACTCATAATTTGGCTCTCTGCTTGTCTATTATTGGTGTATAGGAATGCTTGTAATTTTTGCACATTGATTTTGTATCCTGAGACTTTGCTGAAGTTGTTCATTAGCTTAAGGAGTTTTTGGGTTGAGAAGATGGGGTTCTCTAAATATACAATCATTTTATCTTCTAACAGAGACAATTTTACTTCCTCTCTTTCTATTTTAATACGCTTTATTTCTTTCTCTTGCCTGATTGCTCTGACCAGAACTTCCAATACTATATTGAATATGAGCAGTGAGAGAGGGCGTCCTTATCTTGTGATGGTTTTCAAAGGTAAAGCTTTCAGGTTTTGTCCCTTCAGTGTGATATTGGCCATGGGTTTGTCACAAATAGCCCTTATTATTTTGAGATATGTTGCATCAATACCTAGTTTTTTGAGAGTTTTTAGCATGAAGGGGTATTGAATTTTATCGGAGGTCTTTTCTGCATCTATTGAGATAATGTGGTTTTGTCATTGGTTCTGTTTATGTGATTGATTACGTTTATCTATTTGCTTATGTTGAACCAGCCTTGCATCTCAAGGATGAAGCCGACTTGTTCATGGTGGATAAGCTTTTTGATGTGCTGCTAGATTTGGTTTACTAGTATTCTATTGAGGAATTTTGCATCAGTGCCCAACAGGGATAATAACCTGAAATTTTCCTTTTTTATTGTGTCTCTGCCAGGTTTTGATATCAGGATGGTGCTGGCCTCATAGAAAGAGTTAGAGAGGAGTCCTCTTTTTCTATTGCTTGGAATAGTTTCAGAAGAAATAGTACTATCGCCTCTTTGTACCTCTGGTAGAATTCAGCTTTGAATCTGTCTGGTCCTGGGCATTTTTTGGTGGGTAGGTCACTAATTACTGTCTCAATTTCAGAACTTGTTATTGGTCTATTCAGGAATTGGAGTTCTTCCTGGTTTAGTCTTGGGAGGGTGTATGCATCCAGGAATTTATCTATTTCTTCTAGATTTTCTAGTTATTTGCATATAGGTGTTTATACTATTCTCTGATGGTAGTTTGTATTTCTGAGGGATCAGTGGTGTGATGTCCCCTTTATTATTTTTTATTGTGTCTATTTGATTCTTCTCTCTTTTTTCTTTATTAGTCTGGCTAGTGGTCTATTTTGTTAATCTTAAAAAAAACAGCTCCTGCATTCATTGATTTTTTGAAAGGTGTTTCGTGTCTCTATCTCATTCAGTTCTGCTCTAATCTTAGTTATTTCTCGTCTTCTGCTAGGTTTGGTTTTGTTTGCTGTTGCTCCTGTAGTTCTTTTAATTTTGATGTTAGGATGTGAATTTTAGATCTTTCCTGCTTTCTCTTGTGGGCATTTAGTGCTATAAATTTACCTCTAAACACTGCTTTAGCTGTGTCCCAGAGATTCTGCTACATTGTGTCTTTGTTCTCATGGGCTTCCTTTTGTAGGTAAACTTACCTTTCTCTCTGGCTTTCCTTCACATTTTTTCCTTTGTTTCTACCTTCGAGAATCTGATAATTATGTGTCTTGATGTTGCTTTTCTTGTGGAATATCTTAGTGGTGTTCTCTGTATTTCCTGAATTTGAATGTTCATCTTTCTTGCTAGGTTGGGGAAGTTCTCCTGGATAATATCCTGAAGTGTGTTTTCCAACTTGATTCCATTCTCCCAGTCACGTTCAGGGACCCCAGTCAATTGTAGGTTTGGTCTTTTCACATAGCCCCATATCTCTTGAAGTCTTGGTTCTTTCCTTTTAACTCTTTTTTCTCTAATTTTTCCTTCATGACTTATTTTAGTAAGTTGATCTTCAATCTCTGATATCCTTTCTTCCACTTGATCAGTTTGGCTGTTAATACTTGTGTAGGCTTCATGACATTCTTGTGCTGTGTTTTTTGGCTCCATCAGGTCATTTATGTTCTTCTCTAAACTTGTTATTATAGTTAGCATTTCCTGTAACCTTTTGTCAAGGTTCTTGGCTTCCCTGCATTTGGTTAAAACATGCTCCTTTAACTAAGAGGAGTTTGTTATTAACCAGCTTCTGAAGCCTACTTCTTTCAATTCATCAAACTCATTCTCCATCCAGTTTTGTGCCCATGCTGGAGAGGAGTTGTGATCATTTGGAGAAGAGGCATTCTGGTTCCTGGAATTTTCAGCATTTTGGCACTGGTTTTTCCTCATCTTCATGGATTTATCTACCTTTGGTCTTTCAAGCAGATGACCTTTAAATGGGGTTTCTGTGTGGGGGTCCTTTATGTTGATGTTGATGGTATTGCTTTCTGTTTGTTAGTTTTTCTTCTAACAATCAGGCCCGTCTTCTGCAGGTCTGCTGATATTTGCTGGAGGTCCACTCCAGACCCTATTTGTTTGGGTATCACCAGTGGGGGCTGCAGAACAACAAAGATGGTTGCCTGCTCCTTCCTCTGGAAGCTTCATCCCAGAGGGGCACCAGCCCGATGCCAGCCAGAGCTCTCTTGTATGAGGTGTCTGTCAACCCCTCTTGGGAGGTTTCTCTCAGTCAGGAGGCATTGGTGTCAGGGACCCACTTGAGGAGGCTGTCTGTCCCTTAGCAGAGCTTGAGTGCTATGCTAGGAGAACCGTATTTGTCAAAATTACTGCTTTCTTCAGAGCTAGCATGCAGGAAAGTTTAAGTCTGCTGAAGCCGCGCCCACAGCTGCCCCTTTCCCCAGGTGCTCTGTCACAGGGAGATGTGAGTTTTATCTATAACCCCCTGACTGGGGCTGGTGCCTTTCTTTCAGAGATACCCTGCCCAGTGAAGAGGTATCTAGAGAGGCAGTCTGGCCACAGCCACTTTGCTGTGCTGTGTTGAGTTCCTCACAGTCCCAACTTCCAGGCCTCCTTAGCGCTGTCACGGGAAAACTGCCTACTCAAGCCTCAGTAATCTTGGATGCCCATCCACTGACCAAGTTCCTCCCAGGTTGACTTCAGACTGCTGTGCTGGCAATGATAATTTCAAGCCAGTGATTCTTAGCTTGCTGGGCTCTGTGGGAGTGGGACTCACTGAGCAAGACCACTTGGCTCCCTGGCTTCAGCCCCCTTTCCAGGGCAGCAAACAGTTTTGTCTCGCTTGGGTTCCAGGTGCCACTGTGGTAGAAAAAAAAAAAAAAAAAAACTTCTGCAGCTAGCTTGGTGTCTGACCAAACAGCCGCCCAGTTTTGTGCTTGAAAGTCGGGGCCCTGGTGGTGTAGGCACATAAGGGAATCTCTTGGTCTGTGGATTGCAAAAACTGTGGGAAAAGCATAGTATCTGGGCTGGATAGTGCAGTTCCTCATGGCTTCCTTTGGCTGGGAAAGGGAAGCCCCTCCACCCGCTCCTTGCACTCCCGGGTGAGGTAATTCTCCACCCTGCTTCTGCTCACCCTCCTTGGGATGCATCCATTGCCTAACCTCTCTGAATGAGATAAACAGTATACCTTTGTTGGGAATGCAGAAATCACCCACCTTCTATGTTGGTCTCGCTGGGAGCTGCAGACCCGAGCTGTTAATGTTCGGCCATCCTGCAATATCCCCCCCACATTTTCTTTATACATTCATTTATTGATGGATATTTAGGTTGCTTCCACATTTTGGCTGTTGTGAACAATGCTGCAGTAAACATGGGAATGCAGATATCTTTTTAGTATACTGATGTCCTTTCTTTGGGGATATAAACCCAGCCATGAGATTACTGGTTTGTATGGTAACCTATTTTTAGTATTTTAAGAAATCTCCAAACTGTTCTCCATAGTGGTTTTACTGGTTTACATTCCTATCAACAGTGTATGAGTTCTCTCTTCTCTCCACATTCTCACCAGCATTTGTTATTGCCTGTCTTTTGTATATAAGCCATTTTAAGTGGAGTGAGATAGTATCTCATTGTAGTTTTGACTTGCATTTCTCTGAAGATTAATGATGCTTGACATCTTTTCATATGCCTGTTTGCCATTTGTGTGTCTTCTTTTGAGAAATGTCTATTCAAATATTTTGCTCATTTAAAAATTATATTATTATATTCTTTCCTATATGATTGTTTGAGCTCCTTATATATTGTGATTATTAATCCCTTGTCAGATGTGTAATTTGCAAATATTTTCCACCACTCTCAGGGTTGTCTCTTCAATTTTTTATTTTTTTTCGCTGCTGTGCAGAAGCTTTTTAACTTGATGTGATCCCATTTGTCCATTTTTGTTCTGGTTGGCTATGCTTGTAGGGTATTACACAAATATTTTCATGCAGACCAATGTCCTGGAGAATTTCCCCAAAGTTTTCTTCTAGTAGTTTTATAGTTTGAGGTCTCATTGAAGTCTTTAGTTCCTTTTGATTTGATTTTGTAAATTGTAAGAGATAGGGTTCTAGTTTCCTTCTTCTGCATGTGGATATCATTTTCCCAGCACAATTTATTGAAGAGAAGGTCTTTTCCTCAGTGTGTGTTCTTGTCACGTTTATCAAAATGGAGTTTACTCTAGCTGAATGGATTTGCTTTGGGGTTCTCTATTCTCTTCTATTGGTCTATGCATCTTTTTATGCAAGAACCATGCTGTTTTGGTTTCCATGTCTGTAGTATAACTTGAAGTCAGGTAATGTGATTCCTCTAGTTTTCTTTTTGCTTAGGATAGGCTATTCTTGGTCTTTTGTGGTTCCATATAAATTCTAGGATTGTTTTTTCTATTTCTGTGAAGAATGTCATTGTTATTTTGATGGGGATTGCATAAAATCTATAGATTGCTTTGGGTAATATGGACATTTTAACAATATTGGCCCTTCAAATCCACATGAAATCTCTCCTCTTTTGGTGTTCTTTTCAATTTTTTTTAAATAAATGTTTTGTAGTTTGCATTGTAGAAGCCTTTCACTTCTTTGGTTAGGTTAATTTTAATTTCATTTGTGGCTATTGTAAATGTGATTGCTTTTATATTTCTTTTTAGACTGAGCATTGTTGGCATATAAATATGCAACTGATTTATGATGTAGATTTTGTATCCTGCAACTAAATATTATCAGTTTGAATAGTTTTTTTTTGTGGCATCTTTAAAGTTTTCCAAACATAAGATTATATCATTTGAAAACAAGAATAATTTGACTTTGTTCTTTTCAATTTGGATGCCCTTTATTACTTTTTCTTGTCTTATTGCTCTAGATAGGATTTCTAGTACTATGTTGAGTAACAGTGGTGAAAGTGAGTATCCTTGTTGTGTTTCTGATATTAAAGGAAATGCTTTCAGTTTTTCCACATTCTGGATGATACTTGCTATGGGTCTGATGTATATGGCTTTTATTATATTGAGGTATGTTCCATCTACAGCCAGTTTGTTGAGGGTTTTTATTTGTTACAGGAAGTCAGGGACCCCAAATGGAAGGACTGGCTGAAGCCATGGCAGAAGCACGTGGATTGTGAAGATTTCGTGGACATTTATTAGTTCCCCAAATTAATACTTTTATTTCTTATGCCTGTCTTTACTGCAGTCTCTAAAGATAAATTGTGAAGATTTCATGGACGCTTATCACTTCCCCAATCCATACCCTTGTGATTTCCTATGCCTGTCTTTACTTTAATCTCTTAATCCTGTCATCTCATAAGCTGAGGAGGATGTATGTCACCTCAGGACCCTGTGATGATTGTGTTAACTGCACAAATTGTAGAGCATGTGTGTTTGAACAATATGAAATCTGGGCACCTTGAAGAAAGAACAGGATAACAGCAATGTTCAGGGAACAAGAGAGATAACCTTAAACTCTGACCACTGGTGAGCTGGGTGGAACACAGCCATATTTCTCTTCTTTCAAAAGCAAATGGGAGAAATATCACTGAATTCTGTTTCTCAGCAAGGAACATCCCTGGGAAAGAGAATGTGCCCCTGAGGGTAGGCCTCTAAATGGCCCCCTTGGGTGTGGCCATCTTCTATGGTCGAAACTGTAGGGATGAAATAAGCCCCAGTCTCCCATAGTGCTCCCAGACTTATTAGGATGAGGAAATTCCTGCCTAATAAATTTTGTTCAGACTGGTTGCTCTCAAACCCTGTCTCCTGATAAGATGTTATCAATGACAATGGTGCCTGAAACTTCATTAGCAATTTTAATTTCACCCCTGTCCTGTGGTCCTGTGATCTCACCCTGCCTCCATTTGCCTTGTGATATTCTATTACCTTGTGAAGCATGTGATCTCTGTGACCCACACCCTATTTGTACACTCCCTCCCCTTTGAAAATCACTAATAAAAATTGCTGGTTTTGCAGCTTGTGGAGCATCACGGAACCTACCGACATATTATGTCTCCCCCGGATGCCCAGCTTTAAAATTTCTCTCTTTTGTACTCTGTCCCTTTATTTCTCAACCTGGACAACACTTAGGGAAAATAGAAAAGAACCTATGTGACTATCGGGGGCACATTCCCCGATATTTATTATGAAGGGAGATTGAATTTTATCAAATATCTTTTCAGCATCAATTGAAACAGACATAGTTTTTAACCCTTAATTCTGTTGATATGATGAATCACATTGATTGAGTATGCTGAACCGTTCTTGCATTGCAAGAATAAATAAGTTAGTTGTGATGAGTGATCTTTTTAATGTATTGTTGAATTTGGTTTGCTAGTATTTTGTTGCAGTTTTTTGAATAAATATTAATCAGAAATATTGACCTATAGTTTTTGTGTGTTTTTTTAAATGTGTCTTTGTCTGGTTTTGGCATCAGTTAAATATTGGCCTCATATAATGAATTTGGAATAATTGCCTCTTCTTCCATATTTCAGAATCATTTGAGTAGGGTTGTATTAGTTCTTCTTTAAATGTTTGATAGAATTCAGCAGTAAAGCTATCAGGTGCTGGGCTTATCATTACTAGGGGACTTTTTATTAAGGCTTTGATCTCATTACTTCTTATTTGTTTGTTCAGGTTTGGATTTATTCCGGGTTCAATCTTGACAGGTTTAATGTATCTAGGAATTTGTCCATTTCTTCTACATTTTTCAATTTATGGCATATAATTACTCATAGTATCCAATCATGATCCTTTATATTTCTGCAGTTGTAATGCCTACTTTTTCACCTCTGATTTTATTTATTTGGATTTTCTTTCTCTTTTTTTCTGGCTAAAATTTGTCAATTTTCTTTAACTATTTATAAGCACTTCATTGATCTTTTGCATTAATTTATTCATTTCAATTTTATTTATTTCTTCTCTAATGTTTGTTATTTTCTTCTAACTATGCATTTTCTGTGCTTTTTCTCTTTTCTGATTTTATTAAGATTTATTTATTTATTTATTTTTATATCAGTAGGTTTTTGAGGAGCAGGTGATGTTTGATTACATGGAAAAGTTCTTTAGTGGTGATTTCTGAGATTTTGGTGGACCCATCACCCAAGCAGTGTATACTGTACCCAATGTGTAATCTTTTATCCCTCACCTACTCCCCCCCTTCCACTCAGTACCCAAAGTCTATTGTGTCATTCTTATGCTGTTGAGTCCTCATAGCATATCTCCTACTTATAAGTGAGAGCTATAAGTGTTTCATTTTCCATTCCTGAGTTACTTTACTTAGAATAATAGTCTCCAGCTCCATCCAGTTGCTGCAAATGCCATTATTTTATTTCTTTGTATAGCTCAGTAATATTCCATGGTGTGTGTGTATGTGTGTGTGTGTGTGTAAGTGTGTATATATCACATTTTCTTTATCTACTCATTGATTGATGGACATTTGGACTGGCTCCATATTTTTGTAATTGCAAATTCTGCTGCTATAAACATGCATGTGCAAGTCTTTTTCACTAATGACTTCTTTCTCTCTTGGTAGATACCCAGTACTGAGACTACTTGATCAAATGGTAGATCTACTTTTAGTTCTTTATGGAATTTCCATACTGTTTCCCATAGTGATCGTACTAGTTTACATTCCCACCAGCAGTGTAAAAGTGTTTCCTTTTCACCACATCCACATCAACATCTATTTTTTTTAAATTTTTAAATTATCGCCATTCTTGTAGGAGTAAGACAGCATTGTGGTTTTGGTTTTCATTTTCTTGATAATTAGTGATGATGTGCATTTTATAGCATGTTTGTTGACCATTTGTCTGTCTTCTTTTGAGAATTGTCTATTCATGTCTTTATCCCACTTTTTGACGGGATTATTTGTTTTATTCTTGCTGATTTGTTTGAGTTTCTTGTGGATTCTAGGTATTAGTCCTTTTTCAGATGCAGTTTGCAAATATTTTCTTTCATTCTGTGGGTTGTCTGTTTACTCTGCTGATTATTTCTTTTGCTGTGAGGCTTTTTAGTTTAATTAAGTCCCATCAATTTATCTGTGTTTTTGTTGCATTTACTTTTGGATTCTTGATCATAAAGTCTTTGCCTAAGCCAATGTCTAGAAAAGGTTTTCTGATGTTATCTTCCAGAATTTTTAGGGTTTCAGGTCTTAGGTTTAAGTCCTGAATCCATGTTTAGTTGACATTTTATAAAATCAGAAATAAAGATCCAGTTTCATTCTCCTACATGTGGCTTGCCAATTATCCCAGCACCATTTGTTGAAAGCATGTCCTTTCCTTACTTTATGTTTCTGTTTGCTTTGTTGAAGATCAGTTGGCTGTAAGCATTTGGTTTTACTTCTGGTTCTCTCTTCTGGTCCATTGGTCTATGTGCCTATTTTTATACCAGCGCCATGCTATTTTGGTGGTTATAGCCTTATAGTATAGTTTGAAGTTGGGTAATGTGATGCTTGCAGATTTGTTGTTTTGGCATAGTCTTGATTAGGCTATGTGGGCTCCTTTTTGTTTCCATATGAATTTTAGCATAGTTTTTTCTAGTTCTGTGAAGAATGATGTTGGTATTTTGATGGGAATTGCATTGAATTTGTAGATTGCTTTTGGCAGTATGAACATTTCTACAATATTGATTCTACCCATCCATGAACATTTCAGCAGTGTTTTGTAGTTTTCCTTGTAGAGGTCTTTTACCTCCTTGGTTAGGTATATTTGTAAGTATTTTATTTATTTTGGAGCTATTGTGAAAGTGATTGAGTTCTTGATTTGATTCTCAGCTTGGTCACTGTTGGTGTATAGCAGAGCTACTAATTTGTGTACATTAATTTTGTATCCTGAAACTTCACTAAATTCATTTATCAGTTTTAGGATCTTTCTGGATGAGTCTTTAGGGTTTTCTAGGTATACAATCATATCGTTGGTGAACAGTGACACTTTGACTTCCTCTCTACCAATCTGGATACCCTTTATTTCTTTCTCTTGAATGATTGCTTTGATTAGGACTTCCAGTACTATGTTGAATAAAAGTGGTGAAAGTGGACATTCCTGTCTTGTTTCAGTTTTCAGGGAAAATATTTTCAACTTGTTCAGTATAGTGTTGGCTGTGGATATGCAATAGATAGCTTTTATTAAATTGAAGTATATCTCTTTTATGCCGATTTTGCTGAGGGCTTTAATCATTAAAAAAATTTGGGTACCTGATGCTGTTGCCTGACAGCTCTTAACATTCTTTCCTTCATAGTGACTTTAGATAACCTAGTGACAATGTGCCTAGGTGTTGATCTTTTTCAGTGAATTTCCTGGGTGTTCTTTGAGCTTCTTGTATTTGGACGTCTGCATCTCATGCAAGGTCAGGGATGTTTTCCTTTATTTCTTCAAGTAAGTTTATCCAAACTTTTAAATTTCTCTTCTTTTGGGGAATATGAATTATTCTTAGGTTTGGTCATTTAACTAAATCCCAAGCTTCCTGGATGTTTTTTTATTTATTTTTAATTTTTTTCTTTGTCTTTGTCAAACTGGGTTAATATGAAAGCCTTGTCTTTGAGGTCTGAAGTTCTTCCTTCTACTTGTTCTAGTCTGTTGTTGAAATTTTCACTGTATTTTGCATTTCTCCAAGTGTGTCTTTCATTTCCAGAAGTGCTTATTTTTATTTATGCTATTTTTTTCTGTAGATTGTTTTCATCCTTATCTGTATTATTTGTTCTTTTGTTTTTTAAATTTGGTTTTCACCTTTCTGTGATGCCTCATTGAGTAGTTTAATAATCATCTTTCTCAATTCTTTCTCGGGCAATTCAGAGATTTTTTATTGGTTTAGATTCATTGCTGATGAGCTAGTATGACCTTTTGGGGATGTTAAAGAACTTGCTTTGTCATATTATCAGAACTGTTGTTCTGGTTTCTTCTCATTTGGGTAGAGTATGTCAGAGGAGAAACCTGGGGCTCAAGGGCTGCTATTCAGATATTTTTTTTTTGTCTCACAGGATGATTCCTTGATGTGATGCTCTCCTTTTTTCCCCATGGATCAGGCTTCTTGAGATCCAAACTGCAGCAGTTGTTATTGCTCTTCTTTACCTAGCCACCCAGCAGAGCTACCGGGTTCCAGGCTGATACAGAGGAGTGTCTGCAAAGAGTCCTGTGGTGTGATCCATTTACAGGTCTCTTGGCCATGGATCCTAGCAAGTGCTCCAGTGAAGGTAGCAGGGAAGTGAAGTGGACTTTGTGAGTGTCTTTGGCTGTAGTTTTGTTTAGCGCACTGGTTTCCTTGGATGCTGGTTGTGCTAGCAGTGAACTTGTTATGTGAACAGACTCAGGACCTCTGGTTAGCCAGGATGTTATAGTTGGTGGATTTAGCTGTTGTTTTCTTTGTTTTTTGAAGCAGTGTTATTCTTCTATTAGTTGGTGTAATGGATTGAGTTTGTTGGCCTCCAACCAAAGGGTAGTGCTTTCAAGGGAGCTTCAGCTGCAGTAGTATAGGAAAAATACATGCTTGCCCTAAGGTGGCCTGAATAAGTATTTGGGTTTCTGCAGTTAGGGGTGGGGCCATAGAGCTCCCAAGAGGTTATGATTTGTGTCTTCTGCTACCAGGGCAGCTAGGAAAAGATCATCATCATGTGGGGGCATGGTTAGGCATGTCTGAGTTCAGACTCTTCTTTGGTAGGAATTGCTGTGACCACTGATGAGGATGAGGCTGTGATTCTAAGGCCAATAGAGTTTTGTTCTTAGGGGGATTATGGCTGCCTCTGCTGTCATACAGGTCACCAGAGAAATAGGGGAAAGCTGGATGTTACAGGCCTCACCCAACTCCCATTCAGTCAACCTAGCCAGTCTCACTCTCACCATGCCCCACCAACAGGTCTGAGTTTTTATCCAGGCAGCCAGTGAGCAGAACTGAGATCTTGCCCCAGGCTACAAGCCTCAGTGCTGAGAAAGCATGCATGGCTGTCAGGCCCCTCTGCTCCCCACCTGCCATGACCTCTATGCTCATATCTGTACTTCTCATTCATGCCCACCCTACCCCTGGATTTTACCCAGGATATTTAATGCTTGGTCAAAAGTTATTACAAAGTTCAGCTTGAGGTTTTCTTCTCCATGTGTTTCGTCCCCAATTTTACTGACAGCCCTCCCCATGGAGACTTGGTGATAAACTTAGAAATGCCATCCCTGAGCTTCCCTGGGAACTGTGAGTGCCTACAGGGCTTTTCCTGCTTCTTCTTCTACTTTTATATTTCACCTGGCTCTCTAAATTTGTTCCAGTTCTAGGTAAGGTAAAATCCTTTCTTAATCTGGATTTTCACGTTCTCCAGTGAGAATTTGTATTTGGAGGCAGACGTTCCCCCTCTCACACTTTGGACAGTCACAGTTTTTTGTGGTGTTTTATGGAGTTTGCAGCTGCAAGCTGTTTCTTTCAAAGGGTCTGGGAATTCTTTTTGTTTTCCTGGTATGTTCCTGTGGTAGTTCTTGGAGCAAAAGTTCAGAATGTGAGTCTCCACACACTCTTCTGTGTCTCTCAGTGGGAGCTACAAGTTACTCCTGCCTCTTGTTCACTATTTTTCCCTTTCCTTTATCTACTTTGCTCCTTCTTTTGTACTTCTTTACAATGCATCATTAGGTTGTTTATCTAAAGTTTTTCTTATTTTTTATGTGGATATCTATAGCTATAAACTGCTTTTGCTGTATCCCATAGGTCTTGGTATGTTGTGTTTTTTTTATCAGTTGTTTCAATAGAATTTTCAATTTCCTTCTCAATTTTTTTAGTAACCCACTGGTCATTCAGGAACACCTTGATTAATTTCTGTGTATTTGTACAGTATCCCAAATTTCTATTGTTGATTTTTAGCTTTATCCCATTGTGGCCAGAGAATATTCTTGATATTATCTCGATTTTTTGAATGCTTTAAGACTTGTTTGTGACCTAACATACTGTCTATCCTTGAGAAAGACTCACATGCTGAAGAACAGTATGTGTACCCTGCAACCATTGGATGACATGTTCTGTAAGTATCTATTAGGTCTATTTGGTCTATACTGTGGGTTAAGTTCAATTTTTATGTTGTTGATTTTCTTTCTGGAAGATCTGTCCAATGCAGAAAGTAGAGTGTTCAAGTCTCCAGCTATTATTGTGTTGTAATCTATCTCTCTCCTTAGTAATAATAATATTAGTTTTTTATATCTAGGTGCTCCAGCACTGGAGGCATGTATAATTTAAATTGTCATATCTTCTTGTTGAATTAACCCTAACCTCTTTACCATTAAGTAGAAATCTTCTTTGACTCTTCTTACAGTTTTCATCTAGAAATTTATTTTTTCTGATATAAATGTATGTACTTCCTCTCTTTTTAAGTTTTAATTAATATCGAATACGTTTTTAATTTTTTTATTTTCAGTTTCTGTGTGTCTTTATAAGTGAAGTGTGTTTCTTGTAGGCAACAGATCATTAAGTTCTGTTTTGTTATCCCTTCAGCTAATGTACAGCTTTAGATTAGATAATTTAGTCTATTTACATTCAATGTTATTATCAATAAGTAAGGATTTACTCCTGCCATTTTGCTATTTGTTTTCTTATCTTCTCTTCCTTCTTTTTTCTTTTTCCTGCCTTTTTTTTAATGAAGGTGAATTTTTCTGGTGAAATAATTTAGTTTCTTCATTTTTATTTTTTATGTATCTGTATGTTTTTGGTTTGGGATTACAATAGGCTTGCAAATAATGTCTTATAATCCATTAACAACTTTAACACTGTTTGCATCAATAAGCAAGGAAAAAAATAATAAAGACTCTGCATCTTAACTTCATACTTTCACTTTTTTTTTTTTTTTTTTGAGACAGAATCTCGTTCTGTCACCAGGCTGGAGTGCAATGGCACGATCCTGGCCCACTGCAATCTCCGCCACACAGGTTCAAGTGATTCCCCTGCCTCAGCCTCCCGAATAGCTGGAATTACAGGCATGTACCACCATGCCTGGCTAATGTTTTGTATATTAGTAGAGACAGGATTTCACCATATTGGCCAGGATGGTCTTGATCTCCTGACCTCATGATCCACCCACCTTGGCCTCCCAAAGTGCTGGGATTAAAGGCATGAGCCACTGCGCCCAGCCTCATCCTTCCACTGTTTAATTTTTTTCATTTCTATTCATATCTTATTGTATTATCTGTCTTGAAAAGTTGTAATTATTTTTGATTGGTTCATCATTTAGTATTTCTACTTAAAAGTAATTTGCACATCACTATTACTGTGTTATAATATTCTATTTTTCTTTTTACTTACCATTACCAGTGAGTTTTGTACCATCTGATGATTTTTTATTGATCATAAACATTCTTTTTTTTCTTATTAAATTACTCCCTTTGGCATTTCTCATAGAATTGTTATGATATTGGTAAAATTTATCAGCATTTGTTTGCTGACAAATTTTTAATTCCCCCTTTATATTTTAAGAATATTTTCACTAATTATGCTATGCTAGGGTAAAAGTTTTTTTTTTTTTTTCTTCAGCAATTTAAACATGTTATGCCACTCTCTCCTGGCCTGTAAGGTTTTCACTTAAAAGTCTGTTGCCAGGGCTGGGCACGGTGGCTCATGCCTGTAATCCCAGCACTTTGGGAGGCTGAGGAGTGTGGAACACAAGGTCAGGAGTTCATGACCAGCCTGGCCAAGATGGTGAAACCCCGTCTACTAAAAGTACAGAAATTAGCCTAATGTGTTGGTGGGCACCTGTAATCCCAGCTACTTGGGAGGCTGAGGCAGAGAATTGCTTGAACCAGGGAGGTGGAGTCTGCAGTGAGCCCAGATTGCACTACTGCACTCCAGCCTGGGCAACAGAGCCTTTAGCTCTGTTACTTTTTACTCCATAAAAAAAAAAAAGAAGTCTGTCTGCTGCTACACACATTATATCTCCTTTGTATATTACTGGTTTCTTTTGTCTTGTTGCTTTCAGGATCCTTTCTTTATTCTTGACCTTTAGGAACTTGATTATTAAATGCCTTGAATTAATCTTGTGATTAAGTTTGCTTGGTGTTCTGTAACCTTTTTGTAGGCAACATATCATCAAGTTTTGTTCTGTTATCCATTTTTTATAACCTTCTTGGATATTGACATTTTTTTCTTTAGGTTTGGGAAGTTCTCTGTTATTATCCCTCTGAATAATCATTCTACCCATATCTGTTACAGTACCTTCTCTATAAGACCAGTAACTCTTAGATTTCCCTTTTGAGGCTATTTTCAAGATCCTGTAGGCATGCTTCATTGTTTTTCTCTTTTGCCTCCTCTGGCTTTGTATTTTCAAATAGCCTGTCTTCTAGCTTAGTAATATTTTTTTTCTGCTTGATAATTCTGTTATTAAAAGACTGTAATACATTCTTACATTTGATGATTGCATTTTTCACCTCCAGAATTTCTACTTCTTTATACTTATTTAAATCTCTTTGTTAAGTTTTTCTGATAGAATTCTGAATTACTTCCCTATATTATCCTGAATTTTTTGAGTTTCCTCACACAGCTATTTATAAATTATCTGTCTGAGAGATCACATATCTCTGTTTCTCCAGGATTGGTTCCTCGTGCCTTATTTAGTTTATGTGGTGAGGTCATTATTTCTTGGATGCTCTTGATACTTGTAAATGTTCATTAGTGTCTGAGCATTGAAAAGTTAAGTATTTGTTGCAGTCCTCTCTTTCTGGGCTTTATTGTTTTTGTCCTTCTTGGAAAGGCTTTCCAGAAATTCAAACAGACTTGAGGGTGGTAATATAATCTTTATCTGCTTTGTGGGGCACCCCAAGCTCAGTAACACCATGAGTCTCACAGACTCATAGAGGTAATACCTTGATAGTCTTGGGAAATATGTGGAAAAATTACCTGGATAACCAAGCTGAGACTCTTGTTCTCTTTCTTTACTTTCTCCTAAGCAAATGGAGTTTCTCTCTCTGTTTTAGCCACCTGGAACTTGGGGTGTAGTGACACAAGCACTTTCTTGGCCACCACCATTAGGACTGCATGGGGACAGAACTGAGCCCAGCACAGCACTGGTTCTTGCCCGAGGCCTGCTGTAACTAATTTCTAGCTACTATCTATGTACACTTAAGGCCCACAGGCTCTACAGTCATCAGGTGGTAAATCCAGCCAGGCCTATGTCTTGTCCTTCAGTGAAGCATGTTCCCCAAGTCCCTGGGAAAGTCTGTAGATGTCATCTGGGACCCAGAGACTAAATCTAAAAATTCTGGAAGTCTGCCTCGTGTTTTATTGTACTGTGGCTGGGCTGGCACTCAAACCAGAAGACACAGTTTTTGCCACTTCTCCCTCCCCATTCTGGAGACTGAAAAGCCTCACCCCATCATCACCACCACCAGAGCCCTGCTAGGAATTTTGCCAGACTAACACTATTGTTTTCTTAAGGTCCAAGGGCTCTTTAGTCAGCTTGTGCTAAATGCTGCATGGCCTAGTGCTGACACCAGCTCAGTGGTGGAGACCATAACCCAGTGACGCTAAAGGAATTAAAGACACACACACAGAAATATAGGGTGTGGGGTAGGAAATCAGGGGTCTCACAGCCTTCAGAGCTGAGAGCCCTGAACAGAGATTTACCCACATATTTATTGACAGCAAGCCAGTGATAAGCATTGTTTCTATAGATTATAGATTTACTTAAAGTATTCCTTATGGGAAACAAAGGGATGGGCCAAAACAAAGGGATGGGCTCTGGCTAGTTATCTGCAGCAGGAACATGTTCTTAAGGTACAGATCACTCATGCTATTGTTTGTGGTTCAGGAACACTTTTAAGCAGTTTTCTGCCCTGGGTGGGCCAGGTGTTCCTTGCCCTTATTCTGGTAAACACACAACCTTCAGCGTGGGTGTCATGGCCATCATGAACATGTCACGGTGCTGCAGAGATTTTATTTATGGCCAGTTTTGAGGCCAGTTTATGGCCAGATTTGAGGACCTGTTCCCAATATGTCCCCCTTTGTTTTGCAAAGTGATGAAAGCAAAGTGGCTTTATCACAGTGAGCTACTTCTCGCAGGAGTCGGGATCCACATATGCAGACCACACAAAGACAAACAACACAGATTAATAACACAATCATCATTGAAATCACAGAGCCTCCAAGTATTTTTATCTATTTTAATGGGTTACTAGCTGCTAATCCATCTGCAGCTCCTTTAAGCACTCCAGTTCCTGGCATTAAGGTCAGCTGTGCCTGGGATGTTTAAATATTTGTTCTTTTAATTTTGCAATATCCAAAGACAAGTTTGTAGAGTGTTCTTCTAGATGCTTTTTTATTCTTTCCCAAATTTTATCTTATTAAGAGCTATTAACAGTTTCCACAAATCCTTATGTTTAGCTCCTAGAGCAGGCCATATCAGTTGAGGTTGAGGTGCCACTATACTGCCATGTTTCCAGATAACAGGAACTCTTGCTGTATTTCTTAGCATTTCTACCATCTGACTGTTTTGTTTAGACCACCTGAACATAGTGTGGCCATGGCACACAGACTGAGAGGTGCAATTCAAGCTAAACATCTCCTTAGGGGACAAATCCATAATGATTCCATGGGAATCATTGTGCGCCACCTCTGCCTGTTCTGCAATGCAATCTTCCCAAACAAGTACGCTCATTATTTCTGTCCAGGTCCAAATCTGTTTACAAATAGGTTTTTGAGGGTGGTATCCCTCGATTATGGGAGCAGATTTATTATGGCAAATACCGAGATCAGAAAGCATGTGTAACTGTGTCATAGAGTGATTGCATCCTGGCATTATTGCCAGCCAAGGTTGATAAATATACCCAATAAGTATAATTGTTCTCTGTGTCAGCCATTGTTAAAGGAATACTCATGTCAATGGTGATCACGACTATCATAGCTATCATTAAATTACTCATTGTGACTGGCTGTCCCACTTTCCTCTGGTTTTCTTTCCAAAATCTCTTCTTCAGCATCTGGCTCATGATAAAGTTTCAGGTGGCTTGATGGTATCCAAATCAGCTGTTGATTTTGGCCTGGAGAAACACAAGCATAACCTCTACCCCAATTTACTATTTTACCTATTTCCCAACTTTTTGTTATCAGATCTCTCCACCAAACCAGTAGTTCTGCTTCTTTCTTTGCAGCTGGTTTCTGTAGATGCTGTTCAACTGCTAATAGCATTTGGCCTTTAGACAGGCTCAAAAACTTTAAAGTCAATAATGCTAGATTCAATTGCATATGGGGTGTTCCATAGTCCTTTTTTCTCCCCTTTTGCTTTTGCAATTGCTGTTTCAGGGAGAGATTCATTCTTTCTACTGTGGCATGTCCTTGAGAATTATATGGGATGCTAGTAACGTGTTTAATATTCCATATAAAGAAAAATGTAGCTAGAGCTTGGCTAGTATAGCCTGAGGCATTATCTGTTTTAATAGAAGCTGGAACGCCATCACCACAAAACACTGCAAAAGGTGACATTTAACACAGGCAGGAGACTCCTGATTGGCATCTAGCCCAGACAAAGTGAGAAAAGGTGTCCACACATACCTGTACATAAGCTAGTCTCTCAAATGAGGGAATATGTGTGACATCCATTTGCCAAAGAGAATTAGATTCCAATCTTCGAGGACTAACTCCTCCTGTAAAAGATGAGGAATGTACCATTTTGCAAGTTGGACATCACTGGATAATAGTTTTAGCTTCTTTCCAGGTAATGCTGTATCTGCTTTTGAGACCAGAGGCATTAACATTGGTTAAATTGTGAAAATGTCTAGCGTTAAATATTGCAGTAATAACTAGGCAATCAGCCATTCAATTCCCTTCAGTTAAAGGTCCTGGAAGAGGTGTATGAGCCCTAATATGAGTGATGTAAAAAGCATGCATTCTACTCCTAACTGCTGTTTGCAATTGGGTAAATAAAGTCATCAGTTGTTCATCTGTATGAAATCATAACTGAGCACTTTCAATTAACTGTGTGGAATGAACCATGTATGAAGAATCAGAAATCACATTAACAGGCATATCAAAGCAGTCAATACCTCAATTACAGGTACAAGCTCTGCTTTTTGAGCTGAAGTATAGGGCATCTGAAAAACTTTACCTTTTGAGCCAGAATAAGAAGCTTTACCATTACTAGACCCATCTGTAAAAACATTCTCAGCACCTTCAATTTGTTTAAATTTAGTTATTTTATGGAGAATCCAATTAGTTAATTTCAAAAATTGAAACAGTTTCGTTTTAGGAAAATGATTATCGAGAATACCCATGAAGTCAGCTAAATGGGTTTGCCAAATAAGAGTATTTATAAAAGCTTGCTGTATTTGTGCCTTCATGAGAAGGACAATAATTTTTTCAGGATCATATCCATGTAATTTAACAATCCGAGTTCTCCCATTTCCTATCGTAGTAGCGATTTGATCCAAATAAGGAGTTAGAGTCTGTGAATTAGTATGTGGAAGAAAAAGCCATTCTACAAGATCTTGCTCTTGAACAATAACACCAGCAGGTGAATGCTGAGTTGAAAAAATTAGCAAATGTGGGGTCTTTTCTGGATCTATTCTATTTATTTGAGCTTTATGGACTTGCTTTTCAATTAGCTGCAGCTCTGCCTCAGCTTCTTTTGTTAATTGCCCAGGGCTAGTGAGACTAGGATCTCCTCTAAGGATAGAAAATAGATTACTCACAGCATAGGTAGGAATGCCTAGAGCAGGTCATATCCAAGTAATGTCCTGTAATAATTTTTGAAAGTCATTTAATGTTTTCAATTGATCCCTATATATGATTACTTTCTGGGGCACAATGATAGTGTCATTTACTAAAGTCCCTAAGTAGGAGTAAGGAGTAGTAGTCTGAATTTTATCAGGAGCTATAATTAAACCAGTGTGAGAAATCGAATTTTGCAAGTGATCATAACATTGGAGTAATATTTCTCGAGTGGGGGCAGCACAAAGTATATCATCCATATAATGAATAATGTAACACTGTGAAAATTTTTTAAGAGTAGGTTCAATTGCTTGCCCTATATAAGTCTGGCAAATTGTTGGACTGTTTAACATGCCTTGTGGCAACACTTTCCAGTGAAAATGCTTAGCAGGCTGCAGGTTGTTTACTGCAAGAATTGTAAATGCAAACCATTCACAGTCTTGCTCAGCTAAGGGGATAGTAAAGAAACAGTCTTTTAAATCAATGACTATTAAAGGCCAATTTCTTGGAATCATAGCAGGAGAAGGCAGTCCTGGCTGCAATGTCCCCATAGGTTGTATAACTGAATTAATGGCTCTTAAGTCAGTTAACATTCTCCATTTACCTGATTTTTTCTTAATTACAAAAACTGGAGAATTTCAAGGGGAAAATATTGGAACTATGTGTCCTTTTTCTAATTGTTCAGTAACTAAGTCCTCTAAAGCCTCCAGTTTCTCTTTACTCAGTGGCCATCATTCTATGCAAATTGGCTTATCTCAACAATTTCAAAGGTATAGGTGATGGAGGCTTAACAATGGCTGCCATCAAAAATGATATACTAAACCTTGGTGAGAACTTTGTCTTTCTGCTTGAAGTGATTCCTTCAAACCTTGCAAATTTTTTTCTAGTCCCATGCCAGGGACATACCCCATTTTATGCATCATATGTTGACTTTCAGGGCTGTATGATTGCTCAGGAATTGGAACTTGTGCTCTCCATTGTTGTAATAAATCTCTTTCCCTAAATTTATAGGTACAGAAGTTATAATTGGTTGAATAGTCTCAGGTTGTCCATCAGGCCCTTCACAATGAAAAATATAACTACTTTGGTATATTTCAGGGGCTTTACCAACTCCAACTATGTTGAATTGAATGGGTTGAATTGGCCACACAGATGGCCAGTGCTGTAGAGAAATGATTGAAATGTCCATTCTTGTATCTACCAAACCTTTAAATTTCTTTCCCTGAATAGTTATTTCACAGGTAGGACGTTTATCAGTAATTTGATTCACCCAATAAGCTGCTTTGCCTTGTTTATTTGTGATTCCAAATCCTCCTGTTCGTTTAGTTTTACTTTTCCCCATTTCCACATCCAGCACAATCAGGAGTTGTGCTATATGCTCTCCTGGCTCTGCTTTCCAGGGAACAGAAGTAGATATAACAATTTGAATTTCCCCATTGTAGTCTGAATCAATGACTCCTGTTTGTACTTGCACCCCTTTTAAATTTAAACTAGACCTGCCTAGAAGTAATCCTATCATCCCTGCTGGCAAGGATCCACAGACCCATGTTGGAACTTTTTGCGGGGATTCCCCAGGTGCAGAAGGCTCACAGCTTTTGTGCAGCATAAATCTACTGTGACACTACTGGCTGTGTCAGGGGACAGACATTGTACAGGGGTGAGGGAATGGCCTGAGCCGGAAATGCCCCTGTTTGGAATGGGGTCTGGGACGGGCTTCTCATGGCATTTCCCGAATTTAAAAGGAAAAGGCTCAAATGTAGCTATAATATTTCCCTGTTGATCTGGGGGGTGTATTCTAACAGGGAACTGCCAAGCCTCTATATCACCCTCTTGTCTAGCTTGCTGAATTTCTGCCTGAATAGAACTGAGAGCGGTCGCTCGAGGCACTATTCAAACAGTCACTGGGGTAACTACTTTCACCCAGTATTCTCCGGAAAAGAAAGATCTGGAGGGTCAGGCCACTCTTTTTCTTCAAAATAAGGAGGGGATGCAGAAGGGTAGGGATGAACCTCTTCCTCCTTCGCCACTTTAGCTTTAGCTGGCAAACAAACCTGCTCTGTCATCTCTTCTGTTACTTCATTATACTTTCCTTCTTCCTCATCATTAGTGTGAAAAGGTTCCAAGGTGGAATGAACCAGAGCCCACACTTGTCCCATTGTTACCGTGTTGCTTCTGAGCTCCCCTTCTTACTCACCACAGGTATTGCTTAAGAGTACTCAGGTGTCTTCCAGCTTAGTTCAACATTGTCCAAACATCGCTCTGGCAACCCTTCAACCTGGGTTTGAGCCCCCACGTTGGGTGCCACTTGCTGGGACCAGCTCAGTCGTGGAGACCCTAACTCAGCAGCGCTAGAGGAATTAAGACATACACACAGAAATATAGGGTGTGGAGTGGGAAATCAGGGGTCTCACAACCTTCAGAGCTGAGAGCCCTGAACAGAGACTTACCCACATATTTACTGACAGCAAGCCAGTGATAAGCATTGTTTCTATAGATTATAGATTTACTAAAAGTATTCCTTATGGGAAACAAAGGGATGGGCCATAACAAAGGGATGGGCTCTGGCTAGTTATCTGCAGCAGGAACACGTTCTTAGGGCACAGATCGCTCACGCTATTGTTAGTGGTTCAGGAATGCCTTCAGCAGTTTTCCACCCTGGGTGTGCCATGTGTTCCTTGCCCTCATGCTGGTAAACCCACAACCTTCAGCGTGGGTGTCATGGCCATCACAAACATTTCACAGTGCTGCAGAGATTTTGTTTATGGCTAGTTTTGGGGCCAGTTTATGGCCAGATTTGGGGGCCTGTTCTCAACAGCCTAGGACTCTCCTTTAAGGGAAGTTGGCTCCCCTCTGTCCCAGGGTAGGTCTAGAAATATCCAAGAACCAAGTCCTGGAATTGGGGTCTCCAAGTGCCCTCTTGGTACTTTTTCCTTTTGTTGCTGAACTGGCACCTCAGGTACAAGACAAAATTCCCTTTAATTTTTCTTCCACTTTTATCAAGGGGAACAGAGTCTTGGCTCCATGGCCACCACAGCTTAGAATGTTCTGAGTTTCACCAGAAAAAAGCAAGTCTCAAAGTCTCACCCAAGACTCTTGATGTAGTACCTGGATATTGCTATTTCTTATTCAGGTCAAAGGGCTCTTTAGTTAACAGACATTTAATTCTGCCAGGACTGCATCCTTCCCTTCGTGGGTGTCAGTTCCCTTTTTTATCAGGGAGTGTCTAGAAATTTCACCCAGGAGCTAGGGCCTGGAAAGGAGGCCTGATGATTCTGACCCATGGTGCCCTGTTTTGCCATGGCTGACCTGGTACCCAAAATGCAAGAAAAAGTCCTCCCCACACTTCCCTCTCCTCAGACAGTGGGAATGAGTCTCTTTCAGAGCCATAAGCTTTTTAGCCTGGAGTTATGGAAGGAGTGATGCCAGCACTTTTTTAGCTACCATGGCTGTTTTCTCAGTAGGTCATCTGCGCCACCTGCAAATCCACTGTTTCTGGGTCCAATTCAGCACCAGGACTCAACTGCAGTGGCAGTCCTTGTGGCCTAGACTGCCTTTCAAGGTTATTTAGGGCCCCATAGCACTTTAGTCTGAAACAGTCAGTCTTTTGGGAACTCAGGTTTGAACTGCTGGTATTGGCGAGTCCCCTCTGGCTATGACTGGTTTTAATGCTCCCTCCATGGGTGGGTGTCAGCTGGGTTAATTATGTGGTTTTTTTTTTTATGTTATAACAAGACCTCAAAATTGCTGTGCTCTCCCTCTCCTCAATGCACAGAAATGATCTCTGCACCATGCTGCCCCTGCCAGGGGTGAGGGATGGGCAGTGTTAGGGATACAACTCTTCGTTCCTCACCTCTTCAGTGCTTCTCAGTGGTGTAGAGTTAAAACCAGGTACTGTGAGTACTCACCTGATTCTTGGTTCTTATGAAGGCACTTTCATTTGTAGTTGTTACATTTGTGTCCTTATGGGGTGGAGGGAAAATCTGTGTAGACTTCTAGTCTGCCATCTTGTTCTGCCCCAAGTCCCAACTCATATTTTGGAGCCAGAATTTTTTCTAATAGTAAATAAAACAAAAACAGTATAAGAAAATAAAACTACAGAATAATACCACTCATGACCATACGCACGACAATACTCAACAAATGATTAGCAAGTCAATCCAGAAACATATACAAATAATTATAAACCATGACCTATTACAAGAAGGCATGCCTGTTTTAATATTTCAAAACAATGCAATGCAATATATAATATGATTAATAAAAAGAAGCCAAGCATCATAAAAATTTCAACAATGAAGTAAAATTATTTGACAAAATTTAACAAGCATTTTTGATGAGAAATTAGTGGGAATAGAAGGGATCTTACTCAACCTTTCAAAGAGCATCTACAAAGAACTTACAGTTAGCATAACAGAGGTAAGAGGCTGAATGCTTTCTTCATAAAATGAAAGACAAATAGGAAAGTTTATTCCCACCATTTCTATTGAAGATGGTACTGGAAGTCCTAGCCAGTGAAATAAAGCAAGAAAAAGAAATGAAAGCCATAGAAATTTGAGAAAAAGAAATACAACTCTTCCCATTTTCATTTGATATAATTACCTATGTAGAAATCCCCATCAAAGTTGGTGAAAATGTCCTTTAAATAATATGTGAGCTTAACAAGTATGCATGCTAAATAGTCAATGCATCTAAAATATGTATTTTATACAATATAGCAATAACCATTCCAAATAAGACATGAAAAACACAGTTCCCTGTATAATAGTCCTCAAAATTAGATCATTATGTGTAAATTTATAAAAACATATATTGGAAGTCTATGCTGATTGACACAAGTGCTGATGAATGAAATCAATAAAGAGCTGATAAGTGGAGAGGCATACCATGCTGATAGATTGGAAGTCTCAATATATTAAATATTTTAATCCTCTCCTAATTGATATATAAGTTTAATGCAACTCCAGTGGCAGCCTCATAAGGTTGAAGCACAAGAGTAATTCGGGTCTCACTACCACCTTTGGAGCCCAAGCCATCTCTCTTTCCTTGTGCTGCCTCTTTGGCAAGGCAGCAGTTTCTTCACTCGTCTCTGGAACACTACTAAAGGGACCTGAGAACTGCCTTCCAACACCCATCAGAGACAGCATTTGCACCTGTCATTTTGGGGTCAGAGTGTGATCCTGCCTTGCCTAGCCCCACCCAGCTTTGCCCTTCCTCCTTCTTGGAGGCAGAGCATGGAACCAGGACCCCTGGGAGTTTTACAACCTGGCCCATTGCCTGGGACACCTGAGTACTTCTACTGGTTAACAAAGATGAAACATAAACTCTAGTGCCACAACCATGGTTAATTTTCATCTGCAAACACCACCTACTGGCTGGGAGGTCAACCTGCACAGCCCATTACAACATTTGCTGACACAATTGCATAGTGCTTGTGAATGAGACAAGCTTTGCATGACCACTACAGCCACCATCAACCATGCCACCCTGGCTACTCAGGAGGACTTGAGACTGCTCACCCATGCAGGACATTATTACCACAACTGATATTTGAGAAAGCCATCACACTAGTCTATTTATAGGCAAGGAAATTATACAGAGTCTATGCCACTGAATGTACCCAGAAGCAAAGAAAAATGACCCTATTCAACATTAATTATAGACACATCCTCAGGATAAACAAGTCCCACCCCAACAAAGGTAAATTTAAAAATAAGTGGGCTGGCCACTGTAGCTCACACCTATAATCTCAGCAGTTTTGGAGGCCAAGGCAAGATGATTGCATGAAGCCCAGAGTGTGAGACCGGCCTGGGCAACATAACAAGACCCTGTCTCTACAGTTTTTTAATTAGCCAGGCCTGTAGGTGGCAACAGTAGTCTCAGCAACTTGGGGAGCTGATGTGGCAGAAGGATTGCTTGAAACAAGGAGTTTAAGGCTGCTGTAAGCTGTGATTATCCCACTGCACCCCAGCCTAGGTGACAGAGCCAGACCCTGTCTCTACAAACAAAAAAAGTAGTGACTGTTACACAAGTTGCAAAGGAATGTGCACAATGATACTGATAACAATCTTAAAAACCAGATGCTATGACACCTCCAAAGAAACACAGTAATTTTCTAACAATGGATTCTAACCAAAAACAAGTCTTCACTATGCCAGTTAACAATTCAAAATGCAGACTTTAAAGAAAGTGAACAGGATACAGGTGAAATCTGAAAAGTAACAGAATAAAATAAAAAATCAATTCAGGATATGAAATAAGAAATTTACCAAAGAGAGATACATTTAAAAAATAAAACAAAACTTCTGAAAATAAAATATTCATTGAAGAAATTAAAAAATATATTTGAAATCTTCAATAATAGACTACACTGAGCAGACGAAAGAATCTCAGAACTTGAAGATAAGTCCTTTGCATTGATGCATTTAGAAAACGAATTTTTAAAGTATAAAAAGAATTCAAAAGCCTTTGAAAAATATGGGACTACATAAAACAATGAAAGATATGAATCATAACTATTCCCGTTTACTGAAAATGGTGTCCTGTGGTTTTATTTTTGTTGTTGTGTCCTTGACTAACTTTAATATCAGTGTGATCCTGGCTTCCTAGAATGAGTTAGTATTTTCACCTTTCTAATCCATTAGAATAATTTCAGGAGGGTTGGTACCAGTTATTTCTTGTGCATTTTGTAGAATTTAGCTGTGAATTCATCTGGTCCAGGTTTGTTGTTGTTGTTGTTGTTTTGGGGAGGGGTTGTTTTTATTACTAATTCAGGTATACTACTCATTACTGGTCTATTCAGGATTTCTTTCTGGTTGAATCTTGAAAGGTTGCAGCTTCCAGGAATTGATAAATTTCTCTATGGCTTCTCATTTGTAAGCATATACTGGTTCATAAAAGTCTCTGATTATGCTTCATACTTTTGTAGTATCAGTTGTAATGTCTCCTTTTAAACTCGTGATTGTTGATTTGGATCTTCTCTCTTCTTTTCTTGGGTGGTCTAGCTAGTGGGCTATCAATTTGGTTTATCATTTCGAAGAAAAATCATTTGGTTTCATTGATACTTTGTATTGATTTTTGTTCTCAATTTCACTTACTTCTACTTCGATCTTTGTTATTTCTTTTCTTCCGGCAGCCATATGTTTGGTTTGTTCCTGTTTTCTAGTTTATTGAAATGTGACATTAGGTTGTTAATTTGTGATCTTTCCATTCTTTTGATGTATGCATTTAATGCTATAAACTTTCCTCTTCAGACTGCTTTTTCTGTATCCCAGAATTTTTGGTATTTTGTGGTTTCATTGTCATTCATTTCAAAAAATTTTTGATTTCCATTTTTATTTTATCATCAATCAAAAGACGCTTCAGGAGTACGTTATTTAATTTCTATGTGTTTGTATAGTTTCAAAAGTTCATTTTGAAGTTGCTTTCCAGTTGTGTTCCACTGTTGTTTGTAAGATACTTGGTATGATTTTGGTTTTTTTAACTTATTGGGATTTATTTTGTGTGACAACATATAGCCTATGTTGGAGAATGTCCCACGTGCTGGTAATAAGAATGTATATTCTGCAGCTGTTGAATAGAATTGTCTGTAGATGTCTGCTAGATCCATTTGGTCTATTGTGCAAACTATGTTCAGTGTTCCTTTATTTTTCTGGATTATCTATCTAGGGCTGTCAATGAGGTGTTGAAGTCCCCTGCTATTGCTGTATTGTTGTCTATATTTTTAGATATGGTAATATTTGTTATATAAAGTTGGATGCTCTGATGTTGGGTGCATTGATATATCCTCTTATTAAATTGATCCCTTTATTATTATATAATTGTGTTATTTGTCTTTTTTTACTGTTGTTGATTTAAAGTCTGTTGCCTTTGATATAAGTATAGCTACTCTTCTTTACTTTTGTTTCCTGTTTGCATGAAATAGATTTTTCCACTTTTAACTTCAGTCTGTTTCTTTAGCAGTAGGTTTGTTTCTTGTAAGCCACATAGCGTTGGTTTGTTATTTTTATCCTTTATGCCAATCGATATATTTTAAGTGAAACATTTAATTCATTTACTACCAAGATTAATATTGATATGTGTGGTTTTGTTCCATCATAATGTTGTTATCTGTTTGCTTTGTAGATTTACTAGTTCTCTATTCTGCCTCTGTCAATTTTTGTGGTTTGTTGGAGTTCTGTCATGCTGTTTTATTTATTTTTTTTCTTTTTGAGATGGAATCTTGCTCTGTCATCCAGGCTGGAGTGCAATGGTGCGATCTCAGCTCACTGCAACCTCCACCTCTTGAGTTCAAGCGATTATCCTGCCTCAGCCTCCTGAGTAGCTGGGATTACAGGTGCGTGCCATGATGCCTGGCTAATTTTTTTGTATTTTTAGTAGAGACGGGATTTCGCCATGTTAGCCAGGCCAGTCTCAAACTCCTGATCTTGTGATCTGCCTGATTAATTGTTACATGGAGTATGATACATGAAGCATTAATCTCCAAACTATCCCTATTATGACTTTACATTGTTACTATACAGAAAGTTTCGAAACACAGAAAATTTTATTATTTGGCCAATCAACCTTCAATAGTTCTGTGAAAACTCCAGCATAAGATCCAAATTCCCTTCATTATTTGGTACCTGAATTTTTTCCAGTCTTATCTCTAACACTCGTCAGTATCTATAATACACTATAGTCACATACACATAGAAAATGCTTTGTGATCTAAAATTGACAAATGGGATCTAATTAAACTAAAGAGCTTCTGTACAGCAAAAGAAACTAACATCTGAGGGAAGAGGCAACCTAGAGAATGTGAGAAAAATTTTGCAATCTACCCATCTGGCAGGGGTCTAATATCCAAAATTTACAAAATACTTAAACAAACTTACAAAAAAAAAAAAAAGAAAACACCACCATCAAAAAGTGGGGAAAGAACATAAACAGGCACTTCCCAAAAGAAGACATTTATGTGACCAACAAACATATGAAAAAAACCTCCACATCACTGATCATTAGAGAAATGCAAATCAGAACCACAGTGAAATACCATCTCACGCCAGTCAGAATGACAATTATTAAAAAGTTGAGAAACAACAGATGCTGATGAGGCTGTGAATAAATAGGAATGCTTTTACACTGTTGGTGGGAATGTAAATTAGCTCAACCATTGTGGAAGACAGTGTGGCAATTCCTCAAAAACCTACAATCAGAAATACCATTTGACCCGGGAATCCTATTACTGGGTATATACCCAAAGGAATATAAATAATTCTATTATAAAGATACATGCACACATATGTTTACTGCAGCACTATTTACAATATCAAAGACATGGAACCAACCCAAATGCCCATCAATGGTAGACTGCTTAAAGAAAATGTGGTACATATGCACCATGGAATACTATGCAGCCATAAAAATGAATGAGATTATATCCTTTGCAGGGGCATGGATAAAGCTGGAAGCCATCATTCTCAGCAAACTAACACGGGAACAGGACACCAAACACCACATGTTCTCATTCGTAAGTGGGAGTAGAACAATAAGAACACATGGACACAGAGAGGGGCACAACACACTCTGAAACCTGTCAGGTGGTGGGGGCAAGGGGAAGGAGAGCATCAGGACAAATAGCTAAAAACCTAGATGACAGGTTGTTGGGTACAGCAAACCACCATGGCACTCATATATATATATATATATATATATATATACCTGCACGTTCTGCTCATGTATCCCAAAACATAAAGTAACAACAACAACAATAACAAAATGCTTTATGTAGGGGAGAAGTGTGTACGCGTATGTGTGTGTGTAGTGTCACTGTTCAAATGAAAATCAGAAACGAAAATCCATTGGTGGGATTTTCTGAGCCATTTTAAAATAAATTTACATTTTTTTTAAATTTTGTTTTTCTGTAAGTTATTGGGGTACAGGTGGTTTTTGGTTACATGAGTAAGTCATTTAGTGGTGATTTGTGAAATCCTGGTGCACCCATCACCCGAGCAGTATATACTGCACCATATATGTTGTCTTTTCTCTCTTTTGCCCCTCTCCCATGCTTCTCCACAAGTCCCCAAAGCCCACTGTATCATTCTTATGCCTTTGTGTCCTCATAGCTTAGCTCCCACATATCAGTGAGAACATACAATGTTTGGTTTTCCATTCCTGAGTTATTTCACTTAGAATTATAGTCTCCAATCTCATCCAGGTCATTGCAAATGCTATTAATCATTCCTTTTTATGGCTTAGTAGTATTCTATTATATATATACGTATATGTATATATATATATATACGTATATGTATATATATATATATACGTATATGTATATATATATATACGTATATGTATATATATGTATATGTATATATATGTATATATATACGTATATATATATACGTATATATATATACGTATATATATATACCAAAGTTTATCCATTTGTTGATTGATGGGCATTTGGGTTGGTTGCACGATTTTGCAATTGTTAATTGTGCCGCTATAAACATGCGTGTGCAAGTATCTTTTTCGAATAATAACTTCTTTTTTTCTGGGTAGATACCCAGTTGTGGGATTGCTGGATCAAATGGTAGTTCTACTTTTAGGTCTTTAAGGAATCTCCACACTGTTTTCCATAGCAGCTGCACTAGTTTACATTTCCACTAGCAATGTAGAAGAAGTGTTCCCTGATCACCTCATTTACACCAACATCTACTGTTTTTTGATTTTTTTATTATGGCCATTCTTTCAGGAATAAGGTGGTATCGCATTGTGGTTTTGATTTGCATTTCCCTGATCATTAGTGATGTTGAACATTTTTTCATGTGTTTGTTGGCCATTTGTATATCTTCTTTTAAGAATTGTCTATTCATGTCCTTAGCCCACTTTTTGATGGGATTGATTGTTTTTTTCCTTACTGATTTGTTTGAGTTCGTTGTAGAGTCTGGATATTAGTCCTTTGTCAGATGTATAGATTGTGAAGATTTTCTCCCACTCTGTGTTGTCTGTTTACTTTGACGACTGTTTTTT
The DNA here is from genome assembly GCF_000001405.40 of Homo sapiens. Taxonomy (NCBI): domain Eukaryota; kingdom Metazoa; phylum Chordata; class Mammalia; order Primates; family Hominidae; genus Homo; species Homo sapiens. Next base: position 57,217,254 of record NC_000023.11, read on the forward strand.
TTTTTTTGTCATTCAAAAGCTATTTTGTTGAATTAGGTCCCAGCTATTTATCTTTCTTTTTATTGCATTTGCTTTTGGGTTTTTGGTCATAAAATTATTGCCTAAGCCAATGTCTAGAAAGGTTTTTCCAGTGTTATCTTCTAGAGTTTTTATAGTTTTAGGTCTTAGGTTTAAGTCTTTAATCCATCCTGAGTTGATTTTTGAATAAGGTGAGAGATGAGGATCCAGTTTCATTCTGCCACATGTGGCTAGCCAATTTTCCCAGAACTATTTGTTGAAAAGGGTGTCTTTTCCCCACTTTATGCTTTTATTTGCTTTGTCGAACATCAGTTGGCTGTAAGCATTTTGGTTTATTTCTGGGTTCTTATTCTGTTCCATTGGTCTATGTGCCTATTTTTATACCAGTACCATGCTGTTTTGGTGACTATGGCCTTATAGCATAGTTTGAAATCAGGTAGTGTGATGCCTGCAGATTTGTTCTTTTTGCTTAGTCTTGCTTTGTCTATATGGGCTCTTTTTTGTTTCCATATGAATTTTAGAATTGTTTTTTCTAATGCTGTGAAGAATGATGGTGGTATTTTGATGGAGATTGCATTGAATTTGTAGATTGCTTTTGGCAGTATGGTCATTTTTACAATATTGATTCTACCCATTTATGAGCATGGCATGTGTTTCCATTTGTTTGTGTCATCTATGATTTCTTTCAGCAGTGTTTTATAGTTTTCCTTGATTTGATTCTCCACTTGGTCACTGTTGGTGTACAGAAAAGCTACTGATTTGTGTACATTAATCTTGTATCCAGAAACTTTGCTGAATTATTTTATCAGTTCTAGGAGCTTTCTGGAGGAGTCCTTAGGATTTTCAAGGTAAATGATTATATCATTAGTAAACAGGGACAGTTTGAGTTCCTCTTTACTGATTTGGATGCCTTTTATTTATTTCTCTTGTCTGATTGCTCTGGCTAGATCTTCCAATACTATGATGAAGAGGAGTGGTGATATAGTGACAGTCCTTGTCTTGTTTCCATTCTCAGAGGGAATGCTTTCAACTTTTCCCCATTCAGTATTTTGTTGACTCTGGGTTTGTCATAGATGTCTTTTACTACATTAAGGTATGTCCCTTGTATGCCAATTTTGCTGGGGGTTTTAATCTAAAGCGATGCTGGATTTTGTCAAATGCTTTTTCTGCATCTATTGAGATGATCATGTGATTTTTGTTTTAAATTCTGTTTATATGGTGTATCACATTTATTGAGTTGCATATCTTTAACCACCCCTGCATCCCTGGTATGAAACCCACTTGATTGTGGTGGATTACCTTTTAGATATGTTGTTGGATTCAGTTAGCTAGTATTCTGTTAAGGACTTTAGCATCTATGTTCATCAAGGATAGTGGTCTGTAGTTTTCCTTTTTGGTTATGTTCTCTCCTGGTTTTGGTATTAGGGTGATGCTGGCTTCAGAGAATGAATTAGGGAGGGTTCCTTCTCTATATATCTTGTGGAATAATGTCCACAGGATTGGTACCAGTTCTTCCTTGAATGTATGGTAGAATTCTGCTGTGAATCTGTTTGGTCCTGGACTTTTTTTATGTTGGTAATTTTTAAATTATCATTTAAATCTCGCTGCTTGTTATTGGTCTCTTCAGGGTATCTACTTCTTGCTGATTAAGCTAGGTGTAAGATTGTCCCCATGGCCTGAAAGCTTAAGGAGATATATAACTCCTCGCTTCTCAGGCCCAGTCCCAAGGCGCAAGGCCACTTGCGTCAGCAGTGTGTGCGGCAGCATGCACCAGCAAGATAGCAGAGGCAGAAAAATAGCCAGTCAGAAGACACCTACCCCTGAAGATTGAGAAAGAGGCCATATGGGTAAAACATAGCAGTTACGTCAGACTAGGACACTTCCTGTTTACAGGAGACTGTAAAACATTTGTCCCATCCTCACTTGGTGCTAACGCCATTTTAAGCCTCAGCCCGCCTGCACCCAGGCACTCATTAAGACAGCATGTTGCTCCACACTGCCTCGTGTTGTCTGTTGGTGCACTCTCGGGGTTCAAACTGTTACAAGAACCTTATATTTTGGTGCTGAAATCTGGGAGGGGCTCAGGTCTGCATCCCCCATGGACCTAGCCCTCCACCCCAAAGAGCAGGCCACAGCAGCTGGACAAAGGAAGGTCCTCAGCCTCCAGTCGCCTCTCTGTGCATGCAGTCGGTCACTGATCTCGCCTACTGGTAAGTTTCCCCAGAAGCCCAGTTAACAGAGAAAAATCTGCACAGCCTCTCTTGGTTTCTCCAGTCCAAAGCCCCAACATTGGTCCAAGAAGGCTCTGGCATGTGCCAGGCACCCGATAATTATCTAGTCTTAAGGGGACGCCTCTAAGCCATTTAATCCTGTTCCAGGAACAAAAAAGGCAGCAGTGATGATGGCTCCTTTTATCTTCTCCCTCCGGCTGTCCAGGATGGCCTCCTTTTCCCTGTTCTCCCAAGCCCACCCTCCCTTATGGGAAACTCCCGGTCCTCTGTTCCAAAAAAAAAAACAGTCCTCTAGGCTGCCTCATAAAAAAACCTGCAAACATTAGGCCTCAAGCTAGATATGTGCCCTAAGCGCCTTGTCTTTTTTTTTTTTTTTTTTTTTTTTTGCAATTCAGTCTGGCCACAATATGAATTAAATAATGGGTCCAAATGGCCCGCAAATGGAACATTCAACTTTGCAATTCTAACTTATTTAAGCAATTAATGCTGACGACTGGAGAAATGGCAAGAAATTCCTTACGTCCAGGCCTTTTTACACTCAGATCACAACCTGTCCTCTGCAATTCTTGCTTATCTGTTCAAATCCTTCCCCTCCATTCTAGCCGCCCTAATCACCTTTCTCCTCCCAACCGTACCTCTTTTTTTCTCATTAAATCCAGCAGACTGCTGTCCACCCCTCCCAGCCCCTACCTCTTCCTCTCAACCATCTTCTTTAACCCCCCAAGCCTCCTCATTGTCTTCTCAGCTGCCATCTTCCCAGTCAGCTGTATCCACTTATTTTTCTACACCGTCCCCTCCTCAGAACAATTCTAATATTACCTATACCTATTCTCCTCCCCAACGCCCTCTCCTGAGGCTTGTAAACCTATCCTGCCACCTTACGCCTCTGTCTATCCTCCACTGCCTATTAACTCAACCGCGCTTTCCCCTTCAAACCCTCAGAAGGAATCAGTATTTTAAACCTTCAGTTCATCTCCTAATCCACCCCCAATGTTTGGCTCAAGCTCCAGAAGCTTGACGACGGCCGTCAAACCCCACAACAAGTCCTTCTTAATTTAGCCTTCAAAGTCTTCAACAATTGTAATGAGGAAAGTAAAAGGCAAAAACAGGCAGAGTTTCAAATGCTTGCCTCCACCATCAGGGGCCCTGCAGGCCCACGGGGCCGCAGCTCCACACAGAAGCCTCCTAAAAATCCACCTCCACCTGGCGCCTATTTCAAGTGTGGCAATGAAGGCCACTGGTCCAGACAATGCCCAAACCCAGGTAAAGCCAGCAGTCCATGCCCCTCTCTGCGGAGAACCCCACTGGAAGTCGGACTGTAAGCAGCTCCCACAAGGACTGCCCCCATCCCTTCCTGAGCTAGCCAAAACCTCCTACTTATATCTCATCGGCCTTGCCACTGAAGAATGATGGTGCCCTGGAACAGACACCCTGGCAACTACCTTTGCCTCATCCAAGCCAAGGGTAACCCTGATGGTGGCAGGTAGGCCAGTATATTTTTAAATTAATACCAGGCAACCTACTCTGCTTTACCTAATTTTTCAGGAACCACCCAGTCCTCCCAGGTGTCTGTTGTAGGAATTAATGGACAAGTCTCCAAACCTCGAGTCCCCCCTCCACTTTTCTGCTCCCTTCACACCTTTTCCTTCACTCACTCTTTCTTAGTCCTGCCCTCATGCCCAACTACTCTCCTAGGCAGAAATATCTTTCCAAAACTCCACACTACTTTCCACTTCCACATTCCCCATAGTACCCAACACATCAACCCAGACCCCTCTGGGGCTTCTAACTTTCTTCTACTCCTCCAACCACCCACCTTAAAACGTGCAACTTTTTCTTGTCCCCCATCTGTAGTTAACCCCGCTGTTTAGGATACTTCCACACCCTCAGTCGCAGGACACCACACCCCTGTCCACAATACCCTTAAATAGCCCACCCAGTTCCTATCACAGAAGTAGTATGCCATCCCCCAAGTAGCTCTCATAAGCCTAAAGCCTATCATTTCTCGTCTCCTCTCCAGTCACCTACTCTGCCCAACAAACTCCCCTTTTAACACACCAGTTCTACCTGTGAAAAAGCTAGATGGAGCTTATCACTTAGTCTAGGACCTCAGGCTCATTAACCAAGCTGTACTCCCAGTATGTCCAGTAGTTCCTTACCCATATACTTTACTTTCCACAATTCCCTCCGATACCACTCATTTTTCTGTTCTAAACCTAAAGGATGCTTTTTTTTCATAATTCCTTTACACTCTGATTCCCAAAACCTCTTTTCCTTTATGTGGAATACCCCCGACACCCACCTTTCATGTGAGCTCACCTGGTGCATACTACCTCAAGGTTTCAGAGACAGCCCCCACTTTTCTGTGTCCAAAAGGCCCTTGCTCATGACCTCTGTAGCTTATCCCTAAAGCTGTCCACTCTCTTTCAATGTATTAATGATCTGCTCCTGTGTAGCCCCTCTCAAAAAAACTGCAACTACCATACTATCTCTCTTTTAAACTTCTTCCCAAAATGCGAGTATTAGGTCTCCCCTAAAGAAACAAAAATATGCACCCCCCTCAGTCACCTATCTATGCCTAACTCTTACCCCATGAACCTGAGAGCTCACAACCGACCACATATCCCTCCTCCAGTCCCTCCTGCCTCCGCAAACTAAGCAAAAAAATCTCTCTTTTCTAGGACTAGTGGGATATTGTAGGCTCTGGGTTCCCTCCTTCGCTCTATCTGCCAAACCATTATACCAGGCTGCTAAAGGCCCTCTCTATGTGCCATTAAACTCTGCACAGCCTATTACCCAACCTTTCCATCTACTCCAGAAGGCTCTCACCTCAGCCTCATCCTCACTCTCCCAGACCTCACCAAACCTTTCTCCCTCTATATCGACAGATGATGTAAAGTTGCATTATGTATTCTAACCCAGTCTAAGGGACCTACCGCCCAGGTTGTTGCCTACCTCTCTAAACAGCTTAAAGCCACCATTCTCCGATGGCCTGCCTGCCTTCAAGCATTGGTGGCAGCTGCTGTCCTCACCCTTGAAAGCCTAAAACTATCTCTCCATGCCAACCTAACAGTTTATTCAACCCATAACATCAAAAACATGTTAGCTCACTGCAGTGTACTAAGTCTCATCTCTGCCCCATGGCTCCTCCAACTGTATGCTCTATTCATAGAAAACCCCCTCCTACCAATCACCATACTAACCAGCTCCCGTCTAAACACAGCCATGCTCTTACCTGAAGTTACAACCGCCCAAGACCCTACACACTTCTGTGTAAACACTGTTCAAACCTTCCTTATACCTTTTCCAAACCTAACAGAACAACCCTTTCCAGATGCCCCCTTTACTTAGTTTGTAGATGGCAGCTCCTTCCTACATCAAGGACGCTGGCATGCTGGCTATGCTATAGTGTCACCCCACACACACACACTATTGAAGCCAATCTGCTCTTGCTAAGCACCACCTCTAAAAAAGCTGAACTCGTCGCTCTTCCTCAAGCTCTCACTCTAGCAGCCAGACAACAAATCAACATATATTCAAATTCTCGTTATACATTCTACATAGTGTACTCACACTCGTCCATCTGGAAAAAACGAGGCTTCCTAATTGCAAAAAACACTCCTGCCATAAATGGCTCTCTCATCAGCAAACTCCTTCAAGCTGCCAGGCTTCTACAGAAAGTTGCCATCATTTATTGCAGGGGCCACCAAACCCCGGATGATCCTATATCAGCTGGAAATAGGCTAGCAGATCAGATAACCAAACAAGTAGCCCTCCAACCCATGCAAGGCCAGTTTCTGTCCCTGTCCTTTTTCTCTCCTCTTTACTCCTCAGAAGAAAAGGAGGACTTCCAAGCCCAAAACCTTCAAAAGCAAGGACCATGGTATGTCAAGGAAAGGTGCTTTATTCTTCCTCACTCTCAAAGCCTTCCTCACCTCCAAAGCCTCCACAACCCTTTCCATATCAGTTACAACCTCTCTTGCAACTTCTCTGCCCTATTCTCACTTGCCCTCACCTTTCCAGCCATGTTTGAGAAATTACCTAGTCCTGCTCTGTCTGCCACTCAGTGTCACCCCAAGGCTCCTTCCAGCCACCTTTTCCTACCCACCAAGCCCAGGGCCAGGTACCCAGGCAAAATTAACAAATGGACTTCACTCACATGCTGGCCAATAAACGGCTCCACTATCTTCTAGTCTTTATCTGTACTTTCTCCAGGTAGATAAAAGCATTCCCAACAACTTCAGAAGGTATAAATGTCATCACACAAACTCTCTTCATGCATATAATTCTCCGTTTTGGACTTCCAACATTCATCCAGTCCAACAACGGACCCTCCTTCATCAGCCAAATTATCCAAGGCATCTCTACATCCTTAGGTATAAAATGGGTTCTCCACACACCCTATAGGCCTCAATTCTCAGGCAAAGTTGAAAAAATTACGTCTGTCCTTAAAGCCCAACTCACCAAGCTGGCTCTAAAAACTCACCAGTCGTAAACAAAAAATCTCCCTTTCACCCTTATAAGACTCCACACAACACCAAAAGCACCCTCTTTTTATAGTCCCTTTGAAATCATATATGGCCAAACTTTTGTCTTGGGGTCTCCACCCTTACCAGACTCTGAGCCACTCAGATATTACCTCTCCTCCTTAATCCAGACATGGTCTTTCATTCGTGAAGCAGCAAATAAGGCCATGCCTCTCCCTGTTAACACCTTTTTGTCCTCTGAACGTAACTGTCTTACAGGCACAGACGTGTTTCCAGACAATCCAGATGATGCTTCTGCTACAGCGACATGGTAAATACCAACCCGTCTCTCAACAATACCCCCAAAATTAAGATTTTCTTTTTCCAAGATGTCCACGTCACCCCCTATGTCATGCCTGAAGTAATTATTGAGTAAGTGGTCCCTTTTCCCTTTTCTCTAACCAAATAGACAGGAATGTAAGATTCTCCCGGGGCCTGAAAGCTTAAGGAGATGAATAACTCCTCCCTTCTCAGGCCCAGTCCCAAGGCGCAAGGGCCACTTGTGTCAGCAGTGTGCACCAGCAGCGTGCGCCGGCAAGATAGCAGAAGCATGAAAAGGGCCGGCCAGAAGACACCTACTCTGGCTGGAAGACACGTACCCCTGAAGATCAAGAAAGAAGCTATCTGGGAACAATGTAGCAGTTACGTCAGACCAGGACACTTCCTGTTTACAGGAGACTATAAAACCTTTGTCCTATCATCACTTGATGTGGACGCCATTTTAGGCCTCAGCCCGCCTGCACCCAGGCACTGATTAAAACAGCATGTTGCTCCACACTGCCTCGTGTTGTCTGTTGGCATGCTCTTGGGGTTCAAACTGATACAAGAACCTTACACTAGGAGGGTTGTGTTTTTCCAGGAATTTATTAATCTCTTCCAGATTTTCTAGTTTATGTGTGTAAAGGTGTTCATATTAGCCCTGAATGATCTTTTGTATTTCAGTGGTGTTAGTTGAAATATCTCCTGTTTCATTTCTCTGTGAGGTTATTTGGATAGTCTCTCTTATTTTCTTGGTTAATCTTGCTAATGGTCTCTCAATTTTATTTATCTTTTCAATGAATCAACTTTTTGTTTCATTTATCTTTCGTAAAATTTTTTTTTTCAATTTCATGCAGTTCTTCTCTGATCTTGGTTATGTTCTTTGTCTGCTGGGTTTGGGTTTGGTTTGTTCTTGTTTCTCTAGTTGCTTGAGGTGTAACCTTATATTGTCTGTATGCACTTTTTCAGACTTTTTGTTGTAGGTGTTTAGGGCTATGAACTTTCCTCTTAGCGCCTCCTTAGCTGTATCCGAAAGTTTTTGATAGGTTGTGTCATTATTGTCATTCATTTTGAAGAATTTTAAAATTTTCATCTTGATTTTGTTTTTGGCCCAATGCTCATTCAGGAGCAGGTTATTTAATTTCCATGTATTTGCATGGTTTTGAAAGTCCTTTTGGAGTTCATTTCCAGTTTTATTCCACTTTGGTCTGAGAGAGTATTTGATATAATTTCAATTTTCTTAAATTTGTTGAGGTTCATTTTATGGCCTATCATATGGTCTATCTTGGAGAAGTTCCATGCACTGTTGAATAGAATGTGTATTCTGCAGTTGTTGGATGAAATGCTCTGTAGATATCTGTTAAGTCCATTTGTTCCAAGGTATAGTTTAAATCCATTGTTTCTTTGTTGACTTTCTGTCTTGATGACCTGTCTATTGCTGTCAGTGGAGTATTGAAGTCCCCCACTATTATGATTCTATCTATCTCATTTCTTCATTCTATTAGTAATTGTTTTATAAATTTGGGATCTCTAGTCTTAGGTGAATATTTGTTTAAGATTATGCGGTTTTCCTGTTGTATCAGGCCTTTTTACCATTATATAATGTCCCTCTTTGTGTCTTTTAACCACTGTTGCTTTAAAGTTCATTTTGTCTGATATAAGAATATCTACTCCTGCTCAGTTTTGGTGTCCATTTGCATGAAATGCCTTTTTGTACGCCTTTACTTTAAGTTTATGTGAGTCTTTTTGTGTTAGGTGAGTCTCCTGAAGACAGTAGACGGTTGGTTAATTCTTATCCATTATGTGGTTCTGCATCTTTTAAGTGGAGCATGTAGGGTATTTACATTCAATGTTAGTATTGAAATGTGAGGTACTCTTGCATTCATCATGCTCTTTGTTGCCTGTGTACTTTGTTTTTGTTGTTGTTGTTTTAACTCGTGTTTTTGTTTTATAGGCCCTTTGTAATTTATGCTTTAAAGAGATTCTGTTTTGATGTGTTTCCAGGATGTGTTTCATGATTTAGAGCTTCTTTTAGAAGTTCTTGTAATGGTGGCTTTGTAATGGTGAATTCTCTCAATATTTGTTTGTCTGAAAATCACAGTATCTTTCCTTCATATATGATGCTTCATTTGGCTGGATAAAAAATTCTTGGCTGATAATTGTTTTGTTTGAGAAGGCTGAAGATAGGACCCCAATCCCTTCTAGGTTGTAGGGTTTCTGCTGAGAAATCTGCTGTTAATCTGTTAGGTTTTCCTTTATAGGTTTCCTGGTGCTTCTGTCTCAAAACTCTTAAGATTCTTTCCTTCATCTTAACTTTCGATAACCTGATGACAATGTGCCTAGGTGAAGATCTTTTTGCAATAGATTTCCCAGGTGTTCTTTGTGCTTCTTGTATTTGCATGTCTAGGTCTCTAGCAAGGCTGGGAAAGTTTTCCTTGATTATTCCCCTAAATATGTTTTCCAAGCTTTCAGAGTTGTTTTCTTCCTCAGGAATACCGATTATTCTTAGGTTTGGTTGTTTAACATAATCCAAAACTTCTTGGAGGCTTTGTTTATATTTTCTTATTCTTTTTTCTTTGTCTTTGTTGGATTGGGTTAATTCAAAGACTTTGTCTTCAAGCTCTGAATTTCTTTCTTCTACTTGTTCAATTCTATTGCTGAGACTTTCCAGAGCATCACACATTTCTAAAAGTGTGTCCAATGTTTCCTGAATTTTTAATTTTTTTTTTCTTTAAGCTATCTATTTCATTGGATATTTCTCCCTTCACTTTTTGTATTATTTTTTGGACTTACTTGCATTGGGCTTTGCCTTACTTTGATCTCTCCCTGATTAGCTTAATAACTGACCTCCTGCTTTCTTTTTCAGGTAAATCAGAGATTTCTTCTTGGTTTGGATCCATTGCTGGTGAACTCGGGTCGGGGGGTGTTGAGGAGCCTTGTTTTGTCATATTACCAGGGTTGGTTTTCTGCTTCCTTCTCATTTGGGTAGACTCTGTCAGAGGGAAGGTCTAGGGCTGAAGGCTGTTGTTCATATTATATTTTCCCACAGGCTGTTCCCTTTATGTAGTACTCTCCCCCTTTTCGTGTGGATGTGGCTTCCTGTGAACTGAACTGCAGTGATTGTTGTCTCTCTTCTGGGTCTAGCCACCCAGTGAGTCTACCTGGCTCTGGGCTGGTACTGGGGGTTATCTGCACAGAGTCCTGTGATATTAACTGTCTATGGGTCTCTCAGTCATGGATACCAGTGCCTGTTCCAGTGGAGGTGACACAAGGGGCAATGGACTCCATGGGGGTCCTCAGTTTTGGTGGTATAATGGCCTATTTTTGTGCTGGTTGGCCTCCTACCAGGAGGTGGCACTTTCCAGAAAACATCAGCTGTAGTAGTGTGGAGAGGGACTGGTGGTGGATAGGGCCCTACAACTCCCAAGGTTATATGTCCTTTGTCTCCTGCCACCAGGGTGGGTAGGGAAGGACCATTGGGTGGGGGCAGGGCCGTGTCTGAGCTCAGACTTTCCTTAGTTGAGTCTTGCTGTGGCTGCAGTGGTGGATGGGGGTGAGACTCCCAGGTCACTGGAGTTGTTTACCAAGGCAGATTATGGCTGCCTCTGCTGAGTCATACAGGTTGTCAGGGAAGTGGGGTAAAGCTGGTAGCCACAGACCTTACTCAGCTCTCACTCAAACCGAAGGGCTGGTCTCACTCCCACCATGCCCTCAGCAACAGCCCTGAACCTGTTTCCAGGTGAAGGGCCAGTCAGGCTTGAAAATTTTCCCAAGGTTTTCTTCACATTTGCAAATGAAAAGGGCTTTAGTTCTTTCCCCACCTGTGAAGTCTGCAAACTGGATTCGCGCCCTCCCCTGAGTTCTGGCCTTGAGACTTCTCGCCCTGTTCAAATTGTTAGAAATTTCAGCTAGAGAAGTTCTTCTCATTGTGGAGTTTTACCCCCTGCTCCTCTGGCCACCCTCCTGATGGATCCCTGTGGTGCCAGGCAGGAATTGTCTGCTTGGGGATCCAGCGAGCTCCCAGTGCCTTTCTGCTACTTCCTCTATCCCTGTGTTTCGCTGGGTTTGGCTCTCTAACTTGACTCGGCTCCAGGTAAAGTTGGGAACTTCTCCCACAAACAGACCTTCAGCTTCTCCATTGGGGATGTCTGTTTGGGAGAGGAGGGTCTCCCTTTTCCACTTCCATGGTTGGGGCACTCACAGTATTTAGGTTGTCTCCCGTGTCCTGCAGGAGCAGTCTGCTTCCTTTAGAGGGTCTGTGGGTCCTCTCAGGATTGCTGGTCTGTTATTGCAGTCGATCTGGAGCTAAAATTCACAATGCAAGCCTCCGTATGCTGCTCTGTCCGGAGCTGCAATCTAGTCCTACCTCCCATCAAATTTACACATTTTAAAATACCATTTACTTCCTAATCTGACAGGATATCAAACCAGGTTCGTCCAGCTTTCCTGTCTGACACCTCTTTAGTTTCCTTGGTAACAAAACTTTGCTCCATGATTCCGGTAACAAAACTCTTTAGTTTCCTTGGTATCAAAACTCTGCTCCATGATTCTGGGGTCTGATTTTGAATAAATGCAACGTCAGAAGCAAGAGTGAGCTGAGTACTTTACAGCTGTGGAACCTAAAGCAAAAAAAACAGACACAGCATCCCAATTCTAATTCTGACTCTGATTTGGATTCAGATCCATATTTCCCCCAGACTCTACAGACACATCACTTCTCCTCCTTTGTTCCCCTTCCAGTTCTGCTATGGAAGAAGCAACATCTAAGATGACGGAAATTATTTCAGAGCCCACAGTTACACTGGAAAATGAGGTAAAAAAAAAATAGAATTCTGCTCACTACCTTACAGAAAAACAAGCCAGACAAAAGGGTGGAATGGTTAAGAGACAGTGTTGACAATGAGCACTTGGACTATCGCTCATCTAAATGCTGCTGCATTTATCAAAAGCCTCATGCCTTTGGTGAAAGCTCCTCAGAGAGTGAAAAAGAGGATGAAGAAAATTGTAATTTCATGCTATATTTCTGGGGTCATCACAATGGACGGCATCATTCCCTTCCCAATAGGGCTTCTAGTACTTTATCTAAAAAACCTTGAGACACATCTCATCCTCTTCCTTCACCCATGAAGGGCTAAGCTTACTTTGCTTCCCCCATCCCTGAATGAGACTGGACTAAAATATATCCACGTTGCTATTCAGGGATTAAACATATTTTGAATCTTTTTTGATGTGTGTTCTATCTCTCTTCTGTCTGATGGAAAGGGTAGCAATGAAGGAAGACAAGGGGAGAGAAACAAAGGGATCAATAGAATACCTGGAAGCCCTGGTACTGCATGACTACTATTCTACAATACACATGTCACATGTATATTCTTGTCTTTTTTAGAGATCTGGAATAACTTCTCCTATATTTTCTTGGCTAGTCTATTATCATGACACCAAACCCCCACTTTCCACAGAGCTACCATTTTCTCTATACTTGTTACCCATAATAGTTTCTATCATCTAATGAGTACCAGATTATTCTTTACCATTAATTGGAAGCTTTGTAATCTTGTCACCTGATATTTACCCATTACACTTTATTCTTGCTTTTATCCTGGGTGATTTCAATATCCCTGTAGATAAGATTTCATATAAACTAGGTATTTCTCCTCTACTTTTATTTAGGAACCCCACAGCCATAGTCATACCATGAAGCTAATGAGCACTAGTACTATTCCACATCTAAGTTTTATAATTAGGGATCTTATTTTCTCATCCCAAACTCCTATCTTTTGACTTCTGTCTCATACTCGCTTACAACACTATTTTGTGAATTCATGGAGACTCCTAGTCACCCAAATTTGTGCTGACCTCTCAATCAGTCAACCTTCTGGGTATAACTTCTTTTCCACCCAAACTTCTGACCCATCAACAGCATTCTTTCCCGTGTTCTTACTTCTTCACTCTTTTGTGAAACCTCTCTTGCCAATTCCAAATTATGACATGTGACTCAGGAAAACTAAAATGAAGTGTTTGTGGACTTGGGGAAAGGTGGTATCAAAGAAACATCAGGAAACTATCAAGAGGTAGAATAGTAGTTTAAATTTATTACATGTTTTGTGTGTGCCTAGCATTTTCTTCAAGGCTTTATGTATAATAACCCAGGAATTCTGGGAAAGTCTCAGTCTTTATCTCTTCAAATATATTCTGCTTCATTCTCTTTTTCCTATTTCTTTGAGACTCCAATTTAAACCTATGTTACACTTCCTTCTATATTTGTTAATATTATCTTTATTTTTCTGTCTCTTTTAAACATCATTTGGATCATTTCTTCTTATCAGCATTTAGTTCACCAATATAGCTTGATTTATATCTAAAAAGCTATTAAACCCATCCACTTAATTTTGTTTCCTTATACTCTTCAGTCCTAGAATTTCAACTTAGTACTTTTTCCCAATTGTTAGATCCCTTATTATGAGGACCTGAATAATTCAAATTCTCTGTAAGAAACTTTTGGCTTGACTTTGATTTCCTTGCACATACTAAGCATAATTATTTTATAACTTGTGTCTGATAATTGTAGTATTTACAATCCTGGTGAATTTGTTTCCATTGTCTGATTTTCTCTCCTAGTTCTTGCTCATAGTTTCTTGTTTTCTTGCTTTTGTGCTTTTTTTATTCCTTGATTATATGCTATACTCTATTTTAAATATTATTTGTAGAAATTTGAGGTCGAGGATAATGATATCTTCCTCCAAAGGAAGTGTGTGTGTGTGTGTGTGTGTGTGTGTGTGTGAGTGTGTGTGTGTTTCTATGGGTTTCTGAGGTCAGTAGAAATCCGGGATTATCTTAATCCAAATTTAGAGTTTAGTATTTTTGAGGATTCCAAAATTAACTAAAGTTGGGTTGTAGCTCATTACAGCTTCCGTTTGGTTCAATTCACTTTTATTCATGATTTTCTGGCCATTATAGGTCAAGATCAAAACTACCCACTCTTGGTAGACTGAGGACTATGAATTTTATCTTCCTAGCACAATGAAGTCACCAAAAGTACAGATCTTCCTCTCACGCATTACTTTAGACTCAGCAAATATTCCTTTCCCCCAGAGAAAAATAGGTTCCATGTTCTGGACTCAACACTAGATTCCTTTTCTGTTATAGACCTCTGTCTAATAGTTCCTCACTATTTTGCCTATTTTTTAGCTTTTTTTGTAATTGCAAGAATATTTTGAATTTTTTTGTAGCCTTTTGATTTGTTTTCCAGTTCCAACCCAGGGAATGTTGATCTAAGTTATCTTTTTATACCTTTATATTCACTATTTTATCATTACAATAATGCCATGAGGTAGATAATATTGTTATCCTCACAGTACATCTTAGAAACTGAGATATAGAGTTAATAATTTGCCTTAGATAACACAGCTAATAAGAATTAGAAATGAAATTTGAACCCAAGCATTCTGGCTCAACAGTCTGAATTCCTCAACATTTGCTTTTTCTGAATTATTAGGCAATTAATCCCTCTGGCAAAACAGAAATTGTTCTATGTCTACTTGGGTTAGAGTTCTGGCAGAACATAAACATTAGAGGTTGTAGGTTAAAACAAAACAAGCCCCTGGGATCCCACCAAGCATGCTTTTGGTGGGCTAGGAAGATAAATTTTGTGACCAGGATCTACTTTTCTAACAAAGGAGACTTTCATTCTATCAATAAATTTCCATATGCATGATATGCTTGGAAGATTCAAGCCAGCCTAGGGGCCCTCTTGGAATATAAAGATACTAATAGTATGTCTTTTGACTGAAAGGCCCCAGTTTGGATTGAACTGATATCTGTATAGATGGAGGGATGAAGGATACTAATTGGGGAAGAAAGTGCTAGCCCCCTCAAGGAAAGACTGACAGTCTGAATCACAGAATTGAAAGGGCATGACAATTCCATTTGGATTTGACATAAGTTCACAAAGGAAATAGTTGTGTAGATCATGAAGATTCCTGCAAGGTGAAGTAAGGTTTATGGGAAGCAAGGACAAAATTCAGAAAATGGTGTTAAGAAAATGGTGAGGGAGAGGGCTGAGGCCCAGCCAAGTTCTCTAAGATTGTTCTCAATGGGGAACTAAAGTGGATAAATGGAAAGTAGTGACCTACACAAAGTGCCAGTCAGCCAAACAAAACATGCCAAATGTCAAGTGAGTAGGAAAATTTCAGCTCTTAAAATTACGTAGGCTTTAATAATTCCAAATTTAATTTGATTCTCAGAATATGGGAGGAGACTACATGCACAGTTCTAAAGCCATCACTGTTTTTGTTTTTATGATGTTTCCAGTTATTTCTAGGCTCTCTAGTCTCTCTCGTAACTAAGATAGACATATTCAATTCTGTATTTATATTCCTTTGCCAGTTTATACTTCATAGGTACAATCCATTACTGTTATAACTGGTCTATAAATGTCTTGTTTTCTTCTAACTCTTAGAACAGTGATAAAAATTCATTGGCATGCATGTAGTCCGTGTTACAGCCTAGATGGAACAAGCACATATGCTCATGTGTCATTTCTGACTCAGTGGTATCTCTACAAACTCTCAAACTTCTTGTAGAAATTTTTTATGTTGGCCTACCAGGGAGATCTGTTACAGTAATGAAGGAACTACTTAACTGCTCCCCTTGAGCCCTGAAGAAGTTAATAAACAAAAACATCACTGAAGTCTTAGTAATTTTGTGTGTTATACTCCCTGATGCATTTATAACTGACCAGAAAAGCTGGCAGATTTGTAAAGAGATTCCTCCTCTGCTCATGAGATATAGGAATGCCTACAACCAGGTCTATGGTATTATGTAGATCAATAACTGTCTTATGAGGAGTAGCTAGCCAGGGGCTTTTTCTTCTACTTCTGTTATGACTAGTAGAGATATGTCATTTTGTGTCATTGTTCCCTGGTGGTCACGTGATAGATAGTGTGGGAGAGTTGGCATTTTAGTCAAATATCTGACCTCCCCTCTTTCTATTGTAAACACTTTGGTTTTAGCTGGGCAAAATACCCGCCATGAGCTGCTTAAGTCAGGGATTTAATGTAAGATAATTCAACTTCTACCTTATTTAAAAAACTGTCATTGTGGTTTCTGAAAAACTGAATTTATAGCTTTACTAATACAGAATCAAACTATTTTTTAACAGGGTGACAAATTGCAACATTGTAAAGGAAGGCTTAATAGAAAAAAAAAATAGTACATAGTAATAGAACTGCTTGCTGAGTTCCAAGACTTTTAGAACAAGGTGAGGGGGGAGGACTTTTCCTTCCAATTCCTTCTTCATAACATTGGATGGAGTCCTTTTGGTGGGTATTTTGACAGCTTCCTTTTTGTTTTGTTTTCTTTTGTTTTGTTTTTGGAGACAGTCTCCCTCTATTGCCCAGGCTGGAGTGCAGTGGCACAATCTGGGCTCACTGCAACCTCCGACTCCTGGACTCAAGTGATTCTCATGCCCCAACCTCCCAAGTAGCTGAGATTACAGGCGTGCGCCACCACGCTGGCTAATTTTTATTTCATGATATTTTGTGGAGATAGGGTTTTGCCATGTTGGCCAGGCTGGTCTCTGAATTTCTGGCCTTAAGTGATCCGCCCGCCTCTGCCTCCTAAAGTGAGGGGATTACAGGCATGAGCCATTGTGCCCAGTGGACAGCATCTTTTGTTACTGCTCTTTTCCTAGAAAATCTCCAGTGTGGGGTTGCTAGGTAAATACAAAACATGCATTTAAATTTGAACTTTGGATAATGAATAATGTTTACTTCATGCATATTTAAAAGATATTTGTGAAAAAATTTATTGTTCATCTGAAGTTCAAATTCAACTGGGCATCTTTTTTAAGTTTTTGTATTATTTATTTATTTTTTTAAATGATGTGCTAAGTTTGGCAACACACCTCCAGAGTTTTCTGTTTTTCTGACTACTTTCTTCAAACTTCACTTTATAAAATGTCAAAAAGCAGCACACCACAGGTCTTAATTGATCTCTCCATTGCTGTTCCTACTTTAACATCATTCCATTCACCTCACACACCAATTTTATCTCACTCAATGAGAAATCAACCCACTTTTAAACTATTTATTATATTTTCAGGAGTGTGTGTAAGGTTAACTTTAAATGTAAATAAGTTAGGGGCCTTTCACTATATTTTTACATTTGTTGCGCACTTTAGTTCTATTATTATTATATTGTAATATATAATGAAATAATTATACAATTCACCATAATTTAGAATCAGTGGGATGCCTGAGCTTCTTTTCCTGCAACTGGACAGTCCCATCTTGGGGTAATGGGAGACAGTGACAGATCATCAGGCATCCAATTCTCATAAGCAGCATGAAACCTTGCATACACAGTTCACAATAGGGTTCAATCTCCTGTAAGAATCTAATGCAGCCAGTGATCTGACAGGAGGCGGAACTCAGGAGGTAGTGTGAAGGATGGGGAGCAGCTGTAAATACAGATGAAGCAGGCTGGTCCCCATGGTTCACACCTGTAATCCCAGCATTTGGGAGGCTGAGGTGAGCAGATCACTTGAGGTCTGGAGTTTGAGACCAACATGGCAAAACTCTGTCTCTACTCAAAATACAAAAATTAACCGAGCATGGTGGTGCACCCTAGTAATCCTAGCTACTAGGGAGGCTGAGACAGGAAAATTGCTTGAACTTTAAAGGCGGAGGTTGCAGTGAGCCCAGATCGTGACACTGCACTCCAGCCTGGGTGACAGAGCAAGACTCTGTCTCCATGGCCCAGGGACTGGGGGCCCTTGCTGTATAGGATGTGTGAAAACTCTGTGCACACAATCCAGGTGTGTAGCAGTGGTGTATGATCAGGAACAAGGTACTGAAATTAGTCCCTTGTCTAATCCAAGCTGTAGCTATGGCTTAAGGAAGTGTGAGGGTAAGTTAGCATCTGGTGGTCAGTGAGCTGCAATTGTCTCGATTTTGCTTATTTTGGGGCCAGTGTTTGTTCAGTTGCTAGAGAAAAAGAAAGAAAAAAAAACCTTGTTGCAGTTAGAATATAGTCTAACCTTTAGGTGTTGGGGATGGTACATGACTTATCCCTTTCCTGGCATGCCTTTAGGTCTTGTTTATAATTTGGTATCTTGTTGCTACAAAAAGTCCTTTTCCATCACTCTTATGATCTCTACTTTAATACTATCATCAAAACTGATTACACAAGTTCATCTGTTAATGTTCATTTTTATTGAGATTTTATATATTTACACTTCAAAAATTTCTTTTCACACATATGGAAACATATATGAATTTTAAAATATGCATCTTCATGAAAGTCCAAATAACACTATTTGGACTATAGTTTGAGTTCAGAAATTATATCTGCTGAAAATTTGGGTGGGAGTAAATATCTTCCTTCTTAGTTTAACTTTATTTTCAAGTGTTTGTCTTTATTTTGTTTATAATTGGCATGTAATCGTTGTCTATGCTTATGCAATACAGTGTGATGTTTCAACATGTGTGCATTGTATAATGATAAACTCAGTGTTGTTAGCATGCCCATCCCACCAAACCTTTGTCATTTTTTGTGAAGATAACTTTCAAGATTGTTATTTACAGCTGCCTGAAAATATACAAACATATTTATTAGTTATTGCCATCCCACTATGTAAGAGAGCACCAAAACTTATTCTTTCTTTCTGACTGGAACTTTGTACCAATTGAGCAAATGTTTCCATCTTCCATTCTCCACTCCCATCCCCAGCCTCTGGTAAACAGTATGCTACTCTTTACTTCTGTGAGATCAACTTTTCTAAATTACACCTATAAGTGAAATCACTGTAGTTTTCTTTCTGTGCCTCGCTTATTTTCCTTAATATTGTGTCCTTTAGGTTGATCCCTTCTGCCATTAATGACAGGATTTTTCCATTTTTATAGCAGAATAGCATACCACTGTGTATGTATACCACATTTTCTTTGTTAATTCATCTGCTAAAGGACACTTAGGTTGATTCCTTTTATTGGCAATTGTGAATGATGCTTTATAAACACAGGAGTGCAGATATGTTTTCAACATACTGATTTAAATATCTTTCCATATAAACCCAGTGGTGAAATTACTAGGTTATGTGGTGGTTTAATTTAATATTTTGAGGAATCTCCGCAGTGTTTTCCATAATGGCCAGGCTAGTCTACAATCCTAGCAGTAGTGTACAATAGTTTCCTTTCTTCGTGTCCTTGACAGCATTTGATATTTTACTTTCTTCTTGATAGTAGCCATTCTAACAAAAGTGAGGAGATATCTCATTGTGGTTTTGATTTGCATTTCCCCAGTGATTAGTGATATTGTGAATTTGTGAATTTCTTATATGCCTGCTGGCCCTTTGTATGTCTTCTTTTAAGATATGTCTTTTCAGACCTTTTGTCCATTTATTAATCAGATTATTTGGGGGGGGTGTTTTTCTATTGCATGATTTGAGTTCGTTATATATCATGAATATTAGCCTATTATCAGATGGATGGTTTGCAAATATTTTCTTCCATTCTGTAAGTTGCCTCTTTGCTCTGTTCATTGTATCTTTTCTTGTACAGAAGCTTTTTAGTTCAGTGTAATCCCATCTGTCTATTTTTGTTTTATTGACTGTGCTTTTCATGTACCACCAAAAAAAATTATTGATCAGACTAATGTTATGAACTGTTTTCCTTGTGGTTTTTTCTGATAGTTTTATAGTTTTGAGTATTATACTTAAGTCTATAATCTATTTTGAAATGATGTTTGTATGCAGTTAAAGATAAGGGTCTAGTTTCATTCTTCTTCATATGGATATCCAGTTTTTCCAGCACCATATATTGAAGAGACTATCTTTTCTTCCATGTGTGTTTTTGGCAGCTTTGTCAAAAAATATGTGACCATAAGTGTGTAGAATTAATTTTGGGTTCTCAATTTTGTCGCATTGATCTTTGTTTTTATTTTTATACAAGTACCATGCCGTTTTGGTTATTATTGCTTTATACAGTATTTGGAAGTCAGGTAAGGTGATGCCTCCAGCTTTGCTCCTTTTTTATTTGTTTTATTTTTTATTCTGATATGTATTTAAATACAAGGTAAAATATTACAATCATACTAACAGAAATATGAGAATTTTTAGTGAAACAAGATGAGTGATTCTAGAGCATTTATTTTCAGTAAATTTTAACTCAATTTTATACTATATATACTATGCTATTTGTACTAGAAGTATTTGTAATTTTAGTTAATATTGATAATTTATTTTGGTGAAGAGAAATTTCATGAACCTATCTATTCTGACACCTCTCTATCATGACAAAGAGATATATAAATAATTTAAAAAATTAACTCCTTTTCAATTGCAACAAAAACAAAAATTGACAAATGAAGTCTAATCAATCTAAAGAGCTTCTGCATAGCAAAAAAACCTATCAACCAAGTAAACAGACAACCTAAAGAATGAAATAAATTTTTTGGAAACTATGCATCTGAAAAAGATCTAATATCCAGCATCTATAAGAAACTTAAAAAAAATCTACTAGATTAAAACAAACAATCCCATTAAAAAGTGGGCAAATGACATGAACAGACACTTTTCAAAAGAAGGCATACCTGTGGCCAATGAGCATATTAAAAAAGCTTAATATCACTGATCATAAGAGAAATGCAAATTAAAACCACAGTGAGATACCATCTCACACCAGTTAGAATTGTTATTATTAACAACAAAACATAGCAGGTATTGGCAAGGTTTTGGAGAAAAAGGAACACTTATACACTGTTTGTGGGTGTGTTAACTAGTTCAACCATTGTGAAAGGCAGTGTGGTGATTGCTCAAAGACCTAAAAACAGAAATACCATTCAACCCAGCAATCCCATGACTGGGTATATATTCAAAGTAATATAAATTTTTCTGCCATAAAACATATGAATGCTTATGTTCACTGCAGCACTATTCACAATAGCAAACTCATGAAATCAACCTAAATGTCCATCAATGGTAGAAAGGATGAAGAAAATATGTTAAATATACACCATGGAATACTATGCAGCCAGAAAAAAGAATGAGATCATGTCCTTTGTATGAACAGCAATGGAGCTGGAAGCCATTATCCTTAGCAAACTAACACAGGAATAGTAAACCAATACTGCATGTTCTCACTTATAATTGGGGGCTAAATGATGAGAACACATGGACACATAGAGGGGAACAACAGACAGTGGAAGGGAGGAGGGGGAGAGGATCAGGAAAAATAACTAATGGACACTAGACTTAACATGTGGGTGATGGAACAATTTGTAAAACAAACCCCCATGACATGAGATTACCTGTATAACAAACCTGCACAGGTACCCCTGAACGTAAAATGAAAGTTAAAAAAACTTCCTTTTAAAAATTTTATTTTAGTTTCAGTGAGTACAGGTGAAAGTTTGTTACCTGGGCAAATTGCACGTCAGGCTTTGATGTACAAATTGTTCACCCAACTATTGAGTATAGTACCTGATATGCATTTTTTTAATCCTCATCCTCCTTCCACCCCTCACCCTCACGTAAACTATGGTGTCTATTGTTTCCTTTTTTGTGTACACGTGTATTCAATATTTAGTTCCCATTTATATGCAGTGTTAGGTTTTCTGTTTCTGTGTTAATTTGTTTAAGATAATAACCTCCAGTTGTATCCATTTCACTGAAAATAAGGTTATTTCATTTTCTAAAAAAATTACTTCCAACCATGGTGATGGGATTATTTTGTTTTTCTTTATGCCTGCATAGTATTCCATGGTGTATAAGTACAACATTTTCTTTATCTAGTACACCATTGATAGGCATTTAGGTTGATTCCATGTCTTTGCTATTGCAAATAGTGCTCTATTTTTTGGAATAGTTTCAGTGGCAATGGTACCAGGTCTTCTTTATATTTTGGTAGAATTCGGATGTGAATCCATCTGCAGGAAAGTCTGGTCCAGGGCTCTTTCTGGTTGGTAGGTTTTTCATTATTGATTTATTACTGATGTTCATTATTGATCATATTTCTCATTTGTTTATGAAGATTAGTTTGGCCGGATATAAAATTCTTGGTTGAAATTATCTTTAAGAATGATGAATATGGGCTCCAATCTCTTCTGACTTGTACAGATTCTCCTGAAGAATTTGCAAGTTTCTTGATGGGGTTTTCTTTTGTGAGCAACCTGTCCCTTCTCTGCAGCTCTTTTATATATATATATATTTCATTGACCTTGGGGAATCTGATTTCTATGTGTCTTGGAAATGGTCATCTTGCAGGGGTTCTTTGTATTTTCTCAATTTGAATGTGAACTTTTCTAGTATGCTTCAGAAAATTTTCATAGACAATATGCTTAAATATGTTTTCCAAGTTGCTTTTTGTCTCTGTGTCTCTTTCAGGAATGCCAATTCTTTGTAGGTCTGGTCTCTACATAATTCTATATTTCTTGGAGGTATTGTTTATTTTAAAAAGAATTAAAATTTCTTTCTGATAGAGTTGATTTGAAGAACTGGCCTTAAAATCTTATTCTATTTTGCTCATCTTAGTCTGTCTTCCTGTTAATAATTTCTGATTGTATTACAGAATTCTTGTAGTGAGTATTTCAGCTCTTATGATCAGTTTTGTTCTTTCTTAAAATGGCTATTTTGTCTTTCAGTTGTTGAATCATTTTTGGATTCCTTATATTCCTTGGATTTTGTTTTGACTTTCTCCTGAATTTCTGTGATCTTTGTTTCCATCCAGATTCTAAATTCTGTTTGTCGTTTCAGCCATTTTGGTCTGGTTAAAAACCATTGCTAGGGAGCTAGTGCAGTTGTTTGGGGATAAGAAGACATTCTGGCTTTTAGAGTTTCAGAGTTCTTGCACTGGTTGTTTTGTATGTGTGTGGGCTGATGTTCATTTAATCTTTGAAGTCGCTCTTCTTTGTATGGTGCTTTTTGCTTGTATTTTCTTTGGTGTCCTTGAAGGTTTGACTGGTATAAGTTGGGTTTAGTTGATGGCCTTCATTTCTAGATGATTCAGGGGGCCAACATTCAGCTCTGCACTACTGGGCTGTGTAATTTAACCATGGGTAGATGGTACCAGGCCTGTGATTTTGTTCTCTGTCTCCTCCAGGTTAAGCACCTGCTGTGCTGGATGGGCCAAGGTGCTCCCTGTCTGGTGGCAACAATACTCCAATGGGAGTGCTGGCGAAAGTGATTCATTTGAGTAGTGGCAGTGGGTTCCATGCATGCATGCATGCTTGTGTCAGCAGGATCGGTGTGCAAGTGTGTATCCAAGCAGTGGCATGGCATTGACATGGTCGGGTCTGCAAGTGCACACAGTCTCCACTGGCAGAGTGCAGTGGGGTCTGCACATGTGTGCACACCACCAGCAGCAGCATGGCAGTGTTCACATGTGCATGTGCCAGCACATCTGTAGGGGAGACTGTGGGTGAGTGCACATCAGCAGAAGCTGCGGGTGGTGCTTATCAGCAGAAGCTCTCTGATGGTTAAGCAAGATCTGTCAGTGTAGGAGCTATGAAGTTGGCTGCTGGGAAATGCCTCAGTTGGGCATCTGAGTCTGTGCTACAAGCAACTATAGCCAGGCAGGGACCCTGGGAAAGGCTGGTAGATAGGGGGATGCTCAGATCACACTGGCCGCATCCTACAGGCAACATAACCCTATTCTGTACAGGACTGATAGTCAACAAAATCCAAATCCACCTACATGAACATGTTATGCCTCAGGGAATGGGCATCCATGATGGTGCTCCACTGCAGCCATTCTGGCACCAAAACCTCTGAGTCCCATGCAGGCTGGAGCCCTGTCCCTGCCAACTCCCCAAGAAGCTCTTTCTGCTAGCTCAAATGCCTGTTAGGGACATGGGGTTTTCTGCAGCTATGATTCTGGAGGTTTGTGGACTCCTTCTTTACACCAAATGCAAAAATTAAATCAAGATGGATTAAAGATGTAAATGTAAAACCAAAAACTATAAAAATCCTGGAAGACAACCTATACAATACTGTTCTCCACATAGGAATCAGCAAAGATTTTATGATGATGCCAAAAGCAATTGCAACAAAAGCAAAAATCAGCAGAGTAAACAAACAGCCTATGGAAAGGAAAATAAATTTTGCAATCTATGCATCTGACAAAGTCTAATATGAAGCATCTATAAGGAGCTTAAACAAAACTACAAGAAAAAAAAACAGACCTATTAAAAAGTGGGCAAAAGACATAAACAGGCACTTTTCTTCTTTTCTTTAAATAGCTACCTTTATTTGTAAAGTTCATTTTTAAAAATTTTGTATTTCAATAGTTTTGGCGGTACAGGTGGTTTCTGGTTACATGTATGTGTTCTTTAGCAGTGATTTAGAGATTCTGGTGCACCATCACTAAAGCAGTATACACTGTACTCAATAGGTAGTCTTTTATTCATCACCCCAATCCTACCTTTCCCCTTGTGTCCACAAAGCCAATTATATCATTCTTATGCCTTTGCATCCTCATAGCTTAGCTCCCACTTATAAGTAAGAACATACATCATTTGGCTTTCTATTTCTGAGTTACTTCACTTAGAATAATGGCCTCCGGAACTCACCACAGCACAGAAAAGCAGCTATGGCCAGACTGCCTTACTAGATTCCTCCCCACTGGGCAGGGCATCTCTGAAAGAAAGGCAACAGCCCCAGTCAGAGGCTTATAGATAAAATTCCCATCTCCCTGGGACAGAACACCTGGGGGAAGGGGAGGCTGTGGGCGCAGCTTCAGCAGACTTAAATGTTCCTGCCAGACGGCTCTGCAGAGAGCAGCGTATCCTGACAAGGAGGATTCTCCCAGCACAGAACGGGAGCTCCACTAAGGGACAGACTGCTTCCTTAAGTGGGTCCCTGACCCCCGTGCCTCCCGACTGGGAGACAGCTCCCAGCAGGGGTCAGCAGACACCTTATACAAGAGAGCTCCAGCTGGCATCTGGCAGGTGCCTCTCTGAGACAAAGCTTCCAGATGAAGGAGCAGGCAGCAGTCTTTGCTGTTCTGCAGCCTCTGCTGGTGATACCCAGGCAAACAGGGTCTGGAGTGGACCTCCGGCAAACTACAGCAGACATGCAGAAAAGGGGCCTGATTGTTAGAAGAAAAACTAAAAAACAAAAAGTAATAACATCAACATCAAAGAAAAAGAAGGAACCCCATTTAAAAAAACCCATCCAGGCATGGCTGGCAATATGGCTAAACAAGAACAGTTCTGATCTGCAGCTCCCAGCAAGGTCAACACAAAAGGAGGGTGATTTCTGCATTTCCAACTGAGTTACCTGGCTCATCTCATTGGGACTGGTTAGACAGTGGATGCAGCCCATGGAGGGTGAGCAGAAACAGGGTGGGGCATCACCTCACCCAGGAAGTGCAAGGGGTTGAGGAACTCCCTCCCCTAGCCAAGGGAAGCTGTAAGGGACTGTGCCATGAAGAATGGTGCATTCCAACCCACATACTATGCTTTTCCCATGGTCTTTGCAACCCACAGACCAGGAGATTCCCTCGGTGCCTACACTACCAAGGCCCTGCATTTCAAGCACAAAACTGGGCATCTGTGTGGGCAGAAACTGATCTAGCAGCAGGAGTTTCTTTTCGTAACCTAGTGACGCCTGGAATGCCAGTGAGATGGAACCATTCACTTCCCTGGAAAGGGGGCTGAAGCCAGAGAGACAAGTGGCCTAGCTCAGTGGATCCCACCCCCGGAAAGCCCAGCAAGCTAAGATCCGTGAAATTCTTGCTGCCAGCACAGCAGTATGAAGTCAATCTGGGATGCTCCAGGTTGGTGGGGGGAGGGGTGTCCACTATTACTAAGGCTTGAGTAGGCGGTTTTCCAATCACAGCATAAACAAAGCTGCCAGGAAGTTCAAACTGGGTGAAGCCCACCACAGCTTGGCAAAGCCACTGTAGCCAGACTGCCTCTAGATTCCTCCATTCTGGGCAGGGCATCTTTGAAAGAAACACAGCAGCCCCAGTCAGGGGCTTATAGATAAAACTTTCATTTCCCTGGGACAGAGAACCTGGGAAAGGGGTGGCTGTGGGCGCAACTTCAGCAGACAAATGTTCCTGCCTGCCAGCTCTGAAGAGAGCAGCACATCTCCCAGCACAGCACTCGAGCTCTGCTAGGGACAGACTGCCTCCTCAACTGGGTCCATAACCCCCATGCCTCCTGACTGTGAGGCACCTCTCAGAAGGAGTCAACAGACACCTCATATAGGAGAGCTCTGGCTGACATCTGGAGGGTGCCCCTCTGGGATGAAGCTTCCAGAGGAAGGAAAAGGCAGCAATCTTTGCCATTCTGCAGCCTCTGCTGGTGATACTCAGGCAAACATGGTCTGGAGTGGACCTACAGCAGTCTCCAGCAGACCTGCAGCAGAGGGGCCTGACTGTTAGAAGGAAAACTAACAAACAGAAAGGAATAATATCAACATCAACAAAAACAACCACACCAAAACCCCATCCAAAGGTCACCAACATCAAAGACCAAAGGTAGACAAATCTATAAAGATAGAGAGAAACAAGCGAAAAAAGGCTGAAAATTGCAAAAACTAGAAGGCCTCTTCTCCTCCAAAGGATCACAATTCCTTTTCAGCAAGGGAACAAAACTGAACAGAGAATGAATTTGACAAATTGACAGAAGTAGGCTTCAGAAGGTGGATAATAACAAACTCCTCTGGGCTAAAGGAGCATGTTCTAACCCAATGCAAAAAAGCTAAGAAGCTTGAAAAAAAGGTTCGTTGAATTGCTAACTAGGATAACCAGTTTAGAGAACATAAATGACCTGATGGAGCTGAAAAACATAGCATGAGAACTTCGTGAAGCATACGCAAGTATCAATAGCTGAATCAATCAAGCAGAAGAAAGGACATCGAGGTTGAAGATCATCATAATGAAATAAAGCGTGAAGACAAGATTAGAGAAAAAAGAATAAAAAGAAACGAACAAAGTTTCCAAAGTATATGGGACCATGTGAAAAGACCAAACCTATGTTTGATTGGTGTACCTGAAAGTGATGGGGAGAATGGAACCAAGTTGGAAAACACTCTTCAGGATATTATCCAGGAGAACTTCCCCAACCTAGAAAGACAGGCCAACATTCAAATTCAGGAAATGCAGAGAACACCACAAACATACTCCTCGAGAAGAGGAACCCCAAGGCACATAATCGTCAGATTCACCAAGGGTGAAATGAAGGAAAAAATTATCAGGTCAGCCAGAGAGAAAGGTCGGGTTACCCACAAGGGAATCCCATCAGACTAACAGCAGATCTCTGTTAGTCAGAAGAGTGGGGCCAATATTCAACATTCTTAAATAAGAGAATTTTCAACCCAGAATTTCATATCCAGCCAAACTAATCTTCATAAGTGAAGGAGAAATAAAATCCTTTACAGACAAGCAAATTCTGAGAGATTTTCTCACCACCAGGCCTGCCTTCCAAGAACTCCTGAAGGAAGCCCTAAACATGAAAAGGAACATCTGGAACCAGCCACTGCAAAAACATACCAAATTGTAAAGACCATGGACACTATGAAGAAATTGCATCAATTAACGGACAAAACAGTGAGCAAGCATCATAATGACAGGTTCAAATTGACCCATAACAATATTAACCTTAAATGTAAATGGGTTAAATGCCCCAGTTAAAAGACACACACTGGCAAATTGGATAAAGAGTCAAAACCCATTGGTGTGCTGTATTCAGGAGACCCATCTCACATGCAAAGAAACACATAGGCTCAAAATAAAAGGATGGAGGAATATTTACCAAGGAAATGGAAAACAAAAAAAAAGCAAACATTGCAATCCTAGTCGCTGAAAAAAACAGACTTTAAACCAACAAAGATCAAAAGAGACAAAGGAGGGCATTACATAATGGTAAAGGGATCAATGCAACAAGAAGAGCTAACTATCCTAAGTATACATGCACCCAATACAGGAGCAACCAGATTATAAACCAAGTTCTTAGAGACCTACAAAGAAACTTAGACACCCACACAATAATAGTGGGAGACTTTAACACCCCATTGTTAATATTGGACAGATCAGTGAGACAAAATTAACCAGGATATTCAAGACTTGAACTCTGCTCTAGACCAAGCAGGCCTAATAGACATCTACAGAACTCTCCACCCCAAATCAACAGAATATACATTCTTCTCAGCACCACATCACACTTATTCTAAAATTGACCAAATAATTGAAAGTAAAACACTCCTCAGGAAATGCAAAACAATGGAAATCATATCAAACAGTCTCTCAGACAACAGGGTAATCAAATTAGAACTCAGGATTAAGAAACTCACTCGAAACCCCACAACTTGGAAACTGAACAACCTGCTTCTGAATGACTACTGGGTAAATAATGAAATAAAGACAGAAATAAATAAGTTATTTGAAACCAATAAGAACAAAAACACAATGTGGCAGAATCTGTGGGACACAGCTACAGCCATGTTTAGAGGGAAAATTATAGCACTAAATGCCCACAAGAGAAAGTGGGAAAGATCTAAAATTGAAAACCTAACATCACAATTAAACGATCTAGAGAAGCAAGAACAAACAAATTCCAAAGCTATCAGAAGACAAGAAATAACTAAGATCAGAGCAAAACTGAAAGAGATAGAGACATGAAGAACCCTTTGAAAAATCAATGAATCCAGGAGCTGTTTTTTTTAAAGATCAACAAAATAGATAATCTGCTAGCCAGACTAACAAACAAGAAGAGAAAGAAGAATCAAATAGGTGCAATAAAAAATGCTATAGGGGATAAACTACTGATCCCACAGAAATAAAAACTTCCATCAGAGAATACTATAAACACCTCTATGCAAATATACTAGAAAATCTAGAAGAAATGGATAAATTCCTGGACACATAAACCCTACTAAGTCTAAACCAGAAAGAAGTCGAATCCCTGAAAAGACCAATAACAAGTTCTGAAATTGATGCAGTAATTAATAGCCTAACAACCAAAAAGAGTCCAGGATCAGATGGATTCACAGCCGAATTCTACCACAGGTGAAAAGAGGAGCTGGTAGCATTCCTTCTGAAACTATTCCAAACAATAGAAAAAAAGGGAATCCTCCTTAACTCATTTTAAGAGGTCAGCATCATCCTGATACCAAAACCTGGCAGAAACAAAACCAAAAAAGAAATTTCAGGCCAATATCCCTGAGGAATATGTGAAAATTCTCAATAAAATACTAGCAAGCCAAATCCAGCAGCACATCAAAAAGCTTATCGACCATGATCAATTCGGCTTCATCCCTGGGATGCAAGGCTGGTACAACATACCTGAATCAATTTTAATGCAATCCATCACATAAACTGAATCAATGACAAAAACCAGATTATCTCAATAATACTGGGTATATATACAGCATTGCATAATAAAAATCATGCTTTGTTATTATTCAATAACAAAGTAAGTCTTGTGGCACTGTGCCTTAAAAGTGTGGCATTAAAAGTCCACTTAATTCTTCCTTTCTTTTCTTGACATGGTGAGTATGCAGTAAAAATAATTGTGGGTTGGTGATATATGGGACACTCAAAACACTTTTGAGTTGTGACTGCATCACTGCAATTTTTAGTGGGTTGAGCTGCAGTGCAAAGTGACATTGGGTCAGTTTTGCAGCTACTCAATACTGTCAGTGTGGCTGAAAACAGCTATGCATAATATAAAAACAAATCCATATGGCTAGGTATAAAAACTTTATGAGGAATGAAATTTTTATTTTATATACTTTTCATATTTTATAAAATATTATTTTATTAATCATTAAAAATGTAAAAGCCATTCTTAGCTAATGGGTAATATAAGAATATATAGCAGGCCATGCTTGACATATAGTTTGTAATTTGCTAATTTCTCTTTTAGAAAACTGTGATATACTAGTTTAGGTTAATAATTGTTGAGAAGATTTACAGAGGCTCTGAGGGAAAAGAACAGATAATGCATTGGAAGAAATAAGGATAAGTTACATATTAGACTCACTTTAATACAAATAAGAAAAGTTTTTTTTACCTTCTTTATTATGACAGAAAAACAGAATGATCAAACAGGCTTCCACTCAAGAGATACTGTCCTGCAAGTGAGGCATTTGAATAGTATAAAATTAGAAGGATGTGAAGGAAGAGGGGTAGTGTATTAACATATCAATTTTAAAATACAGCCATTTAAAGAAGAGTTTCTCTCTCTCTCTCCCTCCATCCCTCTCTCTCTCTCTCTTAACAGCACCAGAGCAGGCCATTTATCTGTGTTCTTGTGGCACTTTAACTATATAAGGCCATTCAGAAAATGATTCATGCTTTTTTTATCTTGTTTGTCTACCATTCTGTACAATGTGGTCTTCATCTGTATGATCAAAGGCAAATCACCACCATATTTGTATTCCAGGCTGTAAGACAGGGAGAAGTAAAAGACCAGGACAAGTGACTTTAACTAAGTAATACACATCGCTTTCATTCACATCTCATCAGCCAGGACAAAATCAGATGACCACACCTAGCTGCATGGGAGGCAATAAACTTGTCTCTAGTTAAGTGGTCATAGGCGAGTGCTTCAAACGTGTTTTCCCTATTACTGAAAGAGAGTGTTGTAGATGAGAGACCGAAGATACAGTCTCTTTTTACTTGATAAAAGTGGTAAATTTTCTTCAACAGAATTTCTATTTTACTTCTTAATAAATTTATTAGAAGTGTTTTACAGAAATTTTCAGATCATTTATTTATTTAATGAGTCAAACACGCATGAACAGGCACTCTTCCAAATAATCCAAATAAAGTATCTAGCTAGATGACATATTTACTCACATGGAGCTAACATTCTAGAGAAGAACATATAGAATAAACAAAGATTCAATTTAATAAAAATGTTAAGAACAATGACATTTAGATAAGTTGGGTTAATAATCAGATTACTGAGTAGCAAAATTGTAAGTGGAAACATGCAAAACTTTAAAGCTAGTTCTGGCTCTTGCACCAACAGGTAATTTTCTGCATTTGTTTTTTAATAGATTACATCGTTATCTTAAGTCATCTGAACCTATAGAGATACATACAGGGAACACCTGCTAGGAGTAAGGTTAGGCAAAGAAATTCAGTTGTGTCTTTCTCATGTTGATCCATCTGATAAAAGAATAGCTAGAATAGATAGATAAAGAATAGCAATTTTTGCACTATAAATCTAATAATGTGGGCCAGGCATGGTGGCTCACGCCTGTAATCCCAGCTGTTTGGGAGGCGGAGGCGGGTGGATCACCTGAGGTCGGGAGTTTGAGAACAGCCTGATCAACATGGAAAAACCCCATTTCTACTAAAAATACAAAATTAGCCAGGCTTGGTGGTGCATGCCTGTAATCCCAGATACTGGGGAGGCTGAGGTAGGAGAATCGCTTGAACCCGGGAGGCGGAGTTTATGGTGAGCCAAGATCACGCCATTGCACTCCAGCCTGGGCAACAAGAGCAAAGCTCCGTCTCAAAAAAAAAAAAAAAAAAAAAAAAAAATCGAATAGTGTGTCTTTTTTTTTTTTTTTTTTTTTTCTGTTAAGCATGTGAACGTTGGAATGCTGGAGATGACCTTTGTACTATTTGGTACTTGAGTCTTTTTAATTATCTTCTTTGCTTATTCCAAGAAGAAGTTTAGATATTCCCTTATTTGGGCTTCACATAATATGTCTGCCTAATTCTGCCAATATGTACCAAAGTGTATTTTGCACTT
Source organism: Homo sapiens (assembly GCF_000001405.40). NCBI lineage: Eukaryota > Metazoa > Chordata > Mammalia > Primates > Hominidae > Homo > Homo sapiens. The sequence goes on from NC_000023.11 coordinate 57,248,995, forward strand.
TTATGAAAAATAGAGAAGGTTCAATGATGGCCTAAGACATAGAGTGCTTTTGTGATGTAGTTTTAAGTTATATATGTCATTTTACAAAATACTATGTGAATTTCCAAACTTTGGAAGTAAAATTTGTCTAGATATTGAAATATGAGTTTGGAGCCAAAGAATGTTTTTTAAATAAGATTGTTATCATAGTGCTATTGTGGCAGGCCAGGTCTCCATTAGCAACCAGAACAGTCAGTTTCCACTAACCCTTTACTATAGTTCTGATGAATGTATAAGTTAAACATTAAAGAATTGGAGAAACTAGTGCTTTAGTACAAGGGCTGGGATGTGAAAACAAAACCATTAAGACCTTGCCTGGGTTTTCTCAGAACTTAAAGCCTGATAAAATAATGAAGGCATTCTTACACACACCTTGTTCCAGGGCCCATTAAGATTAACAAATTTTTCCAAGGCTCTGAATTAAACTTCCAGGCCCCAGACCCTAGTTAAAGATTAGATTGAGTGAAACACTCCTGTTTATAGTTGCACACGTGCATGCAGGCATATAGCTTGAATGTATTAATGTATAAGCAAGTGCTGAAAAAAATCTTGTAACTTTGGGTTGGTCTGGTGAACTACCCTGACCTTCTCCTTATGGCCAGTTACAGAAATAAACTCTCTTCTTTCCCAGTCTGTCTGTAACTCGTTAATTGGACCATGAGACCAAGTAGCTGGACTCCAGTTTTTTCTGGGTATACTATGTTTGCTTGACTTTTGATATGCTGGGTTCTTTGAATATGCAAATGTCTTTATTTAAAATCCATTTTAATTTCCCTGCTGAAGCCATTGAAGGAAGGCCACAGATTGGATGAATCATGAAGACTAATATTTTACTTGATTTAGGAGGAATGCAGTTCAAAATGACTATTGCTTAGAGATTCTGGTCACAATAAATATAACCTTGACTGCATTTAAATGGAAAGTCTTTTATACTTCTGAAATGGCTAGTTTAGTGTCCTAAACTAATGTGTGGACCATTGTAATTTACCATGAAGACTTCATAAAACAAAGGCCATAGACATTGAACAAACTGTGAGCTTTATTTAGATGGCATTTAAAAATTTATTTTGACATATCCTTGCAAAAGTGATTGGAACCATAATTGGAAGTTGGATACAGCAATAATTGTGAGCAATTTATTGTGGCATCTCCTTACAGAGATATATATTCTATACAACTAAACTCCTTCAAATACTTGAAGAACATCTGTAAGGGATCAAAATATGCCAGCTCAGTTCCCTTTCTACACATTAAGTAGAAGCTATCAAAAAAATAAATTAAGAAAACCATATCATTTGTAATGGCATCAGTAAGAATAAAATAGATAGGAATAAATTTAACCAAGGAGGTGAAACATTATGGCATTCAACACTTTAAATGTGTGAATTGTATGATATATGAATTGTATCTCAATAAAGCTGTTTAAATAACAATGTACTATATTCTTAAAATTTGCTATGACAGTAGATTGAAAGTGTTCTCACCAAAAAAAATAGTGCGTTTGTTAGGTAATGCATATGTTAATAAGCATGATCTAGCCAATCCACAATGTAAACATATTTTAAGACACCATGTTATACACCATTAATATATATAATTTTTGTCTACTAAAATAATTATAAATAATTAAAAAACAGGAGATATTACAATTGATACTACAGAATTACAAAAGTTCACACTAGTTGAGTATGAACAATTGTACACCAACAAAAAAGATAACCTAGAAGAAATAAAAAAAAAACTAAGAAACATTCAACCTAAAAAGACTGAATCATGAAGAAATAGAAAATATGAACAGACTAACAATTATTAAGGAGATTGAATCAATAATCAAAACTTTCCCAACAAATAGAATCCCAGGACCTGATGGCTTCCCTGGTGAATTATACCAAACATCTAAAGAAGAATTAAAATCTATCTTCTCAAACACTTCCAAAAAATTCATTAGGAGATAACACTTCCAAACTCATTTTGCAAGGCCAGTATTAGTCCAAAGCCTGACAAGGATACTACAAGAAAAGAAAATATAGGTGAATATCCCTGATGAACAAAACACAAAAATTCTCAACAAAACGCTGGCCAACTGAATTCAAATGCATATTAAAAGGATCATACAACATAATCAAGTGGAATTTATTTCTGGGATAAATGGATGGTTCATTATATGCAAAACAAATAAATGTGATACATTACTTTAAAAGAATCAAAAACAATAACCATATGATTATCTTAATAGATGCAGTGAAAGCGTTTAATATAATTCAACATCTTTACATGATAAAATCTCTCAAAAAACTAGAGTTAGTAGGAAGGTACCTCAACACAACAAAGGCCATATACCCCAAGTCAACAGCTAACCTCATACTAAGTGGTAAAATGCTGAAAGTTTCTCCTCTAAGATCAGGAACAAGACAAGGATTCTCACTGATGCCAATTCAATTCAACGCAGTACTAAAAGTCTTAATCAGAGTAGTTAGGCAAGAGAAAGAAACAAAGTCATCCAAATTGGAAACGAGTTAAAATGTCTCTGTTTGCAGGTGACATGATCTTATATACAGAAATCCCTAAAGACCCCACCAAAAACTGTTAAAACTAACAAATTCCATGAAGCTGCTGAACAAAAAATCAGTTCTCTTTCTATACACTAGATAGAAACTATTCAAAAAAGAAATGAAGAAAATCATGAGAGTCGCTTCCAAGACGGCCGAATAGGAACAGCTCTGGTCTACAGTTCCCAGTGAGATCGACACAGAAGATGGGTGATTTCTGCATTTCCAACTGAGTTACCTGGTTCATCTCACTAGGAATGGTTGGAGAGTGGGTGCAGCCCATGGAAGGTGAGCCAAAGTGGGGGGTGGGGGAGTGTTGCCTCACCCAGGAAGTGCAAGGGGTCAGGGGATTTCCCTTTCCTAGCCAAGGGAAGCCATGAGTGACTGTACCTGGAGGAGCGGTACACTCCTTTCCAAATGCTGTGCTTTTCCCATGGTCTTCACAACCAACAGACCAGGAGATTCCTGGAGACCTGCAGACCAGGAGACCTGCCTGGCTTGGTGGTTCCCACACCCACAGAGCCTTGCTCGCTGCTAGTGAATCAATCTGAGATTAACCTGGGATGCTGAAGTTTGGCAGGGGGAGGGGCGTCTGCCATTGCTGAGGCTTGAGAAGGCGGTTCTATGCTCACAGTGTAAGCAAAGCAACAGGGAAGCTCTAACAGAGCAGAGCCCACCGCAGCTCAGCAAGACGTACTGCCTTTCTAGATTCCACCTCTGGGGAGAGGGCATATCTGAACAAAAGGCAGGAGACAGCTTCTCCAGACTTAAATGTCCCTGACAGACAGCTCTGAAGAGAGCAGTGATTCTCCCAGCATGGCGTTTGAGCTCTGCTAACAGACAGACTGCTTACTCAAGTGGATCCCTGACACCCGTGTAGCCTGATTGGTAGACACCTCCCAGTAGGGACTGACAGACACCTCATACAGGACATCTCTGGCTGGCATCTAGAGGTTGCCCCTCTGGGACAAAGCTTCCAGATGAAGAATCAAGCAGCAATATTTGCTGTTCTGGAGCCTCTGCTGGTGATACCCAGGCAAACAGGGTCTGGAGTGGACCTCCAGTAAACCCCAACAGACCTGCAGCTGAGGGGTCAGTCTGTTAGAAGGAAAACTAACAGAAAGGAATAGCATCAACATCAACAAAAGGACGTCTACACCAAAACCCCATCTGTAGGTCACCAACATCAAATAACAAAGGTAGATAAAACCACGAAGATGGGAAGAAACCAGAGCAGAAAGGCTGAAAATTCTAAAAACCAGAATGCCTCCTCTCCTCCAAAGGAACACAACTCCTTGCCAGCAAGGGCACAAACCTGGATGGAGAATGAGTTTGACAAGTTGACAGAAGTAGGCTTCAGAAGGTCGGTAATCACAAACTTCTCCGAGCTAAAGGAGCATGATCTAATCCATTGCAAGGAAGCTAAAAACCTTGAAAAAAAGGTAAGACGAATGGCTAACTAGAATAACCAGTGTACAGAAGAGCTTAAATTACCTGATGGAGCGGAAAACCACAGTACTAGACTTCGTGAAGCATACACAAGCTTCAATAGCCAATTCGATAAAGCTTAAGAAAGGATATCAGTGATTGAAGATCAAATTAATGAAATAAAGCCAGAAGACAAGCTTAGAGAAAAAAGAGTGAAAAGAAACAAAAAAAAAAGCCTCCAAGAAAAATGGGACTATGTGGAAAGACCAGATCTACGTTTGATTGGTGTAACTGAAAGTAATGGGGAGAATGGAAACAAGTTGGAAAACACTCTTCAGGATATTATCCAGGAGAACTTCCCAAACCTAGCAAGGCAGGCCAACATTCAAATTCAGGAAATACAGAGAACACCAAAAAGATACTCTTTGAGAAGAGCAACCCCAAGACACATAATTGTCAAATTCACCAAGGTAAAAATGAAGGAAAAAATGTTAATGGCAGCCGGAGAGAAAGGTCAGGTTACCCGCAAAAGGAAGCCCATCAAACGAACAGTGGATCTCTTGGCAGAAACCCTAAAAGCCAGAAGAGATTGGGGGTCAACATTCAACATTCTTAAAGAAAAGAATTTTCAATCCAGAATTTCATATCCAGCCAAACTAAGCTTCATAAGTGAAGAGGAATAAAATTCTTTACAGAGAAACTAATGGTGAGAGATTTTGTCACCACAAGGCCTGCCTCACAGGAGCTCCTGAAGGAAATACTAAACATGGAAAGGAAAGGAGCAACCCATACCAGCCACTGTAAAAACATGCCAAATTGTAAAGACCATCAACACTATGAAGAAATTGCATTAATTAATGGACACAATAACGAGCTAACATCATAATGACAGGGTCAAATTCACACATAACAATATTAACCTTAAATGTAAATAGGCTAAAGGTCCCAATTAAAAAACACAAATCTTTATCCAATCTGGCAAATTAGATAAAGAGTGAAGACCCATTGGTGTGCTGTATTCAGGAGACTCACCTCACGTGCAAAGACACACATAGGCTCAAAATAAAGGGATGGAGGAAGATCTACCAAGCAAAAAAAAAAGGCAAGGGGTGCAATCCTGGTCTTTGATAAAACAGACTTTAAACCAATAAAGATCAAAAGAGACAAGGCCATTACATAATGGTAAAGGGATCAATTCAACAAGAAGAGCTAACTATGCTAAATATATATGCACCCAATACAGGAGCACCCAGATTCATAAAGCAAGTCCTTAGTGACCTACAAAGAGACTTAGACTCCCACACAATAATAATGGGAGACTTTAACACCCCACTGTCAATATTAGACAGATCAATGAGACAGAAAATTAACAAGAATATCCAGGATTTGAACTCAACTCTGGATCAAGTGAGCCTAATAGGCATCTATAGAACTCTCCACTCCAAATCAGCAGAATATACATTCTTCTCAGCACCACATCGCACTTATTCTAAAATTGACCACATAGTTGGAAGTAAAACACTCCTCAGCAAATGTAAAAGAACAGAAATCACAACAAACTGTCTCTCAGTCCAGAGTGCAATCAAATTAGAACTCATGATTAAGAAACTCACTCAAAACCACACAACTACATGGAAACTGAAAAATTTGCTCCTGAATGACTACTGGGTAAATAAAGAAATGAAGGCAGTAATAAAGAAGTTCTTTGAAACCAATGAGAACAAAGACACAACATACCAGAATCTCTGGGGCACATTTAAAGCAGTGTGTAGAGGGAAATTTATGGCACTGAATGCCCTCAAGAGAAAGCAAGAGACATCTAAAATTGACACCCTAACATCAAAATTAAAAGAACTAGAGAAGCAAAAGCAAACAAATTCAAAAGCTAGAAGACAAGAAATAACTAAAATCAGAGCAGAACTGAAGGAGATTGAGACACAAAAAAACCCTGAAAAAAATCAATGAATCCAGGAGCTGGTTTTTTGAAAAGTTCAACAAAATTGATAGACCACTAGCCTAGCAAGACTAATAAAGAAGAAAAGAGGGAATAATCAAATAAATGTAATAAAAATGATAAAGGGCTATCACCACCGATCCCACAGAAATACAAACTACCATAAGAGAATACTATAAGCTCCTCTAAACAAATAAACTAGAGAATCTAGAAGAAATGGATCAATTTCTGGACACATACACCCTCCCAAGACTAAACCAGGAAAAAGTTGAATCTCTGAGTAGTCTAATAACAGGTTCTGGCATTGAGGCAATAATTAATAGCCTACCAACCAAAAAAAGTCCAGGACCAGACAGATTCACAGCCAAATTCTACCAGAAGTCCAAAGAGGAGCTGGTAACATTCTTCTGAAACTCTTCTGATGAGTAGAAAAAGAGGGAATCCTCCCTAACTCAGTTTATGAGGCCAGCATCATCCTGATACAAAAGCCTGGCAGAGACACAACCAAAAAAGAGAATTTTAGGCCAATATCCCTGATGAAGATCAAGGAGAACATCCTCAATAAAATACTGGCAAACCAAATGCAGCAGCACATCAGAAATCTTATCCACCACAATAAAGTAGGCTTCATTCCTGGGATGCAAGGTTGGTCCAACATTTGCAAATCAATGAATGTAATCTATCACATAAACAGAACCAACAACAAAAACCTCATGATTATCTCAATAGATGCAGAAAAGACCTTCGACAAAAATTCAACGCCTTTCATGCTAACAACTCTCAATAAACTGGGTATTGAGGGAACATATGTCAAAATAATAAGAACAATATATGACAAACCCACAACCGATATCATATCAAATGGGCAAAAACTGGAAGCATTTCCTTGGAAAACTGGCACAAGAAAAGGATGCCCTCTCTCACCACTCCTATTCAACATAGTATTGGAATTTCTGGCCAGGGCAATCAGTCAAGAGAAAGCAATAAAGGGTATCCAAATAAAAAGAGAGGAAGTCAAATTGTCTCTGTTTGCAGATGACATGATTGCATATTTAGAAAACTCCATTGTCTCAGCCCAAAATCTTCTTAAGCTGATAAGCAATTTCAGCAAAGTTTCAGGATACAAAATCGATGTGCAAAAATCACAAGCATTGCTGTAAACAAATAAGAGACAAGCAGCCAGATTATGATCGAACTCCCATTCCCAATCACTACTAAGAAAATAAAATACCTAGGAATCCAACTTACAAGGGATGTGAAGGACCTCTTCAAGGAGAACTATAAACCACTCCTCAGGAAATAAGAGAGGACACAAACAAATGGGGAAACATTCCATGCTCATGGATAGAAGGAACCAATATTGTGAAAATGACCTTCCTGTTCAAAGTTATTTATAGATTCAGTGCTATCCCCATCAAGCTACCACTGACTTTCTTCACAGAATTTGATAAATCTCCTTTATAGTTCATATGAAATCAAAAAGGACCCCGCATAGCCAAGACAATCTTGGGCAAAAAGAAAAAAGTTGAAGGCACCACGCTACCTGACTTCAAATTGTATTACAAGGCTAAAAATCAACTCAAGATGGACCAAAGACTTAAACATAAAACCTAGGACCATAAAAATTCTAGAAGAAAACCTAGGCAATACCATTCAGGACATAGGCATGGGAAAAGACTTCATGTCTAAAACACCAAAAGCTATGGCAACAAAAGCCAAAATTGACAAATAGGAGCTAATTAAACTAAAGAGCTTCTGCACAGCAAAAGAAACTATCATCAGAGTGAACAGGCAACCTACAGAATGGGAGAAAATTTTTGCCGTCTATCCATGTGACAAAGGGCTAATATCCAGAATCTACAAGAACTTAAAGAAATTTAGAAGACAAAGCAAAAAACCACATCCAAAAATTTGCAAAAATATGAACAGGCACTTCTCAAAAGAAGAAATTTATGCGGCCAACAGACATATGAAAAAATGCTCATCATCACTGGTCATTAGAGAAATGCAAATCAAAACCATAATGAGATACCATCTCACACCAGTTAGAATGGCAACCATTAAAAAGTCAGAAAACAACAGATGCTGGAGAGGTGTGGAAAAATAGGAATGCTTTTACATTGTTGGTGGGAGTATAAATTAGTTCAATCATTGTGGAAGACAGTGTGGTGTTTCCTCAAGGATCTAGAACTAGAAATACTATTTGACTTAGCAATCCCATTATTTGGCATATACCCAAACAATTATAAATCATTTTATGATAAAGACACATGCACATGTATTTTTATTGTGGTACTATTCAGAAGAGCAAAGACTTGGAACCAACCCAAATATTTATCAGTGATAGACTGGATTAAGAAAATGTGGCACATGTACACCATGGAATACTATGCAGCCAGAACAAAAGGATTTGTTCATGTCCTTTGCAGGGACATGGATGAAGCTGGAAACCATCATTCTCAGCAAACTATCACAAGATCAGAAAACCATACACCACATGTTCTCACTCATAAGTGGGAGTTGAACAATGAGAACACATGGACACAGGGAGAGGAATATCACACACCATTGCCTGTCGGGGGGTGGGGGTCTAGGGGAGGGATAACATTAGGAGAAATACCTAATGTAGTGACGGGTTGATGGGTGCAGCAAACCACCATGACACGTGTATACCTATGTAAAAAAACTGCACATTCTGCATATGTAACCCAGAACTTAAAGTATAATTAAAAAAAGAAAATAAAATCATACCATTTGTAATGGCACCAATAAGAATAAAATATATAGAAACAAATTTAACCAAGGATGTGAAAAATCTGGACCCCAAAATCTATAGGAGAGTGATTAAGGAAACTGAAAAAAAGAAATAATTGAAAATATATCTTGTGGTTCATGGATTAGTAAAATCAATATTGCCAAAGTGTCCATATTGTTTAAAGCAACTAGAGATTCAATGCTATCTCTATCAAAATTCCAACATCATTCTTACAGAAATAGAAAAAAATTAAACCTCAATTATCTGTCTCAATTTTGAACAAGAATAACATAGCTAGTTGCATCCGAGTTGCTGATTTCAAATTATATTATACAATTATAGTAATCAAAACAGCATGGTACTGGCATAAAAACAGACACATAGAACAGTGGAACAGAATAGAAAGCCCAGAAATATAACCTAAACTCTATGGCATATTGATTTTTCATTAAAGCATCAGGAATTGACAATAAGAAAAGGATAGTGTGACCTATAAGTAGTGATGGGAAATTGAATATCTATATGAAAAAAATGAAACTGGATCCTTATCACAAACCATACACAAAATAAACTCAATATGAATTAAATATTTAAATGTAAGACCTGAAACCATAAATCTTAGAGAAGAAAATATAAGATTAAAAACTCCATAATATTGATTTGGCAATAATTTTTTTAAGCTAACCCCCAAAGCAAAGGTAACAAGAGCAAAAATAAATAATTGGGACTATATCAATCAAAAAAGTTTGCTTCACTGTAAAGGAAACCATCAAGAAAATGAAAAGCCATCCTAGAGGATGAGATAATATATGTGTAAGCCATATATGTGATAAAGGGTTAATATTCAAAAAATATGAGGAACTCATACAACTTAAAAACAAAAAAGAAATAATCTGATTTTTTAAAAATGACCAAAAAACCTGAGTTGCCATTCTTCCACGGAAAACTTACCAACGATGAGCATGACTATAAAAAGGTTTTTTTGTTGCCTTTTTTTTTTTTTTTTTGAGACAGAGTCTTGCTCTGTCACCCAGGCTGGAGTGCAGTGGCGCTACCTAGGCTCGCTGCAAGCTCCGCCTCCTGGGTTCACGCCATTCTCCTGCCTCAGCCTCCGAAGTAGCTGGGACTACAGGCACCTGCCACCACGCCTGGCTAATTTTGTTTTTTTTTTTTTGGATTTTTAGTAGAGACGAGCTTTCACCGTGTTAGCCAGGATGGTCTCATCTCCTGACCTTGTGGTCTGCCCGCCTCAGCCTCCCAAAGTGCTGGGATTACAGGCATGAGCCATCACGCCTGGTCAATATAAAATGCAAATCTAAACTACAATGATATATCACCTTACATCTGTTAGGATGACTATCAACAAAAAATCAAAAGATAAGCATTGGTGAAAATGTAGTGAAAACAGATCTCTTATACATCATGGATGGAAATGTAAATTGGTATAGTCATTATGAAAAACAGCATGGATAGAGGTCTCCCAAATAATTAAAATAGAAATACCATATAATCCAGTGATTTTAGTTCTGTGTATATATCTAAAAGAGAGAAAAATTACTATTTCCAAGAGATATAGGCATTCCCATGATCGTTGCAACATTATTTGCAATAGCTAAGATATGGAAAACACCCAAATGTCAGTTGATGGATAAATAAATAAAGAAAATGGGGTGTTTGTATGTCTGTGTGTGCATGTATGTGTGCATGCAGTGGAATATTATGCAACCTTACAAGAGAAGGAAACTCTGCTATTTGTGGTACAATAGATGAACCTGATGGACTTTATGCTCTGAGAATTAATCCAGACACAGAAAGACAAATATTGCATGTTTCCACTTATATGTGAAATCTTAAGAACCTGAAGTAATAGAAACATAAAGTAAATAGGTGATTTTCAGGGGTTAGAGGTGGGGGAAATAGAAAAATATTGGTCAAATTTGCTAACAGAGTAAATCTTAAGTTATCTCATTCCCCCCATATAGGTAACTATGTGAGGTGATGGATATATTAATTAGCTTGATTGTGGTAATAATTTTACAATGTACACATGTATCAAAACACCACATTGTATACCTTGAATAAATGAAATTTGTATTTGTTCATTATACCTTAACAAAGCTGGAAAAAATATTTAAAGAATTATTCAAGCTTCTGTAGGACAATCTTCCTTTCTACTGTTATTTGCTTGTGGTAAAAAATTTATTTTTACAAATTTTAATAATAGTGACTGAAATATCACACTTAAAATCTAATAATATTTACCATTTGGAATTACTAATTTGTTTATATTAGTATTTGCAGAGTAAACACATGAATAATATAAATATATGTAGTGTAATATAACTTCAAACAATCATTGATATGTTTAAGGATTTTCCTAGCATTTTTTACTTTAAAAACCCTTCAAAATAATTTTGAAAGAAGAAAACGCAGTTGAAAAACTATTACCTTATGTCAAGACCTATTATAAAGCCATAGTAATCAATACAGCAGAGTATCCTTGTAATGAAAGACATTCAGATGAATGAAACAGAAAATAGAGTTCAGAAATAGACCCATGCATATAAGGGCAAATGCTTTTTCACCAAGGTACCAAGACAATTTAATTTAAATGGTAATATTTTCAACAAAATGTGCCAAAATAATTGCATTAAAAATGAATCTTGATCCTAAACATACATCAGCTACAAAACTTAACTTGAACTGAGTTATTGAGCTAAAAACTATCAAAAGTGTAGAAGAAACGATAGTAAAATTTTTTGGGATCTTAGGTTTGGCAAAGATTTCTTAAACAGAACAAAATTAAGCACAAATTATAAAACAAAAGATCAATATATTGGAGTTCATCAAAATTAAATGATTTGCTCTTGAAAACACAGTGATGTAAATGAGAAAATGGCAAAACATGTATTTAGCAAAATACTTCATATCAAGAATCTACAAAAAATCTTAGAAGTCAGTAATAATAAGTCAAGAATTAGAAATGAGTGAAAAATTTAAACAAACACTAGGGATCAAAGGATATGTGTGTGTGTGTGTGTATATATATATGAATGGTAAATAAGTGTATAAAATATGTTTAGTATCATTAGTCATCAGAAAAGTGCAAATTAAAATTTTAATATGATAATATATCACACTCACAAGGCGGCTAAAAAGTAAAAAATGACAACCACAAGTGTTGGTGAGAATGTAGTGCAACTAGAAATTTCATACACTGCTGTTGGGAATATAAATTGCTAAAACAGTTTTAAAACTATTTTAGTAGCTATGTACAAAATTAAACATACATCTACCATAAAACCCAATCTTCTAGATGTTTTTCTAAAATATAATAAAGCTTTTGTTTATACAAAGACTTGTATTAAATAATTATAAAATTACACTTGTAATTATAAAAACGTGAAGCCACACAAATGTCCATCAACAGAGAAATAATCAATAAATTTTCGTAGACCCATGCAGTGGGATTCTAATGAGCAATTAAAGGGCACATATTATAGATACATTAAACAACATGGATAAATCTAAAAAACAATTTTGTGGAGTGAAAAAATCTATATTTGGCCAGATCTGTAATCCCAGCTCTTTGTTAGGGCAAGGCGGGTGGATCATCTGAGGTCAGGAGTTTGAGAACAGCCTGGCCATCATGGTGAAACCCTGTCTCTACTAAAAATACAAAAATTAGCTGGGCATGGTGGTGCGTTCCTGTAATCCCAGCTACTCAGGAGTCTGAGGCAGGAGAACCACTTGAACCCAGGAGGCGGAGGTTGCAGTGAGCAGAGACTGTGCCATTGCACTCTAGCCTGGGCAACAGAGCGAGACTCTGTCTCAAAAAAAAAAAAAAAAAAAAAAAGAAAAAAATAAGAAAAAATCTATATTTATACAGAATTCCAGAAAATCAAAACGAATATAAAGTGAAACAAATCAGATTAATTGTTGCCAGGGATGGGAGGTGGAATATACGGAACATGAAAAAAATTGTGGGTGGTTATGAATATATTTGTTATCTTGATGTGTTTACCTTAAAGTAAATCACTCTGAGTTCAATGTGAAAGATAAGTTTAAAGGTAATGAGTTAGGAAGCAGGAATATTAGTTATGAGATTAATTCATAATTAAGATGAGAAATAACAAAGGCTTAACTAAGGCATTGCTGGTGATGTTGCAAGAAAGAAATTAGAATAAAATATGGAAATTAGGAAACATCAATTTCATTAAATGAGTATATGTGGATGCTGAAAGAGAAGAATTAAGTATGACATCTGTATTTATTGTTTACGTGACTTGGTGTCATCAACTGAGTCAAATAATATAGGATATGACATTTTAACTTATTGGAAATGGAATATATATATATATACTTTTCTTTACTCCTGCTACTAAATGCAACTAAAAATCTCAGGCATTGTATCTAAAACAAACATAAAAAGACTCCTAAAGGTGAAGAGAAGGTGGCAGACCAGCTCGGACTCTCAGGACCTGAGTAATGACACATTGGTGAGTATACTGGTGTGTTGTTTTGCCTCATATATTCTAACTTGGAACTGAATAAACTGAAAACTCAGATATGTGCTTCAAAACACACTTGAAATAAATGAAACTATAAAATTTCTCTGCAAAGATAGGGAAGATAATTATATCAATAATTGTATTATTAGATTAATTGTTATAAGTGAGAGAAGGTAAAGACATTCACCCAATATAAAATAAATTATTTGAATAACCCTATAATTTAAGAGTTAATTATATTCATGAATTAAAAATTGTTCCCCAAGGAAATCTCCAAACTCAGATAGTGTCAATGGAGAATTATACCAAAGGTTTAAAAAAGAAATAACACCAAATTCAAGTCTCTTTCAGAAAATGGAAGAGAACACTTTCTAACTAATTGTATGAAGGTAGTATTACTCTGATAACAAATCTAAATAAAGATAGTCTAATGAGGAAATCTCAGACTAATAGCTCTAATTAATTTGGATTTAAAACTTCTAACACAATATTAGTAAATACAATTTAGCAATATATTAAAATAATTATACACTATGACCAAGTGGGGTTTATTCCAAAGATACAAGGCTGGTTCATTACTCAAAATCAACAATTTATTCCCTATATATTAATAGACTAAGAAATAAAATTATATGACCATATTAATCAATGCAGAAGGAACATTTGACAAAATTCTACATTCATTCATAATAAAAACTCTCAGAAAAATCAGAATATAGGGGAGCTTTCTTTATTTGAAAAATAGCTCTAAGAATACTACAGCTCACATCACACATAATGGTAAAAGTGTGAGAGCTTTTCCCCTAAAATTAGGAAACAGGCAAAAATTTTTATTCTCACCACTCTTAATTACAATGCTGGAAGTTCCAGACAATGCAGTTAGACAAGAAAAGTAAATAAAATTCTGATCAGAAAGGAAGAAATAAAATTCCTTCTAGTTGAAGTTGACATGATTGTCTATAGAAAATCGCAAGGAGTGTACAAAAACCTCCTAGAACTAATAAGTTATTTCATCAAGTTTGCAAGATAGAAGATCAGATTACAAAATTTAGATGTATGTCTATATGCTAGGAATGAACATGTGGACATTGAAATTAAAAGTACAATACCACTTAGAGTCACTCAAAAATTAAAATACTTAGTTGTAAATATAACAAAACATGCACTGGACCTGTTTACTGAAAACTACACAATGCTGATGAAATAAATCAAGCGTTATCTAAATAAATAAAGAGATATGCCACATTCACGATTGGAAGATTGAACATAGTAAAGATGTTAATTCCTCCAAATTAATATACAAATTTAACACAATTCTTGTAAAAACTTTTGCAAGATTTTTTATAACAACAGGTGATAAAAAGTAAATAAATTATAACATTTATAAGTGAAGGCAAAGAAAATAGAATAGCTTATTGTAGTAATTATTTAACAACAAATACATATATCTATCATCACATTATACAATTTATGTATATACAATTGTATCTGTCTATTATACCTAAATAAATCTGGAAAAAAGAAAAGAAGAATAAAACATGAAGAATCTTTCTACCCAATTGTATTACATTATATTGCTCTTGGAATCAAGACTGTGTGGTATTGGAGGAAGGACAGAAACATAGATAAATGGAACCAAACACAAAACCCAGAATACACATATAGATATGCCAAATTGATATTTTATAAAGATGTAAAAGCAATTCAATGGAGAAAAGAGTCTTTTAAACACATGGTTTTGGAGCAATTAGAAATGTATAGGTCAACAAATTAAAATACTGAAATACTAAACATACTTAAACATACTTAAAATACTAAACATAAACCCCACTCCTAGAAATTAATGCAAACTGGATTACAGTCTTAAATGTAAAACTATAATATTTCAGAAAAAAATAGGAGAAAATTTTTAGAATCTAGTGTTGACAAAGAGTTCTTAGAATTGGCATTGAAAACATGATATATAAAAGGAAAAACTGATCAATTGTACCAGACCAACATGAAAAACTTTTGTTTTGTGAACAAATCTGTAAAAAAGATAAAAATACAAGCTACAGATTCCACATATCTGGCAAAGGACTGGTTTCTAGATTATATACAGAAATCTTAAAATAAACAATCCCATTAAAAAGTGGGCAAAAGACATGAACAGACACTTTTCAAAAGAAGACGCATATGCGGCCAACAAGCATATTAAAAAAAGCTCAATATCATTGATCATTAGAGAAATGCAAATCAAAACCACAATGAGATACCATGTTGCATCAGTCAAACTGGCTATAATTATAAAGTCAAAAAATAACAGATGATGGTGAGTTTGCAGAGAAAAAGGAATGCTTATACACTGGTGGAGGTAGTGTAAATTAGCTCAACCATTGTGGAAGACAGTGTGGTGATTGCTCAAAAACCTAAAAACAGCAATACCATTCCACTCAGCCATCCCATTACTGGGTATATACCCAAAAGTACATAAATCATTCTATCATAAACACGCATGCACACATGTGTTCATTGCAGGACTATTCACAATAGCAAAGACATGGAATCAAACCAAATACCCACCAATGGTAGACTGGATAAAGAAAATGTGGAATTAGGAGTGGCCAAGATGGCCATCTAGAAGTTGCTAATGTGTGTGCCTCTCACGGAGAGGAACCAAAGGGGCAGGTAAATACAGCACCTTCAATTAAAATATTCAGGTACTCGCATTGGGACTATTCAAACAACTTGATCCATGGAGAACAGAGAAAAGCAAGGCAGGACGATGGCCCACTCGGGAGTGACACAGAGCCAAGGGAACCTCTCTCACCCAGGGAAGTGGTGAGTGAACATGTGACCACAGGAAACCACACTTCTTCTATGGAGCTTTGCAAACTTTGGGTCAGGTGGTCCCCTTGTGAACCCACTCCACGTGGGCCTTCAGTCTGACACAGAGAGCTACATGGAGTCTTGGCAAAGCATCCACTCAGGCATGCACGAGACTCAGGAGCTTTAGATACTCCAGCTTTCTGGGCTTCCTGGCAGAAGTAACTGCAACCCCAGGTGGTTAGACCCCTGTACATACCCCTAAGAAAGAAGTTGAATCCAGGGGGCCAAGCTGCAATGGTCTGTGAACCCCACTTCCGTTGCACCTCACAGGATAAGACCCACTGGCTTAGGATTCCAGCCAGTTACAGGTAGCAGAGTTGTGTCTCTCTGTGATGGAGTTCCTAGGGGAAGGGGTGGGCTACTAACTCTGCTGTTTGGGTGACTTAGCCATATGGCCTTCAGGCTTTGGAGAGTCCAAACCAAACGGGGGCAGAAGAGATCCCCCAGCACAGCACAGCTGCTTTACCAAAACATGGCCAGATTGCTTCTTTAATTGGGTCTCAAATCCCCTTTCTCATCACTTGGGGGGTAACTCCCAACCAAGGCCTGCAGCCCCCTCTGCCAGTGTTCTCTGGCCAGTAGAGATTTTAAAATTCCATGGGAAAGAGCTCCCAGAGGGAGGAGTGGACCATTATCTTTGTTGTTTGGATAACTTAGCCATTTTATCCTTTGGGCTTTGGAGAGCCCAAGCCAACCTGGGGTGGAAGTGGTACACCAGCACAGCACACTGCCCTATGAAAAAGTGGCCATACTGCTTTTTTACGTGGTTCCCTGATCCTGTCCTTCATCACAGTGTGGAGCCTCCCAACCAGGATCTCCAGCTACTTCCACTGGTGTTCTCTGGCTGACAGAGGTTTCAGACCTCCCTGGGATGGAGCTCCCAGGGGTAGGGGTGGGCCGCCATCTTTGCTGTTTGAGCAAATTAGCTATTTCAGCCTTCAAGCTTCAGAGTGTTTGAGGTGACTGGGGGCTGATGTGGACTCACAATACAGCTGCTCTATGAAAACATGGCCAGACTACTTTTTTAACCAACTCCGTGATCCCATTCCTCCTGACTGAACAAGACCTCCCAACAGGGGTCTTTAGCCACCTCCTACAGGTGTGTTCGGGCTGGCAACAGGCCTCTGCCTCCCTGGGATGAAGCTCTGAGAGGGAGGAGCAGGCTGCTATCTTTGTTGTTTGGCAGCCTTAACTGGTGATACTTCCAGGCATTGGAAAACCTGAGACAACTAGGGACTGGAGTGGATGCTCAGCATACCCAGCGACCCTATGGAAAAGTGACCAGACTGCTACATGAGTGCCCATTCCCATATCTCCTCACCAGGCAGGTCCTCCATGCCTGGGCCTACAGCCACTCTCTGCCAGAGCTGTCAAGCCTCTCTGGACGGAGCCGCCAGGGGCAACTGAAAGCCTCTCTGCCACTGCCTTTGCAGTAGGCCTCTCCTTGTTACTCTTGAACTATAAAAAGAGCAAAGACCTTAAGTGCCTATCCACAACTTTAACAACTGGTAGTTGACCCAAGGAGAGTAGGCCTGTCTATCCCCATGGGTTCCACATACCCCACATTGCTCATCACTAGACAGGGAATCCCTGGCTGGGGCCCAGAGCACAGACCATCCATCCTGGGATGATTGCACTGAGTGACTGCTGACCCACATCTCTCTGGGATGGAGGCTCCAGGAGACAAGCAAAGTGGTGGAACAGCAAGCCAGATGATGTGGAGCCCAGGGGGTTTAGTGCAAGAGCATCTGTCGTGGAGCAGGGCCAGAGATGGTCATTCCTCTAGGCTCAACTTGCTCCCACAAGAGGCTTTAGCCCTAGGGAAACCATTGGACCTGATCTCTGCAGGGCAGCCTTGCACATCAGATGGGGCTAGTCCCACCTGAGCACTCCTTGGTCTGCTGGCCTCCTGGGGCCCCATCCTGGCCATGCCTGCTTATAAGACAGTCTCAGGTGCCCTGCGAGCCCACACCATAGCTTCTGCACCAGTGGACCATGCCTGTCCCATGGAAAGCTCCAGCAAGGTGGCCCCTACAGGTGTGCACCAGCCTGCACATTCCCTTGCCATAGTGCAGCTTCTCATGAGCCCATGGCAAATCCCCAAGTCGTTTTTCTGGTGCATGTCTGCATGGCAGGTTTTGCTTTCCTTGCCCCTTCAGCATGCAGGAGTGCACTACTTCCCCCATCCCAGCCTACTGCTATTGCAGACTTAGCCTTGGCTGGCACAGAGCCAGTAAGCCCTGCCTCTGCCAGTGCTCTGCTTTTTTGTTAATGCTGCACAGAGAACAGGGAATTCTTTTACAACCTGGGCAATCACGCATGCTTGTGGGGCACAGAATAAGCACCCAGGCCTGCACTGGCCAGCATTCCACCACAAACCAGGACCATCTCCACTGCAACAGTGCACACAGTCTCTAGCAGGGTACTACCATAACCCCAACCCTTGGCTGCCTTGCCTCCACCACTATGGTGAATGCCCACAGGGAGGCAGGTACCCCCTGCATCCAGTAGCACTTTGCTGCAGCTGACACACCTCAGTTCCCCCAGTGCAGTAGACTCCAAACCTCAAGGAGCCAGAGAACAAAGGGCCCAATACAAGTCCTGCAGATTTACAGCACGCAGCCCAGAAGTTCAGAGATGAAGGTTGGATCCCCTAAAATCTTCCAGAAACAAAACCAGTTGGCTGAATCCACCTTATATCACAATCAAACACTCATGGTTATCAAATAGGATAAAAGAAAAAAAATTAAAATGTCAGCAACATCAAAGATCAAAGGTAGATAAGCCCACAAAAATGAGATTCAGTGCACAAATGCTAAAAACTCAAAAAGCCAGAATACCTTCTAGCCTCCAAATGACCACATTCACTCTTCAGCAAGGATTCAGAACTGAGCTGAGGCTGAGATGGCTGAAATGACAAGTACAATTCAGAATATTGATAGGAGCAAAGTTCACTGAGCTATAGGAGTACACTGTAACTCAATGCGAGGAATCAAAAATTATGATAAAAAATTACAGAAGCTGACAGACAAAATAGCCAGAATAGAGACGAACATAACCAACCTGATAGAGCTGAAAAACACACTATAAAAATTTCATAATGCAATCACAAGTATTAACAGCAGAATAGACCAAGTGGAGAAAAAAATCTTAGAGCATGAAGACTGGCTTTCTAAAATAAGGCAGGCAGACAAGAATAGATAAAAAAAGAATTAAAAGGAGTATATAACCCCCCAAAAAAAATGAGATTATGTAAAGAGACCAAATCTATGACTGATTGGTGTACCTGAAAGAGATAAGGAGAATGGGACCAACTTGGAAAACATATTTCAGGATATCATCCATGAGAACTTCCCTAATCCAGCTAGAGAGGATAACATTCAAATTCAGGAAATGCAGAGAACCCCAGTAACATGCTCCACAGAAAGACCATCCCCAAGACACATACTCATCACGTTCTCCAAGGTTGAAATGAAAGAAAAAATGTTAAAGGGAGGTAGAGAGAAGGACCAGGTAAACTACAATGGGAAGCCCATCAGTGTTAACAGTGGACCTCTAACTGGAAACCCTGAAAATAAAAGATTGGGTGTCAATATTCAATATTTTTAAGGAAAAGAAATTCCAACTCAGAATTTCTTTTCTCACTAAATATGGAAAGAAAAGACCATTACCCACCACTACAAAAACACACTGAAGTACACAAACCAGTGACATTATAAAGCAACCACATAAAAAAGTCTGCAAAATAACCAGCTAACAAGATGATGACAGGATCAAATCCACACATATCAATACTGATTTTAAATGTAAATGGGCTAAATGCTCCAATTAAAAGACAGTGTGGCAAGCTGAATAAAGAATCAAGACCCATCAGTATGCTGTCTTCAAGAGCCCTATCTCATATGTAATGTCACACATAGGCTCAAATAAAAGGAGGAAAATCTATCAAGAAAATGAAAAACAGAAAAAGAAGGGATTGAAATCTTAGTTCTTGACAAAGTAGAACTGACAAGCATCAAAAAGGACACAGAAAAACGTCAAATAATGGTGAAAGACTCAATTCAACAAGAAGATGTAACTATTCTAAATATATGCACCCAACACAGGAGCATCTCGATTTATAAGGCAAGTTCATAGAGACCTTCAAAGAGTCTTAGACTACCACACAATAATAGTGGGATATTTTAACACCCCATTGACAATATTAGACAGATTATTGAGGCAGAAAATTAACAAATATATTAATGACCTGAACTCAGCACTGGACAATATGGGCCTGATAGATATCTACAGAACTCTCCACCAAAAAAATAACAAAATATACATTTTTCTCACCACCACATGGGACATACTCTAAAACCAACTGTATAATTAGATGTAAACCTTTCATAAGCAAATTCAAGAGAACTGAAATCATAACAAATAGTCTCTAGGACTATGGTGCAATGAAACTAGAAATCAAGACTAAGAAGTTCACTCAAAACCATATAATTATATGGATATTGAATAATCTGCTCCTGAATGATTTTGGGGTAAAAAATGAAATTAAGGGAGAAATCAGTAAGTTATTTGAAACTAATGAGAACAAAAATACAATATACCAGAATCTCTGAGACACAGCTAAGGCAGTGTTAAGAGAGAAATTTATAGCACTAAATGCCCACAGAAAAAAGTTAGAAAGATCTCAAGTTAACAACCTAACTTCACAATTAAAAGAATCAGAGAACCAAGAGCAAACCAACCCCAAAGCTAGTAGAAGACAAATAACCAAATCAGAGCTGAACTGAAGAAGAGATAAAGGCACAAAAAAACATTCAAAAGGTCAACAAATCCAGGAGCTGCTTTTAAAAAAATAATAAAATAAATAGAATTCTAGATAGACTAATGAAGAAGAAAAGAGAGAATATTTAAATAAACACAATCAGAAACTACAAGGGGATATTACCACTGACCCCGCAGAAATAAAATTATCAATGAATGTTATCAACACATTTATGCATATAAATTAGAAAATCTAGAGGAAATGACCAAATTCCTGGACAAATACACCCTCGCAAGACTGAGCCAGGAAGAAATTGAATTCCTGAACAGACCAATAATGAGCTCTGAAATGGAGGCAGTAATAAATTTCCTATCAACCAATAAAAGCCCAAGACCAGATGGATTCATGGCTGAATTCTACCAAATGTACAAAGAAGAGCTGGTACCATTCCTATTGAAATTACTTTAAAAAATTGAGGAGAATGGACGCCTCCTTAATTCATTCTATGAGGTCAGCATCATCCTGATAGCAAAACCTGGCAGCAATGCAACAAAAAAAGAAAACTTCAGGCCAATATCCTTGATGAACACTGATGCAAAAATCCTCATCAAAATACCAGCAAACTGAATTCAACAGCACATTGAAAAGCTTATTCAGATAATTGCTGGAGGTGGGGGATTCAAGATGGCCTAATAGGAAAAACACCTGTGTGCAGTTCCCAGCGAGATCGATGCAGAAGGTGGGTGATTTCTGCATTTCCAACTGACGTACCCGGTTCATCTCAATGGGACTGGTTGCACAGTGGGTGCAGCCCACGGAGGGTGAGCTGAAGTCAGGTGGGTTGTTGCCTCACCTGGGAAGTGCAAGGGGTCGGGGAATTTTCTCCCCTACACAAGAGAACCCATGAGGGTCTAAGCCTGAGGAACTCCAGCACAGATACTGAGCTTGTCCCTCAGTCTTCACAACCTGCAAACCAGGAGATCCCCTCTGGTGCCTACCCCACCAAGGCCCTGGGTTTCAAGCACAAAACTGGGTGGCCAGTTGGGCAGTCACTGAACTAGCTGCAGGAGCTCTTTTTTTCCCATACCCCAGTGGTGCATAGAATGCCAATGAGACAGAACCGTTCACTCCCCTTGAAATGGCAGCTGAAGCCAGGGAGCAAAGTGGTCTGGCTTGGTGAGTCCCATCCACATGGAGCCCAGGAAACTAAAATCCAGTGGCTTGAAATTCTCACAGTCAGCACAGCAGCAATCTGAGGTCCACCTGGGACATTCAAGCTTGGTGGAGGGAGGGGCATCTGCCATTGCTGAGGCTTGAATAAGCGGTTTTATGATCACAGTGTAAACAAAGCTTCTGGGAAGTTCGAACTGGGCAGAGCCCACTGTAGCTCAGCAAGGATGCTGTGGCCAGACTGCCAGATTTCTCCTCTCTGGACAGGGCATATCTGTAAAAAAGGTAGCAGCCCCAGTCAGGGGCTTATAGCAGACATAAAAGTTCCTGCCTGATGGCTCTGAAGAGTACAGTGGACCTCCCAGCACAGTGTTCGTGCTTTGCTAAGGGTCAGACAGCCTCCACAAGTGAGTCCCTGACCCCCGTGTGTACTGACTAGGAGACACCTCCAAGTAGGGGCCAACAGACATCTCTTACAGGAGAGCTCTGGCTGGCATCTGGAAGGTGTACCTCTGGGTCAAAACTTCCAGAGGAAAGAACAGACAGCAATCTTTGCTGCTCTGCAGCCTCCACTGGTGATACCCAGGGAAACAGGGTCGGGAGTGGACCTCCAGCAAACTCCAGCTGACTGGCAGCAGAGGGGCCTGACTGTTAGAAGGAAAATAAACAAACAGAAAGGAATAGCACATCCACTCAAATGCCCCATCTGAAGTTCACCAACATCAAAGACCAAAGGTAGATAAATCCACAAAGATAGGAAAGAAAAAAAAAAGTGCTAAAAGGATATAAATACCAAAATCCAGAATGCCTCTCTTCCTCTGAAGGATCACAACTCTTCACCAGCAAGGGAACAAAACTGGACAGAGAATGCATTTGATGAACTGACAGAAGTAGCCTTCAGAAGGTGGGTAATAACAAACTCCCCTGAGCTAAAGGAGCATGTTCTAACCCAATGCAAGGAAGCTAAGAACCTTGAAAAAAGGTTAGCCGAATTGCTAACTAGAATAACTAATGTAGAGAAGAACATATATGATCTGATGGAGCTGAAAAACACAGCATGAGAACGTGAAGAATATACAAGTATCAATAGCTGAATAGATCAAGCAGAAGAAAGGATATCAGTGATTGAAGACCAACTTAATGAAATAAAGAGAGAAGACAAGATCAGAGAAAAAAAAAAAGTATAAAAAGAAAGAACAAACACTCCAAGAAATCTGGGACTATGTGAAAAGACCAAACCTGTGTTTGATTGGTGTATCTGAAAGTGATGGGGAGAATGGAACCAAGTTGGAAAACACTCTTCAGGATATTATCCAGGAGAACTTCCCCAACCTAGAAAGACAGGACAACATTCAAATTCAGGAAATGCAGAGAACACCACAAAGATACTTCTAGAGAAGAGCAACCCCAAGACACATAATTGTCAGATTCACCAAGGTTGAAATGAAGGGAAAAATGTTAAGGGCAGCCAGAGAAAAAAGTCAGGTTACCCACAAAGGGAAGCCAATCAGACTAACAGCAGATGTCTCTGCAGAAACCCTACAAGTCAGAAGAGAGTGGGTGCCAATATTTGGTGTTCTCAAAGAAAAGAATTTTCAAACCAGAATTTCATATCTAGCCAAACTAAGCTTCATAAGTGAAGAAGAAATAAAATCCTTTACAGGCAAGCAAATGCTGAGGGATTTTGTCACCGCTAGATCTGCCTTACAGAGCTCCTGAAGTGAGCACTAAACATGGAAAGGAAAAACAGTTACCAGCCAATACAAAAACATACCAAATTGTAAAGAACATCAACACTATGAAGAAACCGCATTAACTAACCAACATCCAGCAAAACAACCAGCTAGAATCATAATGACAGAATCAAATTCACACATTACAATATTAACCGTAAATGGAAACAGGCCAAATGCCCCAATTAAAAGACACAGACTGGCAAATTGGATAAAAAGTCAAGACACCTCAGTGTGCTGTATTCAGAAGATCTACCTCATGTGCAAAGACACACATAGGCTCAAAATAAAGGGATGGAGGGATACTTATCAAGTGAATGGAAAGCAAAAAAGAACGTGAGTTGCAGTCCTAATCTCTGATAAAACAGACTTTAATCCAACAAAGATCAAAAGAGACAAAGAAGGGCATTACATTTTGGTGAAGGGATCAATGCAGCAATGAGAGCTAACTATCCTAAATATATATGCACCCAATACAGGAGCACACATATTAATAAAGCAAGTTTTTAGAGACCTAGAAAGACTTAGACTCCCACACAATAATAATGGGAGAATTTCACACTCCACTGTCAATATTAGACAGTTCGAGGAGACAGAAAATTAACAGTGATATTCAAGACTTGAACTCAGCTCTGGAGCAAGCCGACCTAATAGACTTCTACAGAATTCTCCACCCCAAATCAACAGAATATATATTCCTCTCAGCACCACATAGCACTTATTTTAAAATTGACCACATAATTGGAAGTAAAACACTTCTCAGCAAATGTACAAGAATGGAAATCATAACAAACTGTATCTCAGACCAGAGTGCAATCAAATTAGAACTCAGGATAAAGAAACTCACTGAAAACCTCACAACTACATGGAAACTGAACAACCTGCTTCTGAATGACTACTGGGTAAATAATGAAATAAAGGTAGGAATAAAGACGTTCTTTGAAACCAGTAAGAATAAAGACACAACGTACCAGAATCTCTGGACACATTTAAGGCAGTGTTTAGAGGGAAATTTATAGCACTAAATGCACACAAGAGAAAGCAGGAAAAATCTAAAATTGATGCCCTAACATCAAAATTAAAAGAACTAGAGAAGCAGAAGCAAACGAATTCAAAAGCTAGCAGAAGACATGAAATAACTAAGAGCAGAGCAGAACTGAAGGAGATAGAGGCACAAACAACCCTCCAAAAAATCAATGAATTCAGGAGTTGTTTTTTTAGAAAAATCAACAAAATAGATAGACTGCTAGCCAGACTAATACAGAAGAAAAGAGAGAAGAATCAAGTAGACAAAATAAAAAATGATATAGGGGATATCACCACTGATCCCACAGAAATAAAAACTACCATCAGAGAATACAATAAATGCCTCTAGCAAATAAACTAGAAAATCTAGAAGAAATGGATAAATCCCTGGACACATACACCCTCACAAGTCTAAGTCAGAAAGAAGTTGAATCCCTGAATAGACCAATAACAAGTTCTGAAATTGAAGCAGTAATTAATAGCCTACTAACCAAAAAAGTCCAGGACCAGACAGATTCACAGCCGAATTCTACCAGAGGAACAAAGAGGAGCTGCTACCATTCCTTCTGAAACTATTCCAATCAATAGAAAAAGAGGGCATCCTCCCTCATTTCATGAGGCCAGAATCATTCTGATATCAAAACCTGGCAGAGACACAACAAAAAGAGAAAACTTCAGACCAATATTCCTGATAAATATCGATGTGACAATGCTCAATAAAATACTAGCAAACTGAATCCAGCAGCACATCAAAAAGATTATCCACTATGATCAAGTTGGCTTCATACCTGGGATGCAGAGCTGGTTCAACATATGCAAATCAATAAACGCAATCCATCACAAAAACAGAACAAATGAGAAAAACCACATGATTATCTCAATAGACACAGAAAAGGCCTTTGATAAAAATCAATGCCTCTTCATGCTAAAAGCTCTCAATAAACTAGGTATCGATGGAACATATCTCAAAATAATAAGAGCTATTTATGACAAACCCACAGCCAATATCATACTGAATGGGAAAAAACTGGAAGCATTTCCTTTGAAAACTGGCACAAGACAAGGATGCCTCTCTCATCACTCCTATTCAACATAGTATTGGAAGTTCTGGCCAGGGTAATCAGGCAGGAGAAAGCAATAAAGTGTATTCAGATATGAAGAGAGTAAGTCAAATTGTCTGTGTTTGCAGATTACATGATTGAATATTTAGAAAACCCCATCATCTCAGCCCAAAATCTCCTTAAGCTGATAAGCAACTTCAGCAAAGTCTCAGGACACAAAATCAATGTGCAAAAATCACAGGCATTCTTATACACCAATAACAGACAAACAGAGAGCAAAATCATGAGTGAAGTCCCATTCACAATTACTACTAAGAGAACAAAATACCTAGGAATTCAACTTACAAGGTATGTGAAGGACCTCTTCAAGGAGAACTACAAACCACTGCTCAATGAAATAAAAGAGGAGAGAAACAAACTTTTACATTTATCTCTTCATTGCTGAACATATTTGTCAAGATTTCAAAATGTCCAGATGTGGAAAGCAAGGTGGAAAGGCCTGAGCCAAGGCTAAGACTTGCTCTTCTAGGGTTGGGCTCCAGTTCCCCGTGGGTCAAGTAGCTCCTGACAGAAGCAAAAAACATGGAAAAAGACAACCAGTACCAGCCACTGCAAAAACACGCCAAATTGTAAAGACCATCGATGCTAGGAAGAAACTGAATCAATTAACAGTTAAAATAACCAGCTGACATCATAACGAGAGGATCAAATTCACACATAACAATATTGACCTTAAATGTAAATGGGCTTAAAGCCCCAATTAAAAGACAAAGACTGGCAAATTGGATAGAGTCGAGACCTGCTAGTGTGCTGTATTCAGGAGAACCATCTCACGTGCAGGGACACAGATAGGCTCAAAATAAAGGGATGGAGGAAGATCTACCAAGTAAAAGGAAAGCCAAAAAAAGAAGCGGTTGCAATGCTAGTCTCTGATAAAACAGACTTTAAACCAACAAAGATCAAAAGAGACAAAGAAGGCCATTACATAATGGTAAAGGGATCAAATCAACAAGAAGATCTAACTATCCTAAATATCTATGCACCCAATACAGGAGCACCCAGATTCATAAAGCAAGTCCTTAGATACCTACAAAGAGACTTAGACTCCCACACAATAATAATGGGAGACTTTAACACCCCACTGTCCATATCAGACAGATCAATGAGACAGAAGGTTAACAAGAACATCCAGGAATTGAACTCACCTCTGCACCCAGTGGACCTAATAGACATCTACAGAACTCTCCACCCCAAATCAACAGAATATACATTCTACTCAGCACCACATCACACTTATTCTAAAAATGACCACATAATTGGAAGTAAAGCACTCCTTAGCAAATGTAAAATAACAGAAATCATAACAATCTGTCTCTCAGACCACAGTGCCATCAAGTTAGAATTCGGGATTAAGAAACTCACTCAAAACCACACAACTACATGGAAACTGAACAACCTGCTCCTGAATGACTACTGAGTAAATAATGAAATGAAGGCAGAAATAAAGATGTTCTCTGAAACCAACAAGAACAAAGACTCAACATACCAGAATCTTTGTGACACATTTAAAGCAGCGTGTAGAGGGAAATTTATAGCACTAAATGCCCACAAGAGAAAGCAGAAAAAATCTAAAATCAGCACCCTAACACCACAGTTGAAATAACTAGAGAAGCAAGAGCAAACAAATTCAAAAGCTACCCGAAGGGAAGAAATAACTAAGATCAGAGCAGAACTGAAGGAAATAGAGACACAAAAAACCCTTCAAAAAAATCAATGAATCCAGGAGCTGGGTTTATGAAAAGATCAACAAAATTGACAGACTGCTAGCAAGACTAATATAGAAGAAAAAAGAGAAGAATCAAATAGACACAATAAAAAATAATAAAGGGGATATCACCACCAATCCCACAGAAATACAAACTACCTTTAGAGAATACTATAAGCACCGGTACACAAATAAAGTAGAAAATCTAGAAGAAATGGATGAATTCCTGAACACATATACCCTCCCAAGACAAAACCAGGAAAAAGTTCAATCTCTGAATAGACTAATAACAGGCTCTGAAACTGAGGCAATAATTAATAGTTTACCAACCAAAAAAAGTCCAGGATCGGACGTATTCACAGCCGAATTCTACCAGAGGTACAAAGAGGAGCTGGTACCATTCCTTCTGAAACTATTCCAATCAATAGAAAAAGAGAAAATCCTCCCTGTCTCATTTTATATGGCCAGCATCAGCCTGATACCAAAACCTGGCAGAGACACAACAAAAAAAGAGAATTTTAGACCAATATTCCTGATGAACATCATTGGGAATATCCTCAGTAAAATACTGGCAAACCGATTCCAGCAGCACATCAAAAAGCTTATCCACCACGATCAAGTTGGCTTCATCCCTGGGACGCAAGGCTGGTTCAACATATGCAAATCAATAAATGTGATCCATCACATAAACACGACCAATGAGAAAAACCACATGATTATCTCAATAGTTGCAGAAATGGCCTTCAACAAAATTCAACAGCCTTCATGCTAAAACTCTCAATAAACTAGGTATTGATGGAATGTATCTCAAAATAATAGGATCTATTTATGACAAACCCACAGCCAATATCATACTGAATGGGCAAACCTGGAAGCATTCCCTTTGTAAACCAGCACAATACAAGGATGCCCTCTCTCACCACTCCTATTCAACATAGTGTTGGAAGTTCTGGCTAGGGCAATCAGGCAAGAGAAAGAAATAAAGGGTATTCAATTAGGAAAAGAGGAAGTCAAATTGTCTGTGCTTGCAGATGATATGATTGTATATTTAGAAAACCCCATTGTCTCAGCCCAAAATCTCCTTAAGCTGATAAGCAACTTCAGCAAAATCTCAGGATACAAAATCAGTGTGTAAAAATCACAAGCATTCCTATACACCAAGAACAGACAAACACAGAAACAAATCAAGAGTGAACTCCCATTCACAATTGCTACAAAGAGAATAAAATACCTAGCAATCCAACTTACAAGGGAGGTGAAGGACCTCTTCAAGGAGAACTACAAACCACTGCTCAAGGAAGTAAAACCGGAGCAAAACAAATGGAAGAACATTCCGTGCTCATGGATAGGAAGCATCAATATCGTGAAAATGGCCATACTGCACAAGATGATTTATAGATTTAATGCCATCCCTATCAAGCTCCCAATGACTTTCTTCACAGAATTGGAAAAAAACTACTTAGTTTCCTATGGAACCAAAAAAGAGCCCTCATTGCCATGACAATCCTAAGCAAAAAGAGCAAAGCTGGAGGCATCACGCTACCTGATTTCAAACTATACTACAAGGCTAGAGCATCCAAAACAGCATGGTACTGGTAACAAAGAAGATATATGGACCAATGGAACAGAACAGAACAGAGGCCTCAGAAATAACACCACACATCTACGGCCATCTGATCTTTGACAAACCTGACAATAACAAGAAATGGGGAAAGGATTCCCTATTTAATAAATGGTGTTGGGAAAACTGTCTAGCCATATGTAGAAAGCTGAAACTGGATCCCTTCCTTACACCTTATAGAAGAACTAATTCAAGATGGATTAAAGATTTAAATGCTAGACCTAAAACCATAAAAACCCTAGAAGAAAAAACCTAGGCAATACCATTCAGGATAGAGACATGGGCAAGGACTTCATGACTAAAACACCAAAAGCAATGGCAACAAAAGCCAAAATTGACAAATTGCATCTAATAAAACTAAAGAGTTTCTGCACAGTAAAATAATAATAATAACAATAAAACAAAAAAAAACCTATCATCAGAATGAACTGGCAACCTACAGAATGGGAGAAAAATTTTTGCAATCTATCCACCTGACAAAGGGCTAATTGAATGTACAAAGAAGTTAAACAAATTTACAAGAAAAAAACAAAAAAACACATTAAAATTTGGGCAAAGTATAAGAACAGATACTTCTCAAAAGTAGACATTTATGCAGCTAAGAGGCATATGAAAAAATGCTCATCATCACTGGTCATTAGAGAAATGCAAATCAAAACCACAATGAGATACCATCTCACGCCAGATAGAATAACGATCATTAAAACGTCGGGAAACAACAGATGCTGGAGAGATGTGGAAAAATAGGAATGCTTTTACACTGTTAGGGGAGTGTGAATTAGTTCAACCATTGTGGAAGACAATGTGGCAATTCCTGAAGGATCTAGAACTAGAATTGCCATTTGTCCCAGCAATCCCATTACTGGGTATATACCCAAAGGATTATAAATCATTCTATGATAAAGAAACATGAACACGTATGTTTATTGTGGCACTATTCACAATAGCAAAGACTTGGAACCAACCAAAATGTCATCAATGATAGACTGGATTAAGAAAATGTGGCACATATACACCATGGAATACTATGCAGCCATAAAAAAGGATGAGTTCATGTCCTTTGCAGGGACATGGATGAAGCCAGAAACCATAATTCTCAGCAAACTATCACAAGAGCAGAAAACCAAACACTGCGTGTTCTCACTCATAAGTGGGAGTTGAACAATGAGAACACATGGACACAGGGAAGGGAACATCACACACTGGTGCCTGTTGGGGACTGGGGGACTAGGTGAGGGATAACATTAGGAGAAATACCTAATGTAGGTGACGGGTTGATGGGTGCAGCAAACCACCAAGGCACGTGTATACCTATGTAACAAAACACGTTCTGCACATGTAACCCCAAACTTAAAGGATAATAATAATAAAAAAGAACCACAACAAAAAAAGAAAAGCTTATTTATCATAATCAAGTAGGCTTTAATGCTGGGATGAGAGTTTGGTTCAACATATGCAAATCAATAAATATGATTCATCACATAAACAGAACTAAAGACAAAAAACACGTTATTATCTCAATAGATGGAGAACAGGCTTTCAGTACAATTAAACATTCCTTCATGTTAAAAGTTCTCAACAAACAAGATTTTGAAGGAACATACTTCAAAATAATGAGTCACTTATGACAAACTCACAGCCAACATCATACTGAATGGGCAAAAGCTGGAAGCATTTCCCATGAGAGCTGGCACAAGACATTGATTCCCTCTCTGACCACTCCTATTTTACATAGTATTGGGAGTTCTAGCTAGGTCAATCAGGCAAGAGAATAAAATGACAGCATCCGAATAGATAGCAAGGAAGTTAATCTATAAAATATTGCTGAAGAAATTAAAGATAGCTAAATAATTGAGGGCTTATGTATGCATGTGTATATGTATATCTCATATTCATGATTGGAAGACCCCACTTTGAAAAAATGTCAGCTGTCCCCAAATTGGTCTATAGATTCAATGGAATCCTAATAAAAATCTAAGCAGATCTTTTTTTTTCTGTACTCTGATTATAACATTTACACGGATATGCTAAGAATCTGAAATATCAAAAAACAGTCTTTAATAGAAGAAACAAAACGACTGGGCTTTCACTTTTTTCACCTTTTGACTTTAATTAAAAAACCTTAATATCAAGCAAAAAAAATCCAATTAGAAAATGAACAGAAGACATGAAAAGATTTTTCACCAAAATGAATATATAGATGTCATATAAGCTTATGAAACTGTTTTAGGCCCTAGGGAAATGCAAATTTAAACTATGTTAAGCTATCACTTTACACCTATTAGAATGGCTAAAATTTAAAAAAAAAATGGTGACTGTAAGAAATGCTGCTGAGCATGCAGTGAAACTGGATGACATATATTGCTGGTGGCATAAAATGGCATAGCCACTTTACAAGATTATTTGGAAGCTTCAAAAAAAAAAAAACACTAAAAATGCATCTACCATATGGCCCAGCAATTGCACTCTTAGGTATTTATCTTAGAGAAATTAATACCTTTGTTCACACAAAAAGTTGTACATGAATGTTTACAGCAGCTTTATTCAATAATAACCAAAAGATGTAAATGAATAAAAACCTTACAGATATCCTTCAATAGTGAAAAGGTTAAACAAACCATGGCACATCCATGTAATGGAATACTAGGTAACAATGAAAAATAAATGATTATTGATACACATACAACCTGGCTGAATCTCCAGTGATTGTGCAGAGTGAAAGAAACAAACCCCAATTGGTTACAATACTGCACGATTTGTTTTATTTGACAATCTTGAAATGAAATCATACAAATGGAGAACAGATTGGGGGTAGCTATGGAATAATGAGGGGATTGGGCAGTGGTGTGGACATAAAAGGACAACATGAGAGATCTGTGTTGTGAAGAAAATGTTCTATATTAACTACAGTATTCTCATTATGACATTGTACTTATTTGGAGGATGTTACCATTGGGGGAAAATGAGTAAAGGGCACCTGGAATCTCTCTGTATTATTTCTTACAGCTTCTTGTAAATCTACAATTATCTTAAAATAAGAAGTTTAATTAAAATAATGTATGCAAAATAAGCTTATTTGGTGGTGGACATGGTCAAAAGTTTATCATTTCCTATTTACTTACCTATTGTGTTACACTTATTAAGACACACCCACTTTTGCCTACTTTAAGCACAAGTTTATAGTTACTAAGACATACATTTGTTTTTATATTAGTTAGTATTTGGGAATGGGTAACAAGAAATTTGATTTACATAGTTGTATATGTGCATGTGTGCATCCTCAGATATAAGTTCATGTTTTCATTATGAGTATATGTATTTTTATGTGTTTTTTAAATGTTTATTTTAGGTTTAGTGGTACATGTATAGGTTTGATATATTGGTAAATTGCATGTCATGGAGGTTTGGTGTGCAGATTATTTTGCCATCCAGGTAATTTGCATAGTACCAGTCAGGTAATTTTTTGGTCCTCAGCCTCCTCTCTCCCTCCACCTTCAAGTAGGCTGTGGTGTCTGTTTTTCCCTTCTTTGTGGCCATATGTCCTCATTGTTTAGCTTCCACTCATAAGTGAGAACATGCAGTATTTGGTTTTCTGTTCCTGTGATAGTTTTCTTAGGATAAGGGCCTCCAGCTCCATCCATGTTTCTCCAAAGGGCATTATCTCATTCCTGTTTATGGCTGTGTAGTATTCCATGGTGTATATGTACCACATTTTTGTTATCCAGTCTAATGTTGATGGGCATTTCGGTTGATTACATGTCTTTGTTATTGTGAATAGGGCTGCAAAGAACATACAGATGCATGTATTTTTGTGGTCGAACAATTTATATTCCTTTGTGTGTATACCCAGTAATGAGATTGCTTGGTCAAATGGTAATTCTTCTTTCAGTTCTTTGAGAAATAAACAAAATGCCTTCCACAATGGTTGAACTAACTTATATCGCCTATAGCAGTGTATAAGCTTTCCCTTTTCTGTACAACCTCACCAGCATGTGTTAGTTTTTTGACATTTTAATAATAGCCATTCTGACTATGTGAGATGGTATCTCTTCGTGGTTTTGATTTACATTTCTCTGACGATTAGTGATGATGAGCATTTTTTTAATGTTTTTTGGCCACTTGTATGTCTTCTTTTCAGAAGTGTCTGTTTATGTTTCTTGCTCACTTTTTAATGGGGTTATTTGTTTATTGCTTGTTAAGTTTCTTAGAGATTGTGGATATTAGATCTTTGTTTGATGTTTGTGAATATTTCCCCCATTCTGTAGGTTGTCTGTTTACTCCGTTGATGGTTTCATTCTTTCTGTGTGGGTTGATGTTCCTTCAACTGTAGTGTAATATGAGTATAATCAGTTGACTTCTTTTCTGAATGTTTTCAGCAGTCTAAGCATTTTTGCAGGATCTTTATTTGTAGCTTAGTTCTTGTCCTTGGTTTCACTGGGGGATATATTAACAGTATTTTCGGTGTTGAAATTTGGTTGTAATCCACTAGATGGTGCTTAAATGTAATGGTTAATAGGTACGCTCTTGCTTAGCCATGTGGCTCGCCTGTATTTCCTCATGATTGCCATCAAATTTTCTGTTACTGTTCTGAAAGTGTAGGCTCCTCTCCCACAGAAGTGCTGTCTGTAGACCTCTGTTTGGCACTTGCGAGCTGTACAGCACAACCTTGTGGTGAGCTCATCTTTATTTTCCTTCCCCACTTTTGAGGCAGCAGGGGACAAGACCTTGGCAGTGGCTATGGCAGAGGGTCTTTCCCGTGTCTTTTGGTGCTCTACCCTAGAGAAATTCAGAGCGGATATCAACTGGTGCAATCAGTCAAGGGTGGGGCAGCTGCGTTTTTGGCCCAAGCCATGGGAACCTGCCTGGGGATGGGAAGGGGATTGCGGAGGGAACAGACCAGCCTCTTCTCCTTATGGTGGCTGTGGCTTTCTGGAGGTGTGGTTAAAGCACTGTGCGTCTTTGCTTCTTTCCCAGTCTGAGGGCAGCAAGGGCACTACCATTGCAGTGGCAGGGGCAGAAAGGCTTTTGGTTGTCTCTGGGACCTCCATCTCAGAAAAAAACACAGAGTCACTGCTACTGGGGATGTTCAGCCAGGGGGTGAGGCAACTGTGCTGTTGGCCTGAGGTGGGGACCCCGCTTGGGGAAGAGTCGGGGTTCGAGGGATAACAGGGAGGAGAGAGTGGGCTCTTCTTTGTATGGTGACTGTGTCTTGCTAGAAATGTGAGTAAAGCCCTCAGGATCTTCATTTCTTCTCCAGCCTGAGGGCAGCAGGGGAAGAACCACTGCAATGGCAGTGGCAGAGGGGCTGTCAGTTGCCTCTGGGAGCCCCTCCCCCAGGGAAATACAAAGCCACTAGCAGAGGGAATGCTCTGCCAAGGGTGGGACGTCTGTGTAGATCCAGGCTTGGGGCCCTGCTTGGTGAAGAGTGTGGGGTGGGAGCCTACATGGAAGAGAGACTGGGCTCCTCTCTGTATGGTGGCTGCAGCGTGCTGGAGGCTCCAGTGTAGCAACTCGACCTTTTGTTTTATTCCCTGGCCTGAATGCAGCAGAACAGTACCACTGCAGCTGCAATGGCAGAGAAGCTGTGGGTTGTCTCTGGGATTTCCTCCTCAGAAACGCAGAGCTGCTACCGAGTAAAGTGTTTATGTGGAAGCAGAGTGATTGTGCTTGGGGCCCAGGTCAAGAGGCACTGCTCAGTGAAGAGCAGCGGAGGTGGGGACACACGTGAAAACAGTCTGGCCGCTTTTCCTTTAAGGTGACTGCGCTGTGCTGTGGGTTCGCGTCAGTCCCCAACTTCTATACTACCTCCAGAGCCTGATGAGAACATGAGCGTGGAAAAACGTCAGCTTGCCTGCTCCCTCTGGGAGCTCTGTCCCAGGGAAGTGTGGAGCTGCTTCCAGCCTGAGAACTCAGGCAGGGCTGGGGTAGCCTTGTTAGTGTCCCAAGCTAATGGGCCTTATCCTGCGGCGTGCCCGGGAAGAAAGCCTGCAATCTGGGCATGGTGGTGGGTGCTTATAATACCAGCTACTTGGAAGGCTGAGGCAGGAGAATCACTTGAACCCGGGAGGCAAAGGTTGCAATGAGCCAAGATGGTGCCACTGCACTCCAGTGGCGCTCCAGCCTGGGCGACAGAATGAGACACCATATCATAACAAAACAAAACAACAACAACAACAACAACAACAACAAAACCTGGAATATTATTCAGCTTTTAAAAAGCAGGAAATTTAACATTTATTTTAAAGATAAATCTTAATGGTCTTATGATAAGTGTAATAAGTCCATCATAAAAAGTATGAATCCACTTATACGAGTTAGCTAAAGTAGTTGCACTTTTAAAAAGAGAAAATAGAATGGCATTTGTAAAGGGCCAGTCAATGGGGAAAACAGGTAGTCGATTCATGTATAGTATGTATTCATTTTGCAAGATAAAAATGTTCTGGTGATATGTTGCCAACAATGGCAATATACTTAACATGGTCTAACTATTAATATAAAATTAAAATATTTAAGATTGTAAAAAAAAAACAGAAGCTTTACATCCATATGTGATTTAATCTTCATAACACCATATGGCAGCTGTTATTCTACTTTACAGATGAGAAAACACACCTAGGGACATTAAGTGATTTGTTCAAGGTCAAAAACATAATGAGTGCTGGATCTAGGATTTGGATTCAGGTCTGTCTGGTCAGAGCCCAATCAGTGAGCATTCTTTGTACCTCAGGCTCACATATTTGTCATTTACAACTTAAATAAAGTAACAAAAGTTGGGCAAAGTAAATATTTTCATTTTGACAAAACCTTTCTCTGGTAAGGAAGTTTCACTCAGCTAACAGGTTTTGCTCAGAACTGTAATGGAGCCTAGATTATGACAACCTGCTTTATCAGCTTTCTTTACTGGATCTGCTAGATGTGCCTGTCATGATTAACCTGCTTTCTACCAGGTGCTTGAATTAGGCTAGAAGTGCTGTGATGACACTTTCAGTATCAACCTAAGTTCTGCAGGTGAAAAGACAGTGACCTGGATGACGTTGTCATTTCACCTACCCAAGACCTTAAATGCCAAGCTCGAATCCCTATCTTCAACGCTCATTATCTCATAATCACATACCTTCAGCCTACAAACCTGTATTGACTTCTCATCAAGCCCTATGTCAGGCTCTGGCAATACAAAGAGGAATTAGAATGACCCTGTTCTTCGAGGAGTTTATATCTAGATGGGGCATAGACACAAAAACCTAACACATAACAGAGGGTTGTAAGTGCTATGATTTTGTTAATCTGTGGAGTGCAGGGTTACAAAAGAGTGGCATCACACCCAGTTGTAAGTTCAGGGAAGACTTACTGGAGGAGGTGGTACTTGTCCTGAACTAGATGAAGAGGTTGGGAAAGCAGATGCAAAGATAAGGAGGGAAGAGAGAACTTTCGGATAGTTGTTTGTCAGGAGCTTAGCATGTGAGGGATAGAAGGGGTTAGGGATGAAGCATAGAGTTTTTCAGACACCAGTCATGAGAGTCGAATGCTGGACAAAGTAGATGGGTCTTGAATCTGTGGAAAATGGAGAATTATTGCGGAGTTATTGGCAGGGGTGTAATATTGTCAGATTTACATATTAGAAAGAACACTCTATAAATAAAGGCAGAGTGATCAGCTAGATTATTTGTAGAAGTTCATGTAAACCTCAGTGAGATCTGAGCCAGACTGAGTTGAGAAGGAAGGGCTGGATTCTGTCATGAGAATAAGAGAAATGGAAGAATCTGAAGTGATTCTAGATTTTTGGCATGGCTGACTGGGTGGATGAAAATTCCATTTGTAGACCTGTAGGGGCAGCAGTCTGGGGGACAAAAGGATGAGTTTTGGACTTGTTGAGTTTGAACGATCTGGAAGACATTCACATGGATATGTCAAAAAAGGCATTTCAAGTGTCCAGTTTAGGAGACAGATGGGCTGGAGATTTGATGTTCATCAGTACTACCTGTTAGTGATCTTATAAGGATTAAATAATATGCATATGGAAAATATATATATACTTGCCATTTAGTTGTTTGTTGAGCATACTGAATATTTGCATACAAAGGTATACTTACAACACTTTTTTCACAAGCACAGCTGAAATAAACTATAACAACTACCACTTATACTATTTACCATAAATTGTGCTAAATGTTTTTACTTATTATCTAGTGTTTATGGTAACCCTTTGATATAGGAGTAGTTATTCCCATTTTTTTTCTTATGAGTAAACTGACTAGGAGATATAGTGTAGGTTGGCCAGGGCTACACAGTAGCAGAACTGGGGAATTCCAAGGCCAGTGTTCTTTCTTATGACGCATTTTCTGTCTTGGGTTACAACAGCACTAACGACAGGTAGCATTGCACACAGGCAGCTGCTGGGAAGTCTCCGCCCCCATCTCTGGCTAGGAGCCCTGCAGGTGATGATAAACAAGCTCCTGTGGAATTGTGGGTAGACACTGGACTTGTAAACGAAAAGCTTCATAAGTCCCTCTTTGCTTAGTACTTTTCTCGTCCTTTCCCCAGGGTGCACGTAACCCTCAAGCACTAGGACCGTGCGGAATCCAGGCTGCGATGGCACCTTCATTTACCGCCCGCATTCAGTTGTTCCTCTTGCGGGCGCTAGGCTTTCTCATAGGCTTAGTAGGCCGAGCAGCTTTAGTCTTAGGGGGTCCAAAGTTTGCCTCAAAGACCCCTCGGCCGGTGACTGAACCATTGCTTCTGCTTTCGGGGATGCAGCTGGCCAAGCTGATCCGACAGAGAAAGGTGAGAATGCAATTCAGAAGAGGCTGGAGGGACAGGTCTTTTAGCAGGATCCAGGAAGCTTAGTGGTGGCGGTGGTTGTGGTTTCCTTTCCATTCTCTACTAGGGCGACTTAGGAGAGGCATTTATTGGGGATGAAGGGAGACTTCTGGGTGTTGTAGTACGTTTATTTTTACCAAGGACATTTACTGTGGGCATGGGTTGGACTATTTTGGTACCGTCATAGTCCTTCCTATCCATTTGTCCTATTTGTGCATAATTACTGTGTGTGGGGTAAAGCAGGTGTGAATTTCAAACTGATTCTCAGCTATGGAAAGTCAGTCTCTCTCTTTCTCTCTCCCTCTCCCTTTCTCTCTCTCTATTCTTCCGTCTCTCACAGGCCCCAGATCAACCTGCTGCTTACCATTCAACCAATTCTTTTTAAAATTGATTTAAAGTAAAAGTAGTACTTGGTCTAGGATAGTAAAAGCTGCGTCTACCATATATTTATTGCATAGTATATGTGAAATACTCTGCCTGGGTACTTAAACATATTCTATTTCACGGATGCAGTTATATAGGCAATATTCATATTTTATGCATAAGGAAACTGAAGTAAAATGATTTGCACAAAAATTGTTGAAAGTTCTAAATTAAAAAAATTAAGCAGCTCATTCGTTCTCTATAGAATTGTGCAGGCAGGACTATTCATCTCTGTCATATAAGTGATTGGTTACCTGGAGATCTTGAGCTACAGTCTAGTATTGTTTATTTATACTCTGCTTGTTTTCACCTCTCTGCTGTTTCATTTGTTTTTCGTCATTGCTTTATTTCCAGAATCTACAATACTACTTAACAAAGAATAGGCATGCAGCAAATACTATCTCAGTATGTGCTCCTGAATGTATGAATTATTAATATTTGTATTGTACTCCTGGTTACCTTTCAAAGACATATCCTGTCTTCTTGCCGTACCCCCTCCCCAGCCTCTACCCACTCATGCATGCTTTTCTACCAGTTAGGGAGGCAATGGGATGTATTCGGTTGGTGCAAAAGTAATTGTGATTTTGTAATTGAGATTTTGACATTACTTTTAATGGCAAAAATCACAATTACTTTTGCACCAACCTAATAGTAGAAAGATGATATATTTCAAATTTTGGACTGTCTGTTCATGGCTCTGTGACCTTGTGCCACACCAATAGCAGATAATACATATCAAGAACCTGGCACATAGAAGATTGTGTAACATAATGATTAGAAGGATGGACTCTAGAGTCAGACTCCCTGGGTTCAGAAATCCTAGCTTTTCTACGATCTAGCTCTGTGATCTTAAAAACATTTCTTTTTTTTTTTTTTTTTTTTTTTTTTTTTGAGACGGAGTCTCGCTCTGTCGCCTGGGCTGGAGTGCAGTGGTGCGATCTTCGCTCACTGCAAGCTCCGCCTCCCGGGTTGACGCCATTCTCCTGCCTCAGCCTCCCGAGTAGCTGGGACTACAGGCGCCCGCCACCATGCCCGGCTAATATTTCGTATTTTTTAGTAGAGACGGGTTTTCATCGAGTTAGCCAGGATGGTCTTGATCTCCGGACCTCGTGATCCACCCACCTCGGCCTCCCAAAGTGCTGGAATTACAGGTGTGAGCCACTGCGCCCGGCCTTAAAAGCATTTCTTAACTTTTTGTGTCTCTGATGTCCTTTAAGAAAAATGGATTTGATAATAGAATCTACCTTTTAGAGTTATTGTGATGAATTAAATGAATTCATATATGTAAAACTTATAGAATATTGTCTGGCATACTAATCCTATATAAATGTTAACTATTACTATTATTACTATCATCAAGTTTTTGGTAACTAGCCATTTTTTATTCATGCTTGCCCATGAGATGAGATGATCTAGATATAGTTTATCTAGATTTATAAAAATGTTCTGAAGGGGAGAAGTGGAGTGGATACAAAGTTTTATTTATCCCTTAGTTTCTGACATTTTTAAACATGGAAATATTGTTACTGCAAAACAACTAAATTTCTTAAACACCTACCATGTGCCACTTGATAAGGCAAACATTTTACTTAGATTTTTGTAAATTGAATCTTCATAATGACATTTTGAGGTACATATGATTATCATCATCTTACAGAGAAGGAAAATAAAGTTTAGAGCTTTCTAATAGCTTGTCCAATGCCACACAGCTAGAAAGTGGTAGAGCCAGGTAAATCTTACTCAATTTTTGTTGGCACTTTATGGAAGAGTATGCTTCTTGATAACGAGCTCTGATTGAACAGTCAGTTTCCTGTGAGTCAGTGTCTACTGTCTTTTGCTTGCTTTTGTGTCCCTATGATTACTCTTCTATTATTCAGAATTCAGGCTACCACTATGTCTTCTGAACCTCCACAGCCTCAGTTGGTATCCAAGGTTGGGCCTTGCCAAAAATACATCAACTTATGGCCACCATCATACATAGCCTGGTCATTTGGATATTTGATTTTGTTGATGATCCGAAAGTCAATGAGGTTTTGAAACCGTAAGTCCCACCCTTTATTCATCTCCTTTGTTAGGAGACAAGGGTGGAAAGAGGCTTCATTGCATGATCTTTTTTACTTTCAGATTTTTGAAACGTGTGCTCATGTTACCTATTTATAATAAATATAATCAATACTTTAGAAAATTAGAAAAAAGTATTTTCAGTTTTTAGATAAGTAATAAAAAATAAGTATGAAGTTGATCTAAAGGAACAGATACGTAAATAGTTCTGAATTATGTTACGTGGTAAAAATATAAGGTACTGAACAATGAATATAATATGATTCCTTTTGTGTGAAGAAGGGAGAGAGAGCTGAAGAGAGGGGAGAAGGGAATAAGGGAGAGAGGGAGGGAAAGAGAGAGAGAGTGAGAAGCTTTCACTTTTCATTTGTACTTTTCTGTAGTGAATGGATTTTCTAACGATGTACCTAGTCTTCATTTCTCTTACGACAGCAAGGTTCATTTGGAATAAGCAAACACAAATATCCAGGCTCAGCTATGTGACTTTGGTTAAGTCACTTAACCTCAGTGAGCCTCAATGACTTCATCTGTAAAATGGGGATAACATTACATGTGTTGCTAGGAATATTTAATGACATAATATATATAAAGTTCTTGGCATATAATAAGTATTTAGCAAATGGCAATTATGGTCATGTTAACTTCTACCTCTAACCCCTGCTTTTTTTTTTTTTTTTCTCACGTGCTGCATGCTACAAACTCAATTACGGTAGCAGTGGCAGTTGAAGATCTTTGGGGTTGTATACGTTGATGGAGTGACCAGGTACTAGACATCAGCTTGACAATCCAGGCTCTTAATGCTAGAGCTCTGTATACACTAGACTATTGAGTTATGGTGGCTGAAATCTCTGTCTGTGCATGCATTTAACAAACATTTACTGAAAACCTACTAGACGCATAATTCTAAAGGACAAGTAGAGTTAACCCAAAAGAAAAAGTACATGTAACTTTCTTTTATAATTTCATAAATCTCCCCTGTATCTATGGTTGTACCTTATTTTTTCATTCTTAATACTAACCATTTTTCTGCACACACTCTTTCTCCATCATGCTTGTTGCAGTTTATCCATTTGATAGATATTTAAAAGTTAGTTCATCTTTTTATACTGGTTTTGTTGTTACTGTTCCTATTTTATTTCTGTTATTAAATTTTATCTTGATCTTGTTATTCTTTAAAAAAATTGCTTTATTTTTCTATTATTTTAAGTTGAATACCTTATATATTGTCTTACTTTTTATAAATAAAAGCATATTAGGACAATTTTAGCCACAATCAATATATTTGATAAGAAATGATCCTCTTTTTGTGAATTTCCTGATAATTTGCCATTTTAGTTTTGTTTACCTCTTAGATCCATTGGTTATATGGAAGAATGTTTTTGAAATAATTAAGCCTTCTAAATATCACTGTTTAATTTTGGGTTTCTAATATTTCTGGATATGATAATTTGTCAAATTGACTTAGAAATTCTCTAAAACCATTTGGGATTTAAGATTTGCTTTGTGTGACATGATTATTTTTTGTTAATGATTGATGAATAAAGAACATATTCTTGATGGAGTAAAAATTCTCCCTCACTATGCATTTGAGCATGTTGGTTGTATTATTAAATTCTTGGATATATCCTCACTTTTTACTCCTTGGTCTGTGAGTCTCTGAGGGAGCTATATTGTTTACTACTGTACTTATACATCTGGTCAACTTCTCTTTGTATTTGTAGTATATGCTTCATGTATTTGCCAGCTTTATTAAAACAGAAAAGTATATGACTGTTACAGCATCCTCATGTATCATACCATTTTAGGTTTCAGTTTTAA